>NT_187660.1:3386688-3688492 GCF_000001405.40 Homo sapiens
GCTGCATGTTGTTGAACTGCCTTCCAGAAACCAGTTTGCACTGCTCCCAGCAGTGAGAGGGAGCAGTAATCTCCCCTCCTGATCCTGTTCCGTGTAACCAATCTCTTCCCCAAGGCTTTCACAGGTGAAATATCAGCTGATAAAGGCTTACAAGTATAAACCCTGTCTCTCCTAGAACTTCAGCATTTTCTGGGGTTCTAAGGAAGGTGCACCTTTTCCCTGAAGCAAAGTAAGATGCTAAGGAATGACAGGCAAGAGGTTGAGGCCTGGAGCCGGGGCTCCTGAGCAGATCCCTGGCACCTGGATTTAGAAGCTGGCCCTGAGGGAAGCTCAGAGGGTTTCAGCCTCTTTGAGACCAGCTGACAGAGTACTTATCCCCTCTGTGAATCAACCTGGTGGGTCCCTTCTGCTGAGACAGCCTCTTGGAACCCAGGCTGAACACAGGTTCACCAGCTGCTCCATAGGGTCCTGTCCAGCCAGCCTCAAGAGGAGATGAGTAACAGGCCCCAGAAAGCACACCTGAGCTTGCCTGCACCTGCTCTTACTTGCACCTGAGCCTACCTGCACCTGAGGTTACCAACACCTGAGCTTAACTGCATCTGTGGTTATCTGCACCTGAGTTTGTCCACGCTTGAGTTTACCCACACCTGAGGATACCTGCACCTGACCTCCCTTCACCTGTGCTTACCCGCATCTGAGCTTACCTGCCACAGCAGTGGAATGGAGAGGGCACAGCTCAGGCTCTTTCAGCCTCCTCCTTGGCCAGGGCAGGGAGCTGGGTGAGGAGGGCCCACCCTTTAAGAGGAGCAGTCCCCATGAGGAGCATGTGAGCACTTGGGCCTGGGCCCTCATGATTGCTGTGAAGCGATGGCCCCATGACCTGACTCCCAGGCCAGAAAAGGAAGCCAGGGCCCCAAGCTTCCAGGCTGTTCTGTGTGGAATCCCACAAAGGCAGCCTTAGGATGTGAGAGAGGTAGGGGAGCTAGAGCTTTTCCTTTGAAGTGGCCCCGCCATGGCCCCCTCCCACCCAGCCGCCCTTCCCTGGCTGGAAATGTCAGCAGGGTTTGCATAATTGAGACAATTGGACATAATGGTTCTTTCAGAATCCCCTCATCAGCTGGGCAGTGTTCGTGCCCCGGGGAGCTGGGAGAAGGCGGCACATGGCACTAATTACTGCTAATCCTTCCTCATCTAAGTTGGGCCTGAGGTCAGGGTGAACCCAGCTGCAAATGCAGTGTGAGCCCCACATGACTCTCAGCCCCTTCTGAGTGCTTCTAATCCCTGCTCTCCCCCCTTCACCAGGAGCTTGCCTGCTTGGCATCCACAGTCACCTGAAAACCACCACGGTGGGAGCTCTGTTGGATTTGCTGTAACAGTATGCGTGGTTATTCCAGCTTTCCATGAGCTTTCTCAGCCCAGGAGGAAAGAAAAAACCCAAACCCTGAACTATCCCTCTCTGCAGAGGGGCTGGGTCTTCCCCAGCATCTGAGGCTCTTGGGCATTGTCCGCCTCCCGCTTCTCACAGAGGAGCAGACAGATTGGACGTAAGGGCAATTAGGGGTGTTCCCATTTTACAGATGAGGACTCTGAGTCATGTGAGAGGGTGGCTTGCCCAGAGAGCAGGTGGGGTGGAGTGGGAGTGCCCAGGTTGTCAAGTTCTGCCCATATGTAGAGTCCTGAAGCTGGAGGCTGGGCTCACTCCCCCACCCAATGCCTGGCAGACAGCCTGGGGCTCAGGGAATCTCTGAACTTCTGACGGAAGCACATGTGCCAGGCCATTTTCTGGGTCTGTCTTTGCTTTCATTCGTTTCTCTCAGGGTCTGTCACCGCAGAGTGGGCGTGCAAAGGGTCTGGTGAGTGGCTCCCACGTGCTTTGCTGGAGCGCGCACAGCCCCTGGGCGCACAATGACCGCAGCAGCCTCCCTGGCCTGGCTCCCGAGTCTTCTTTCTTGAACTGGTGTTGGCTCCTGAGGCCTGAGAGAGTCACGGCTTCAGCGGGAACCCTTCCGGGGGCTGAGGGAGGGTGCTACGTGGCCGGAATTCTGAAGGCACAGTCAGGGCAATCCGGGGCATCTGAAATCAGTCTGGGAGCAGTGGGGAAAGACCACATGGGGAAGTGAGCTGATGGCCGGCACTGCCATGGCTGGGAGGTGTGGAGGCTCTGTGGTCAGCACCAATGGCCAGCCCGACCGGCTGCCAGTCAGTGGCTCTCCAGGCAGTGGGCCCTTCACTAGACAAATAAGCTCTTTTTCAGGTTCAGATAAGATGGAAACAATGGGAGCCCCATCCTTCCCCAAGAGAACACCCCTCCTCCCCAGGGTCCATGCAGTGTGGCCTGCAACTGGGAGCTGAGATGTCTCACACAGTGGCCACAGGCCACGCGTGGCTATGGAGTGCTGGAAACAGAGCCAGTCAGAATTGAGATATGCTCCGAATGTAAAATATACACGGGATTGCCAAGACTTGTGATAATAATCGATTGCACATTGAAATATTTAGAACATGTTGGGTTGAATAGAATGTTATTAATTTTTTTCACCTGCTTCTATTTACTTTTCAAAACTGACTACTAGAAAATTTTAAATTGGCCCAGCTCACGCCTGCAATTCCAGCACTTTGGGAGGCTGAGGCAGGTGGATCACCTGAGGTCAGGAGTTCGAGACCAGCCTGGCCAACATGGTGAAACCTCATCTCTACTAAAAATATAAAAAATAACCGGCCATGGTGGTGGGTGCCTGTAATCCCAGCTACTCGGGAGGCTGAGGCAGGAGAATCACTTGAACCCTGGAGGCGGAAGTTGCAGTGAGCTGAGATCACACCACTGCACTCCAGCCTGGGTGACAGAGTGAGACTCTGTATCCAAAAAAAAAAAAAAAGAGAGAAAGAAAGAAAAAGAAAAAAAAAAGAAAATTTAAAATTGCCTCTGCTCTGTGGCTCACAGCTATGGCTCACCTTGTATTTCTGTTGGGCGGTGTTGAGCTGCAGCTGTGGGGAAAAGGGGTTCTCACCAGACTGTCCACTCTCCAGAGGCATCCTCCCCCATGAAGTCACTTGGATGACCTGGTGCATGGACACAGTGTGTGAGGACTGTGGAGAGACGCTGTAAGGTCTGAGAATCATTATGTGTCTGTGGAGCCGTCTGAGGACACAAGAACACCACCGTGAAGGGTGGATACTGACCACTCACTCCTCACCCAGCTGCGGGGGTGCAGTCCTTCTCCTCATGGGGGAGCCATGAGGACACATTCCTCAGAGGGAATAAGAGGCCGGCTGGCGGTCACAGTTGGTGAGAGTGTGGGGACAGTGACCTGTATGCTCACCTGTGTGGGGCCCTGATGAGGTCATGGGAGATCCCCAGGCTAGCAGGGGACACCCCAGGTGGAGGCCCAAGGGTCCTGGTTGGACTCTGAGATGAGCCAGCAATATTGTTTCTCATGCTCCTTTGTTCCCTGCACTTCCTGACCAATAGTTAGTCTCGAAACCTGTTCAGATTCAAGGTGGACTTTTGCAATAAGACTTTTTGGTGGTAGTGTGTCCTTCTGTTAGGAGACATCTCTTTTGCAATGCCGGCGGACTTTGGTGATGACTGTCTAGGGCCATGATATCCCTAGGACTTGCAAAATGGTGATCTTCCTTTTTTTTTTTTTTTTTTTTTTTTTGAGACGGAGTCTTGCTCTGTTGCCCAGGCTGGAGTGCAGTGGCGCCATCTTGGCTCACTGCAAGCTCCGCCTCCCAGGTTCACACCATTCTCCTGCCTCAGCCTCCCGAGTAGCTGGGACTACAGGTGCCTGCCACCACGCCCGGCCAATTTTTTTGTATTTTTAATAGAGACTGGGTTTCACCGTGTTGGCCAGGATGGTCTCAATCTCCTGACCTTGTGATCCGCCCACCCTGGCCTCCCAAAGTGCTGGGATTACAGGTGTGAGCCACCATGCCCAGCTGCAAAATGGTGATCTTCTAATTAGGTCGACTCTTCTTTATTTGTTAGCTGGAATTCATCCATAAATAGAAACTTTCCCTGGGCAGATTTGGTCACTCTGAGGCACAGCTTGCAGAGGAAAGGCAAGAAAAAGGTTTCCATCTCCAGTGGAATTGGTTGCTTCCTTGGCCTCATTCCAATGTGACTAATGCATTCCTTTTCTTCAGAGTGTCAGTATAAATTCATGGATTTGAACATATTTGATGCATTTAAATCCACAGCAGTTATTTTTCTTACTATTGTTCACATGGTCCCAGTTTCACAAAGCCTCCTGAATCCTTCTGACGCCACCCCAGGAATCTCTGAGAGCCTCTTTGCTATCTGGAATGCAAAGATGTTTGGGATCATCTTGTACATTTCTTGCCGCAGATCTAGGCTCAGGCACTTCTCCAAGGAGCCCTGGTTCCTTTGAGTGAGAAACAGTATTCAGAAACTAGGATCTGCTTCTGAACTGAATTGTTTCTGAGCCTTTTCAGCAGGCGGAACTATGAAGCTGTGTGTCTCTGTGTGTGTGTGTGTGTGTGTGTGTGTGTGTGTGTGTGTGCGCGCGCGCGCGTGCATCTGTAAAGAAAATGCATCATGATAATTTTCAATTCAAATTTAGAAACAGAGGGATTTTACTTAACTTCCTTGATTTCATGTTTGTGTCTCTTTTTGCTTATGCTAAAAGCCCTATTCCTAATGACATTAAAAGCTTTCTCTTTTGCTTTATCCTGAATATAGTTTCAAGTAACACACCCATATTGCTAACAGTACTGGAAGCAGTTTAAAAGACTGTTTTGTTGTTCTTTTTCACCTTGCATATGTCCTATTAGGTTTTTTCAAGAACTTAAAGTTATTATTCTCTGTGTGGTTATTCTACACACTTGATACACAGCGAGTTCGGGGAACACAGTATCCGAGGACTGTGGGGAGACGCTGGCAATGTCTGAGAATTATTATGTGTCTAGTGAGCTGTCTGAGCAAATAACAATAGCACTAACACTAAAGGCAGATTTCCAGTAAGATTCACTCATTGAATTTTCCATTGGATTTCCATGCATTGTTTTAGGAATTAGTTTTTAAATATAAGTCTGTTTTATAATTAAGTGAAACGTTTGCATTTTGGCAAAGTCCAATCTGCAAACAAGATTCTTTCAGAGTAGTCTGGCTGTGGCATCTGTCTTTCTCCCTCATTCTTCTTTCCCCACAAGTAAACCTTTTTCTTTTCTTTTTTTTTTTTTTGAGATGGAGTTTTGCTCTTGTTGCCCAGGCTGGAGTGCAGTGGTGCAATCTCAGCTCACTGCAACCTCTGTCTCCTGGGTTCAAGGGATTCTCCTGCCTTAGCCTTGCAAATAGCTGGGACTACAGGTACGTGCCACCATGCCTGGCTAATTTTGTATTTTTAGTAGAGACAGTTTCACCATGTTGGTCAGGCTGGTCTCAAACTCCTGACCTCAGGTGATCCACCCGCCTCGGCTGCCCAAGGTGCTGGGATTACAGGTGTGAGCCACCACGCCTGGCCGCCACAAGTAAACTTAAAAAAAAATTATTGTTTTATCCTTTCACTTTTTAAGTATAAATATATATGTATTGTTTCTCTCCGCCTCTTTCTCACAAAGATGGTAGAGGACTTTACACACTTTTCTCTGCTTTGCCTTTGGCACTTCTCTTCTCCACTTTTCTTGGAGGTGACATGGCTGCCTCTCATTTCTTTTGACAGCTGTGTGGCCCGAATCCCTGAGTGGATGCATGAGAGTTGATTTCACCAGACCCGTGTCAATGGGCACTTGAGTGGCTCTTGGTCTCTACAAATAGCACAGCAACAAAAAGTCTTGCCACATGTCCTTTTGCATTTGTCTGTAATCTTTAGGCTAGATTCCGAGAAGTGAGATTGCTGGGATTAAGGGTATAAATATGAAATTTGCTTATATTGCAAAACTTCCCTTCATAGAGATTGTAGCATTTTGCATTTCCAGTGGGATTTTATGAGTCCTTGTTTTCCCACAGCCTCACCAACAAAATACGTTGTTACACTTTTAGAATTTTGCCAATCTTATTAAGAAACGGTTTCTCAATATAGTTTTGCAATATAGTTGTCTTCATTTTTTTGGATATTGTTGTCTGGTTTTGATATCTGGGTAAAACTGGCCTCATAAAATGAGTTGGGCAATGACTCCCCGCCACTTATATTTTCTGTAAGAGTTTGTGAAAGATTGGTCTTCATTCTTCTTTACAAGTTTGGTAGAATTTACCAGTGAAGCCATCTGGGCCTGTGGTTTTCTTTATGGGAAGTTTAAATATTACTACTCCAATGTCTTTACTTTTTATAGGTCTGTTCAGATTTTTCTGTTTCTCCTTGAGTCAGTTTCAGTAATTTGTCTTTGCAGGAATTTGTCCATTTCATCCAGGTTTTAAAATCTGTTGGCATCCAGTTATTCATGGTATTCCCTTATGATCCTTTGTATTAATATGTCTAGAAAATCATTAGTGATGCCCCTTTTTCATTCCTGATTTTAGCAATTTGAGTCTTCTCTGTTGTTTAGATGGCCAGTCTAGCTAAAGGTTTTTCAATTTTGTTGACCTTTCCAGGGAATCAACTTTTGGTTTCATTAATTTCTTCTATTGTTTTTCTACGCTTTATTTTATTATTTCCACGCTAGTCTTATTTTCTTCCTTCTGCTTGATTTGGATTTAGTTTGCTTGTCTTTTTCTATTTTCTAAAGTTGAAGGTTAGGTTATTTATTTGAGATCTTTCATTCTTAATACGGGTGTTTACAGCTATAAATTTCCCTCTGAGCACTATTTTAGCTGCATCCAATATAGTTTTTCATATTTGTTCATCTTAAGATATTTTATAACTTTTCTTGTGACTTTTTTAGCCCACTGGTTACTTAGAAGTATGTAATTTAATGTCCACTTACTTTTGAATTTGTAAATTTCTTTTCTTTTCTTTTTTTTTTTTGAGACTGAGTCTTGCTCTGTTGCCCAGGCTGGAGTGCAGTGGCATGATCTCAGCTCACTGCAACCTCTGCCTCCAGGGTTCAAGTGATTCTCCTGCCTCAGCCTCTCAAGTAGCTGGGATTATAGGTGTGTGACCCCATGCCTAGCTAATTTTTGTATTTTTAGTAGAGATGGGGTTTCACCATATTGGCCAGGCTGGTCTCGAACTCCTGACCTCAGGTGATCCACCAACCTCGGCCTCCCAAATTGTTGGGTTTACAGGCGTGAGCCACCACGCCTGTCCAATTTTTTTTTCTATTATTGATTTCTAATTTAATTCCACTGTGGTTGGAGAACATACTTTGCATGGCTTTAAAAATCCTTTTACACTTATGAAGGCTTGTTTTATGGCCTAGCATATGGTCTGTCCTAGAGAATGGTCCATGTGCACATGATAAGAATGTGTATTTTGTTGTTGGGTGTAGTATACTCTTAGACGTCTGTTAGGTCAATGTAGTTTTAATTTGCATTTATCTTACTATGAGTAAGGTTGGCATCTTTTCATGTGTAAGGGCCATCTGTATTTCTGTGTCTGTGAACTTTCCACATCTCTTGCTCATTTTTCTAGAGACTCTTTTTTCTTTATTTTATTTTATTTGAGATGGAGTTTTGCTCTTGTTGCCCAGGCTGGAGTGCAACGGCACGATCTCAGCTCACTGCAACCTCTGCATCCCGGGTTCAAGTGATTCTCCGGCCTCAGCCTGCCAAGTAGCTGGGATTACAGGCATGTGCCACCATGCTCAGCTAATTTTGTATATTTTAGTGGAGACAGCGTTTCTCTGTGTTAGTCTGGCTGGTCTCGAACTCCCGACCTCAGGTGATCCATCTGCCTTGGCCTCCCAAAGTACTGGGATTATAGGCATGAGCCACCGTGCCCAGCCTTTTTTCTTTATTTTTAAAGCTTGTTCCTACATACCAAATATGGTGAAATTTTGACTGTAATGAAGTGGAAAGTATTTTTTTCCAGCTTGTCACTTGTCTTTTGACTTTACCTACTTGCCCTGGCTTCTTGCTTCCTTGATATCCACAGTCTATTTAATTGAATTTATCATTGAGATCACCTCTCCCATGCTCCAGACACTGCTGGTGCTGTGTGGAGATATGGGAATGACTCAGAAATGACTTTTGAGGATTTGCATGCTAGTAGGGGAGCCAGTGCTCATATAAACACATTTGAAATACAAGGCAGACTATAGGAAGCACTGCAATCAGCTTTGACACGCAAGAGGAAAGCATAAAGGGAGAGGGAGCTTTCAAAAGAAAGGGGAGTAATGGGCCACGTGAGGTGGCTCACGCCTGTAATCCCAGCTATTATGGAGGCCGAAGCTGGAGAATCACTTGAACCTGGGAAGCAGAGGTTGCAGTGACCCGAGATCACGCCACTGCACTCCAGCCTGGGCAACAGAGTGAGACTCTGCCTCAAAAAAAAAAAAAAAAAAAAAAAAAAAAAGATAAAAGAAAAAGAAAAGAAGAGAAAAGAAAAAAGAAAAAATAGAAAGAAGAGGCCAGGTGCAGTGGCTCACGCCTGTAATCCCAGTACTTTGGGAGGCCGAGGCAGGTGGATCACCTGAGGTCTGGAGTTCGAGATCAACCTGGCCACAACACGATGAAACCCCATTTCTACTAAAAATACAAAAAATTAGCTGGGCGTGGTGGTGGGTGCCTGTAATCCCAGCTATTATGGAGGCTGAGGCAGGAGAATCTCTTGAACCTGGGAGGCAAAGGTTGCAGTGACCCAAGATCATGCCACTGCACTCCAGCCTGGGCAACAGAGTGAGACTCTGTCTAAAAAAAAAAAAAAAAACCAGGAGTAATGGGGCTTCAAACTGAGCATATAGTTTGGATGGGAGTCCTGGCAGCAGACTTGAGGAAAGGGGGCACTTTAGAGTTGGAGATGACAGACAGTAGGGCATCAGGGAAACATCCTGTGAGCTGGAGCTTGGTTCCCAGGCTGGAGACGGGCGATGGGCAAAGAAAGAGGACAATAATGCTGGGGACAGAGGGCAGGTGTGGGGCAGGATGGGAGTCCAAGGGCTCAGGCCAGCACTGGCCAAGCAAAAGTTTTGTGAATCCTGATCTGAAAGCTCTGATCCAAAAACCTTCCTTTTCAAAGTCTTATTTGAAGTAAGGCTTATATTGGTTCAAAAAATTATATTGCTCCTGGCATTGGCTGCAGAGGTGGGCTTCCACTTTGCATACTGTTGAATTCTTTACATATATTTAAAATAAGTTAGCACTACTACTACTAGCTTAGTACTACTGATTCTCAGTTGGCAGAATCTCTGAAATAAAGAAATAAAAGTGGTAGGTTAAAAAAATCTTCATTTGTAAATTAAATTTATATTTCATTGAACAATGTCTCTATGAATTAAGAAGGCTAGAGAATAATTTAAAATCTTTGGTGTCGTTGTAAAAGATAATTACAAAAATAAACAAATGGATAACTAGATTAGGCAAAGACATAGAGGTCTATCAATACTTTTGATTACCGTAAACTCTGCTTCCATTTCTCCACTGACTGACGAAAAAAATAAAGTAGGTTTCCCCACTTGGAGGAAAATAAGGTCGTCGGATATTTGGAACGTGGGTCTTGGAAACTCCTCTCTTTGTCTGGAAGGCAGAGGGTCTTCCTGGTGAGCCTTAAGATCCAAGTTGGCCAAAATATGCTGGCCGTTCTCCGTAGGCCGCCCAGCCTCGTCAACAGGTGAACGTTGGCAGCAGTCTTTTTGCACCACTCTTCTGCACCCTACGGCTCAGGATTCAGGAAGTGAGACCTCCTGAGGCCCCTCTATTGCTCCCCATCCTCCATTGGAGGGCACAGGCCTGTGAGGACCGGCCATGGAGTTATCAGTGGGAGGATCGAAATTGGACAGTTACTTCCTGTCTGATTCTAAGAACCTTCTTTTCATTTTTTTCTCCTTTCTGTTTTCTTTCTCTCTCTCTCACTTTTTCTTTTCTTTCTTCTTTCTTTCTCTTTCTCTCTCTCTCTCTCCCCCCCCTTCCCTCCCTCCCTTCTGCTTTTTCTGCTCCTCAGTGGGTTGTGTTGCAGTGCTGGCAGATGATATGTGCTAGAATAACAAACACACGGTTAAAAACCTGCCAAGCATTTAATGGTTTTTTGTTTCTTTGTTTTAATCTTCAGAATACTCTCTACAATGAAAATAAAACCAGTGACTCTGTAGTGGAGATAATCCATTGTGTTACAGCTTTGTAGCTGTAAACCTGGTTGGTCCTGGATCCTGCCATGAGTAAAGGTTGCAGCTGGAGCTTCCGGAAATTCCTAGCAGAGAGCATTATCTGAGCTGGCTTTCCTTCTCATCAAACTCCTAACATCTCATTAATCCGCAACTCCACTAACTGCACGTAAGAAGCCCCAGTGTGTCACTGTGCTGGCATCCCTGAGAGTCTGAGTGTAACGTTCTGCCCTTTGCTGGGACCTAATGGAGGACTTTCAAATCCCAACACCATGGCTAACACTTCTGAAGTCTTCACTCTGGAGTGATGGCAAAATTCCCAAAATGTGGGTCCAATTATATGGAAGTTGATTCGACCTTTTCTTCCTTCAAGATGTCTGTGTTCCTGAGAAGAAATGTGGGCAGGAATAATGGCAAGAGATGATTTTGCCTCAATCTGACTTCAAGCTTCTTTTGTTGATAGCAGCAGACTGCATGAAAACAGGATCTTTGGGGACAAAATGATGCTCCTGAGCCCCATGTAGGCAGCTGTGGCTCCTCACAGTCCACACGGGAAGACGTCTCAGTGTTTAGAAGAGCTCAACGCATGGCACCCCTCTTCAACACCTGGCGCCCAGGGCGTTATTTCTATCTCCTGTGTCCTCATGCCCTCTTAGAACGGGAGAGCTCGTAACAGTCTTCAAGTTGATCTCCTGTTAGTGTCATGTCCTTAAGTAATGCTTTATCGCTTCTAAAATCTGAATTTTACCCCATTGGTTACAATAACCCATAAAGCAAAACAAAGCACCCACCCCCCCAAAAAAATTTGGCTGTACCTAGTAAATCGCAGTGAAACTTTTGTTCTGGGAATAGAGTATTGTTACCCGAAACTTTTGTTTAAATAAGCACAAAGACTTCGCATTTTTATCTTTTGAAAAAATCTTTGGAAAAGTCTGAAACACAGGCCAAGGCAAGGCTGCTAACAGAAAGGTAGAGAGTGTGAGCATACAGAGCTTGGGTAGGACAAGTGCTGGAAAGTGTGGCAATAGAAGAAGGGATGTGGCATTCTACTTTTTAAAGCTCATTCCTTCTTCCCGAGTTGATTCAGAAATTGAGTGGCTGGGAGCTGTGGCTCATGCCTGTAATCCCTTTAGGAGGCCGAGGTGGGTGGATCACCTGAGGTTGGGAGTTTGAGATCAGCCTGACCAACATAGAGAAACCCCATCACTACTAAAAATACAAAATTAGCCGTGCATGGTGGTGCATGCCTGTAATCCCAGCTACTCAGGAGGCTGAAGCAGGAGACTTGCTTGAACCTGGGAGGTGGAGGTTGTGGTGAGCCGAGATCGTGCCACTGCACTCCAGTCTGGGTTCTTGAGCAAATAACACCCTAGTTAAGGATTGCTAACAATTAGTCCCAAATGCTCCCCAGTCCTGGGAAACTTTGCTTAGCAGAGGTTTCTCCATCTCATGGTGCCCAGCTCCTTCCTCCCAAGGGGCCAATTAAACTTTTTTTTTAATTGGCTGAGATGAAAAGGCGTGGTGTCCACTTTGAGGGGTTCCTGATTCAGAGATAGCTCTTAGAGTACTGCGTCTGCCCAAAGGTGATATTCTCTAAACTCGGCCTCTTAGAGCTCAGGCATTCTCAACAAAAAAGATTCCACGTGAACTAAATTTGGGCAACTCTGCTTCCTGTATTTTCCTCTTGGAGATTCACAATGCATATTAGGATATTAAAATTCTGAGAAGTCCTGCCACAAAGAACCCCCTTTTCTTTCTTGTAACCCAGCATTCCTCAAACTCATTTGCCCATAGGATCTTTTTTCTTCTGAAATACCTCTTAATATTTCACATAACGAAAGTATCACAACAGAGGACTTGGGAAAAACTCGATTAACACAAGCTTAACCATCTGAGGTGCCGGTAAGTGTTCCGTGTTGGAGCAATCTGCTTCCTGAAGTCCCATTCAGAAGGCTGGAGCAGGTTCCTGACAGTAGGACCCCTGTCCAGGGCTGCTGTCTTGGCTTTAGGTAGCTAAGATCACCTCTCACTGTGTCTTCTGCCTGAATCACCCCCTTCAAAACTCACCACGGCCCACCTTCTCCAGCTGGTGAATGGTAACTCACAGGAGTGAATCTCCCAGCCAAATCAACAAGAAAGGGAGGGCTCCACAGGACAGGACCCCTGATTCTGCCTGCTCCTCCCTAACTCTCCAGGAAGAGTGCTGCCTCTGAGCCCCTGACTGGGAAAGACTTGGAAAGAGCCAGGGCCACCATGGACTGTCACAACCAACGGGGTTCTCCAAAGGGTCACCTATGCATACAGAATTCAATACCCAGCTCTGACAGTTTTTTTTTTTTCAAAATCTCTAAGGTATAGAGATAAAAATGGGTCAAACAATATCTTAAAGACAGTGACTGAGAATTTTCCAAACTGTCAAAAAACATTTTTCTTTGTACTCCTAAAATGTTTTTTTTTAACTTTAGGTTCCCCCATACAACTGCAGGTTTGTTACACAAGTAAACTTGTGTCATAGCACTTTACTGTACAAATTATTTTATCAACTAGTTTTTTGCCCTCCATCACCCACGTTTTAAGACTACTGTGCCCATAGTTAGTTCATTCCGGTGGATTTCTGGTCCCACCGCCTTTAAGAATGAAGCATGCGGACCTTCCCGGTGAGTGTTACAGCTCTTAAAGGTGGCAAGGACCCACAGTTAGCAACAGCAAGATTTATTGTGAAGATGTGAACAGCAAAACAACGACGCTCCCACACGCTGGAAGGGTACCGAGCAAATTGACTTTGCTGGCTAACGGGTGGGCAGCTTTTATTCCCTTATTTGGCCCTGCCCATGTCCTGCAGATTGGTCCATTTTACAGAGTGCTGATTGGTCCATTTTACAGAGTGCTGATTGGTCCATTTTACAGAGTGCTGATTGGTCCATTTTTACAGAATGCTGATTGGTGCATTTACAATCCTCTAGCTAGACAGAAAAGTTCTCCAAGTCCCCACTGGACACAGAAGCCCAGCTGGCTTCACCTCTCACTAGTACCCTTATTTTTTTCTGATCTTTTCTCTCCTCCCACTGTCCATCCTCCAAAAGGCCCCAGTGTGTGTTGTTCCCCTCTATGTGTCCAAGTGTTCTCATCATTTAGCTCCCATTTATAAGTGAGGACATGTGGTATTTGGTTTTCTGTTCCTGTGTTAATTTGCTAAGTATAATGCCCTCCAGCTTCATCCATGTCCCTGCAAAGGACATGATCTTGTTCTTTTTTATGGCTGCCTAGTATTCCATGGTGTATATGTACCACATGTTTTATCCAGTCTATTATTGATGGGCATTTAGGTTGATTCCATATCTTGCTGAAAGATGTTAATCCACAATTTAGGAATCCCAATGAACTCCAAGCATAATAAACACAAAGAAATACACATCTAGTCAAACGATAGTGAAATTGTTGAAAACCAAAGACAAAGGTACAATTTTAAGACATTGCAAAAGAAAAAGATTATCTTCTATACAGCAGACTGCTACTAAAAAGGCAGCTGACCTCTCAACAGAAGCAAAGAAGGGCAGAAGGTAACAAAATTATATATTCAGAGTGCTAAAAGGAAATAATTGCCAACCTAGAATTTTATGTCCAGAAAAAATATTCTTCCACAACAAAAGAAAAATGGAGACATTTTTAGACAAACTAACAGAGTTAATTTGTAATAGACTTAACAAAGAGCTTTCTTCAGACAGAAGTAAAAATATCACAAATAAAAGCATAGCACAAAAAAGAGTAAAGAACAAAGAAAATAGTAAATATGTGTGTACATCTAAATGGATACCAATTGTATAACAGAATAGCAATAATATCTTGCAGGAGTTAAAATAGATCTGAGGCTGGGCATTGTGGCTCATGCCTGTAATCCCAGCACTTTGGGAGGCCAAGGCAGGCGGATCACCTGAGGTTAGGAGTTCAAGACCAGCCTGGCCAAAATGGTGACATCCTGTCTCTACTAAAAATACAAAAAACATTAGTCGAGCATGGTGGCGGGTGCCTGTCATCCCAGCTACTCAGGAGGCTGAGGCAGAAGAATCGTCTGAACCCAGGAGGCGACCATGTCAGTGAGCCAAGATCGCGCCACTGCATTCCAGCCTGGGCAACAGAGCAAGACTCTGTCTAAAAAATAATAATAATAGATAAGTAAAAAGTAAAATAAAACAGATTTGGAATTAAATAAATGAAAAAAAACTTCTGGTTTCGGCTTGTATGTGTAAAAAGCCATCACTTTCATTCTCACAGCACGAAAAAGCTGTTTAGATCAATCAGACAGTTGAGGTCACAGGGGCAAACTGACACCCTGAAAAATGAAGAGAAAGGGAAATAGAATTATAGCTTCTAGAATCGGAGAAAATGCTAGAGCCAGAAATGGGTAGGACTGAAGCTGTAATTGATGAATTTCTGGAGGCTGACTGTGGACTAGCTTAGATGGTAAAGGTTCCAGAGATGGCCAATCTTAGGGTACCCCTCACACTTTTGTGAGTTTTACCTCCAAGCACTCCAGCAGATTCTCACAGTGAATACCACAGAAAAATCCCTTCCTGTTTCCAGCAGGGGATGGAGAAAAGTAACCCTGTTGAGACACACCCAGAGCCCTCTTCTGCTTGCCATCAAGGGAAACTACATTATCAGAGCCTGTCTTAGTCCATTCAAGCGGCTAAAACAAAAAATGTCATAAGCTGCCTGGCTTATAAACAACAAACATTTATTTCTCACAGTTCTGGAGGCTGGGAAGTCCAAAATCAAAGTGTAGGCAGATTTGGGGCCTGGTAAGAGCTTGTGTCTTCATAGACACACCTTTCAGCTATGTCCTCACATGGTGGAAGGAGCGAGATAGCTCTCCGGGGCCTCTTTTATGAGGGCACTAATCTCATCCCTGAGGACTCTGCCTCTTGATCTAATCATCTCCCTAATGCCCCAGTTCTTAATACTGTCACATTTGGGGTTGCATTTCAATAATTTTGGCAGGGACACAAACATTGAAGCCATAGCAGAGCCTAACCAATGTGGGGGAGGAAAAATACCAAACTCCAGCCCCCTCTAGTCTTCCCAGTGTTGGAAGGGAAATACCACACTCCAGCTCTCTCCAGCCCTCCTGTCTCACATAAGTTGGGGAAAAGCTGCTGAGAAGCACTTGTAGAAGTCACAGCCCAAGAACACAGGCTGAAGTCTAATTACAGCATTCTAAAGTGCCCGGCGCCGTGGCTCATGCCTGCAGTCCCAGCACTTTGGGAGGCTGAGGCAGGTGGATCACCTGAGGCTAGGAGTTTGAGAGCCGTCTGGCCAACACGGCGAAACCCCATCTCTACTAAAAATACAAGAATTAGCTGGGTGTGGTGGCATGAGCCTGTGATCCCAGCTATTTGGGAGGCAGGAGAATCACTTGAACCCAGGAGGCAGAGGCTGCAGTGAACCAAGATCATGCCACTGCACTCCAGCCTGGCCAACGAGAGCAAAACTCCATCTGAAATAAATAAATAAATAAATAAATAAATAAATAAAGTGCTTCCCTACTCCCACACCTTACCGGCATCACCAGAGGCTTCTGTATAATTCCAGAGGGTCACAGCTGAAAAACTGCAAGGCTTAGACTATTTAAGAATTTCCTAGGGAACCCAAAGATAACAGAGAGAGAGAAAAAAAAGATGCTGGAGGAAAGTGAAGCCAGAAACACCCACACCTACGGTAAACAGTGTAATCCCTGGCCAGATAAACATAAACCCTCACATTAAAGGCCTATTTACCTCACTTCTTCTTATGCAATGCATCATGTCTGGCTTTCAATAAAATAATTACAAGGTATGCCAAAACGCAAGAAAAGGCAGTGTGAAGAGAGAAAGCAAGCAAGGGAACTAGACTCAGATACAGCAGAGAGTTTGGAATCACCAGGCTGGGAATTTTAAATAACTACAATTAATATACTAAGGGTTCTGGCTGGGTGCGGTGGTTTACGCCTGTAATCCCAACACTTTGGGAGGCCGAGGTGGGTGGATCATCTGAGGTCAGGAGTTCAAGAGCAGCCTGGCCAACATGGCAAAACCCCATCTCTACTAAAAATACAAAAATTAGGCCGGGCATGGTGGCTCATGCCTGTAATACCAGCACTTTGGGAGGCCAAGGTGGGTGGATCACCTAAGGTCAGGAGTTCGAGACCAGCCTGGCCAACATGGCGAAACCACATCTCTACTAAAAATACAAAAATTAGCTGGGCATGGTGGCACGAGCCTGTAATCCCAGCTACTCAGGATGCTGAGGCAGGAGAATTGCTTGAACCCAGGAGGCAGAGGTTGCAGAGACCCGAGATCGTGCCACTGCACTCCAGCCTGGGCAACAAGATCGAAACTCTGTCTCAGGAAAAAAAAAATAGCTGAGCATGGAGGTGCAAGCCTGTAGTCCCAGCTATCTGGGAGGCTGAGGCAGGAGACTTGCTTGAACCCGGTAGGTGGAGGTTGCAGTGAGCCGAGATCACTTCACTGCACTCCAGCCTGGACAACAGAGTGAGATTCTGTCTCAAAGAAAAAAAAAAAAATACACACACACACACACACACACACACACACACACACACTAAGGGCTCTAATGAACAAAGTGGACAGCATGCAAGAGCAGCTGTGTAATATTATCAAAGAGAAACTCTAAGACATAATCAAAAGGAAAAACTAAAGATCAAAAACACCTACAGCAATAAAAATGCCATTGATCAAGAGGCTAGACATTACCAAGAAAATAATTAATGAGTTTGAAGATGCAAATAGAAACTTCCAAAACTGGAATGCAAATTAAAATAAGAATTAAGAGAAGGAACATAGTATCCAAAGATTGTGGAACAGTTAAAAAAGCTGTATCAGGCTGGGCGCAGTGGCTCACGCCTGTAATCCCAGCACTTTGGGAGGCCGAGGTGGGAGGATCACTTGAGGTCAGGAGTTCAAGACCAGCCTGGCCAACGTGGTGAAACCCCATCTCTACTAAAAATACAAAAAATTAGCTAGGTGTGGTGCATGCCTGTAATCTCACTACTCGGGCAGCTGAGGCATGAGAATCCCTTGAACCCAGGAGGCAGAGGTTGCAATGAGCTGAGATTGCACCACTGCACTCCAGCCTGGGTGACAGAGCCAGACCCTGTCTCAAAAACTATATAATAAAAATAAATAAATAAAAAGCTGTATCGTACATGTAATATAAATACCAGAGGGAGAAGAAAGAGGGAAAGGAGCAGGAGACATATTTGTAGTAACTGTCTGAGAATTTTCCAAAATTAAGGGCAGACACCAAACCACTGAACCAGAAATGTTGAAAAACATTAAGCATGATAAATACCAAAATATGTGGACCTATCGTGTTCAAACTATAGAAAACCAAAGACAAAGAGAAAATTTCGGAAAAAAAAAACAAGATGGCTTAGTCAGTTTGGGCTGCTATAAGAGAATATTGTAGAACGAGTGGCAACAGAAATTTATTTCTCACAGTTCTCAGGCTGAAGGTCCAAGATCAGGGTGCCCCATGGTTGGGTTAGAACTCTCTTCTGGGTTGAAGATTGCCAACTTCTCACTTGATCTTACCCAAAAGGCCAAGAAGCTGAGAAGACTGATTGCCAGCTTCTCATTGTATCCTCACATAGTGGAAAGCAAGCTAGCTGGATCTCCGGTCTTTTCTGATAAGGGCATGAATCCCATTCATGAAGGTTCTGTCTTCATGACCCAATCACTCCCCAAAGATCTCACCTATAATTACCATCACATTGGGATTAGGGTTTCAACACATGAATTTGATGGGGAAGGGACACAAGCATTCAGTCCGTTGCATGACAGATTAAAAAATAACTTACTGGCCAGGCGCAGTGGTTCATGCCTGTAATCCCAGCACTTTGGGAGGCCGAGGTGGGCAGATCACCTGAGGTCAGGAGTTCGAGACCAGCCTGACCAACATGGAGAAAACCCGTCTCTACTAAAAATACAAAAAATTAGCTGGGCATGGTGGTGCATGCCTGTAATCCCAGCTACTCGGGAGGCTGAGGCAGGAGAATTGCTTGAACCCAGGAGGCAGAGGTTGTGGTGAGCCAAAATCGCACCATCGCACTCCAGCCTGGGCAACAAGAGTGAAACTCCATCTCAAAAATAAATAAATAAATAAATAAATAAATAAACTTATCTATAGAGGAACAAGGGTAAAACCTATATCAGCATTCTTGTCAGAAACCATTAAGGCAAGAAGAAAATGAGAAGAAATATTTCAAGTGTTAAAAGAAACAAACCAACAACCTAGATTCTGTATCCAGAGAAATTATCCTTCAGATGTGAAAAAGAGATAAAGATATTTTCAGACAAACAGAATTGAGGAAATTTGTCACCAGTACATCTACTTTGTGAAAAATGCTAAAAGAAGTTATTCAAGAGAAGGAAAAGATATGGGTCAGAAACTCAAATCTACATAAATGAAGAGTGTTAGAGAAGAAATAAATAAAGGTAAAGTAAAACCTTTTATTTTTTCTTAATTTATCTAACAGATAACTGTTTGTACAAAAATAATAACAACAATGTATTTGGCGATTATAACATATATAAGGAAAATAAATGACAATGATGTTATAAGGAACAGGAGTGTAAAATTGGAAATACTCTGCCATAAACTACTTGCACTACTCATGAAGTGATATAGTGTTAATTGAAAGTGGGTTTAGGTTAGTTTTAAATGTATACTGCAAACTCTAGAGCAACCACTAAAAAGATAATTAATATGGTAAGAGAAGAGAGAACGTGGAATTTTATAAAATGCTCAATTGAAACTAGAGAAGGCAGAAAAAGAAGGGAAGAAAAGACAAATGTAATACATAGAAAATGGTTACAAATATGATAGATATTAATCTGACTATATTAATAATTACTATAAATGTAAATGGCCTAAATACACCAACTAAAAAACAGAGTCTGTCAAGAGTGGATAATAAAAATAAGACCCAACTATGTTGTTCACTTTATTTTACATTTTTTTCTTTTTTCTTTTTTTTACCCATTGTTTAGCTCCCATTTATAATGTCCACTTTAAATATAAAGATATAGCAAATTAAAAGTTAAAATATAGGGAAAGATATACCATGCTATAATTAGTCAAAAGAAAGCTGGAGTAGCTATATTAATTCCAGGTAAAGCAGAAAAATGGAACTTATTGGGATAAATAGGACATTACATAATAATAATAAAGGGGTCAGTTCTCCAAGAAGATGTAAGAATTTTTGATGTGTATGTGTCTAACAATGATGTCAGTTTGCAAAAGGCAAAAACTTACAGAACTGCAAGGAGAAATATAAAAATCCACTGTTGTAGTAGGAGACTCCAAAACACATCTATCAGTAATTTATGGATCCAACACAGGGAAAATTAGTAAGGATATAGTTGCATTTAACAGTACTATCTATTAACTTAATCTAATTGACATTTACAGTATAATTCATCCAACTACAGCAGAATACACATTCTTCTCAAACCCACATGAAACATTCACCAAGAAAGACAACATTCTGAGACAAAACACACCCCAGCAAAATTAAAGAATAAAAATCACGTGAAGTATGCTCTCAGACCACAATGGAATTAGACCAAAAAAAAAAAAATTACCGAAAGATATCTGGGAAATCCTTAAATAGTTGGAGAGTAAACAATACCCTTCTAAATAACAGGAGTCAAAGAAAAATTTTAAAACATTTTGAACTAAATGAAAATGAAAACACAATTTACCAAAATGTGTGGGAATGCAGTGAAAGCAGTGCTTAGAGAGAAATTTGTAGTATTGAATGTATGTATTAGAAAAAAAGAAAGATCTCCTTGGTGCAGGGGCTCACGCCTGTAATCCCAGCACTTTGGGAGGTCAAGGTGGGCAGATCACGAGGTCAGAAGTTCAAGACCAGCCTGGCCAAGATGGTGAAACCCCGTCTCTACTAAAAACACAAAATTTAGCCAGGCATGGTGGTGGGTGCCTGTAATCCCAGCTACTTGGGAGGCCAAGGCAGAGAATTGCTTTGACCCAGGAGGCAGATGTTGCAGTGAACCAAGATGTGCCACTACACTCTGACCTGGGCGCAGAGCAAGACTCCATCTCAAAAAAAAAAAAAAAAAAAAAAGAAAGCTCTAAAACCGGTAATCTAAGTTTTCACCTTAGAAAAGTAGAAAGAAGAACAAATTAAAACTAATATAAGCAGGAAAAAGAAATAAAAATCAATGCAGAAATCAATGAAATTAAAAACAGGAAATCAGTAGAGAAAACTAAAGCTGATTCTTTGAAAAGATCAATAAAATTGATGAATCTCTAGTCAAGTTAACCAAAGAGATCAGATGCAGTCACTGATATGAGAAATCAAAGAAAGGCCATCACTGCTGATCCAATGGACATTAAAAGGATAATAAAGGAATAACATGAACAAATTTGTGTCCACAAATTTAATAGCTTAGATGAAATGAACAAATTCCTTGAAACACACAATCTTTCAAAACTCATACAATGAGAAATAGGTCGCCTGAATAGGCAATATCTATTAAAAATTAAGTCAATAACTAATAAGCTGCCCCTACAGAAAGCACCAGGCCTAGATGTTTCACTGGTGAATTATACCATACGTCTGAGGAAGAAAATATACCAATTCTCCACCATCTTTTCCACAAAATGGAAGCAGAAGGAATAGTTCCTAACATTATATGAGGCCAGCATTTCCCTAATATCAAAACCAAACCAAGACATTATAAGAAAAAAAAGAAACTATAGCCAATATTTCTCATGAACATAAATGCAAAAATTCCTCAACAAAATATTAGTAAATCAAACTAGTGTATGAAATGTATAAAGAACAATACATATAGTTATACACCATGACCAAATTAGATTTATCCCAGATATGCAAGGCTGATTCAATGTCTAAAAATCGATCATTGTAATTCATCACATCCACAGGATGAAGAAAAATCACATGATCATATCAATAGATGTAGAAGAGCATTTGAGAAAATCCAATACCTGTATATAATAAAAACTCTCAGCAAACTAAGAATAGACGGTTACTTCCACAACTTGATAAAGAACAACTACAACAAAACCTACAGCTAACACCATACTTAATGGTGAGAAACTAGAAGCTTTCCCACTAAAATAAGGAATAAGGTAAGAATGTCCCCTCCTACTACTCCTTTTCAACATCATACTGAAAATTACAGCTAATGCAATAAGATAAGAAAAAGAAATAAAAGTTATGCAAAATTGGAAAGGAAGGAATAAAACTGTCTTTGCTCACAGATGACTTGATGGTTTATCTAGAAAATTCCAAAGAATCAACCAAAAAACTCTTGGAACTAATAAGTGATAACAGCAAGTTTGTTGGATACAAGGTTAATAGATTTAAGTCAGTTGTTTTCCTATATATCAGATATGAACAACTGGAATTTCAAATAAAAACATATCTTTTACACTAGTACCAAACAATAGAGTACTTAGTAATAAATTTAACAAAATATGTCCAAGATAAACATGAGGAAAACTATAAAACTGTGATGAAATAAATCAAATAAGTTATAAATAAATGAAGAGATATTTCATGTTCATAGATAGGAAAACTCAATATTGTTAAGATGTCAGCTCTTCCCAACTTGATCTATAGATGCAATGAACCCCAGTCAAAACCCCAGCAAGTAAGTTATTTGGGTCAGGGGGGATACTGACAAACTCATTCAAAGGTTTATACAGAAAGGTAAAAGACCCCAAATAAGCAACATAATACTGAAGAAGAACAAACTCAGAGGACTGACCTTACCCAACCTCAAGATTTACTATAAAGCTATAATAATTAAGACAGTGTGGTATTGGTGAAATAATACACACTCACAAAAATTTAATGCAACAGAGCAGACAGCCCAGAAATAGGCCTGCACTAATGCAATAAAGTGATCTTTGACAAAGGAGCAAAGGCAATCCAATGGAGAAAGGACGGTCTTTTCAACAAATGATGCTGGGACAACTGAGATCCACATGGAAATAAATGAATCTAGACACTGACCTTACACCGTTCACAAAAATTAAAGTGGCTCACAGGCCTAAATGTAAAACATAAAATTATAAAACATCTAGAAGATATCATAGGAGAAAATCCAGGAGACCTAGAGTTTGGCGATGACTTTTCAGATGCAATGTCAAAAGAATGGCTTAGGGAAGAAAAAAATTGATAAACTTTACTAAAATGAAAAACTTCTGCTCTGTAAAAGACATGGCTATGTACATTTAAAAAACAGAGACTAGGAGAAAATATTTGCAAAACACACATTTGATAAAGGACTTGTATCCAAAATATATGTTGAACTCCTAAAGCTCAACAATAAGAAAACAAATAGCCCAATTAAAAATATGGGCAAAAGATTTGGACACCTCACCGAAGAAGATATACAGATGGTAAATAAGCATATCAAAATATGCTCAATATCATTTTTTATCAGGAATAGTGGGAATTGTAACATCATTTGTTATTGGGAATATAAGGAACCATGGGATACTACTACGCATCTATTTGAATGGCTAAAACCCAAAAAACTGACAATTTCAAATGCTAGGAGAATGCAGAGCAGCAGAAACTGATTCATTGCTGGTTGGAGTGCCACTTTGTAAGACAGTCTGGCAGTTTCTTATAAAACTAAACATAGTCTTATCTTATGATCCAGAAAATGGGCTCCTAGGCATTTACTCAAACAAATTCAAAATGTATGTCCACACCAAAACCTGCACACAAATGTCTATGACAGCTTTATTCATCATAATTGCTAAAAATGTGAAGCAAGCAAGATGTCCTTCAATGGGTACATGCAGTACCTCCAGACAATGGAGCATTATTCAGTGCTAAAAAGAAATAAGCCATCGGGGCTGGGTGTGGTACCCAGTACTTTGGGAGGCCAAAGTGGGCATGTCGTCTGAGGTTAGGAGTTTGAGACTAGCCTGGCCCACATGGTAAAACCTCATCTCTACTAAAAAATACAAAAGTTAGCTGGGCGTGGTGGTGCACACCTGCAATCCCAGCTACTTGGGAGGCTGAAGCAGGAGAATCACTTGAACCTGGAAGGCAGAGGTTGCAGTGAGCCGAGATCGCGCCATCGTGCTCTAGCAGGGATGACAGAGTGAGACTCCGTCTATAAATAAATAAATAAATAAATAAGCCATCAGGCCCCAAGATTTGCAGGACCTTAAATGATATTGCTTAGTCAAAGAAATCAATCTGAGGCCAGGCACAGTGGCTCATGCCTATAATCCCACCACTTTGGGAGGCGAAGTCAGGCAGATCGCATGAGGCCAGGAGTTCAAGACCAGATTGGCTGACATGGTGAAATCTTCTCTCTACTAAAAATTCAAAAATTAGTCAGGCGTGGTGGTGCACACCTGTAATCCCAGCTACTTGGGAGGCTGAGGCAGGATAATAGATGGAACCCGGGAGGCGGAGGTTGCAGTGACCCAAGATCGCACCATCGTACTCCAGCCTGGATGACAGAGTTAAGACTCTGTCTCAAAAAAAAAAAAAAAAAAAAGTCAATCTGAGAAGGCTACATACTGTATGATTCCAATTCTGGAAAGGGCGAAATTATAGAGACATTAAAAAGATCAGTGAATATCAGGGTTTTGGGGGAAGACAGGGCGGGATGAACAGTTGGAGTACAGGGGATTTTTAGGGCAGTGAAACTATTCTGTATGATATGGTAATGGTGGGTGGATACCTGACATTAAGTTTTGTCAAAACTAAGAATGGGCTGGGCGCAGTGGCTTATGCCTGTAATCCCAACACTTTGGGAGGCCGAGGTGGGCGGATCACCTGAGGTTAGGAGTTCGAGACCAGCCTGGCCAACATGGTGAAACCCCGTCTCTTTCAAAAATACAAAAAATTTGCTGGGTGTGGTGGCGCATGCCTGTAATCCCAGCTACTTGGGAGACTGAGGTAGGAGAATTGCTTGAACCTGGGAGGCGGAGGAGGTTGCAGTGAACCAAGAACGTGTCACTGTACTCCAGCCTGGGTGACAGAGCGAGACTGTGTCTCAAAAAACAAAACAAAACAAAAAACAAAAAAACTCAGAATGTACAACACAAAGAGTAAATTACAATGTAAACTCTGGGCTTCAGTTAATAGTAATGTGTCAATATTGGCGCATCAGTTAGAACAAATATACACCGTGCAAGATGTTGCTAACTGGGACAGCTGTGAGGGGGAGACAGGAAGTACATGGGAGCTCTCTGTACTACATGCTCAATTTTCTGCAAACCTAAAACTACTCTGAAAAAGAAATTCTAGCCATTAAAAGAATACATGCGGCCGGGCGCAGTGGCTTACGCCTGTAATCCCAGCACTTTGGGAGGCCGAGGCGGGCGGATCACGAGGTCAGGAGATCGAGACCATCCCGGCTAAAACGGTGAAACCTCGTCTCTACTAAAAATACAAAAAATTAGCCGGGCGTAGTGGCGGGCGCCTGTAGTCCCAGCTACTTGGGAGGCTGAGGCAGGAGAATGGCGTGAACCCGGGAGGCGGAGCTTGCAGTGAGCCGAGATCCCGCCACTGCACTCCAGCCTGGGCGACAGAGCGAGACTCCGTCTCAAAAAAAAAAAAAAAAAAAAAAAAAAATTATTAAAAAATTAAAATTAAAATGTGTATGCACCTAATAATATAACTAAAAAACAGCACCTAATAATACAAATTAAAATCACACAGAGTATGGCTGGGTGCAGTGGCTGACGCTTGTAATCCCAGCACTTTGGCAGGCTGATGCAGGTGGATCACTTGAGGTGAGGAGTTCGAGAGTAGCCTGGCCAACATGGTGAAACCCTATCTCTACTAAAAATACAAAAAAATAGCCGGGCATGGTGGCGGGCACCCGTAATCCCAGCTACTCGGGAGGCTGAGGCAGGAGAATCACTTGAACCCGGGAGGCAGAGATTGCAGTGAGCCAAGATCACACCGCTGCACTCCAGCCTGGGGGACAGAGTGGAACTTCGTCTCAAAAAACAAACAAAAAGAAAGAAACAAACAAACAAAACAAAATAAACAGAGTAAAAATTGGCATAATCACAATAAGAAATCATAATAAGAAATTTAAACACATCTTTCACAGTAATTGATAATAAAACAGATAACAAATTCAAGAAGGATACAGATTTGAAGAATGCAGTTAACAAAACTGACCAAAGAGCATTCATAGAAGACTGCATCCAACAACTGCAGGAAGCCACTGCGAAACTCCCGTGGGGATGTGTGGCTCTCTCTTATGGATACCTCCTGTGATCAATGCATGTGCACACAGAACCCAGTTTGGTAGATGTTCCCTTCTCCTCCCCACTCCTCTTCCTTTCACAACTCTCCCATCCTTGGCAGGGTTAGAAGTACCTATGGTCTCTTAGAGTGGGTCCAGTGTCCTAGGAGGTGGTGGCCAGAAGCTGGGAGGATGGAGCTGATGCTGGCAGTGTAGGCTGGGTGAGTTGCCAGAAGATTTTTTTTATTAGGCATTTGAGAAATGGCTTGCTTTTCAAAGCACTTTAGAAATGCATTTGCCGGCCAGGCGCAGTGGCTCAAGCCTGTAATCCCAGCACTTTGGGAGGCCAAGGCAGACAGATCACTTGAAGTTAGGAGTTCGAGACCAGCCTGGCCAACATGGTGAAACCCCGTCTCTACTAAAGGAAATACAAGAGTTAGCCAGGTGTGGTGGCGAACGCCTGCAATTCTAGCTACTCAGGAGGCTGAGGCACAAGAATCGCTTGAACCCGGGAGGTGGAGGTTGCAGTGAGCTGAGATCGTGCCACTGCATTCCGGCCTAGACGACAGAGTGAGATCCTGTCTCAAAACAAACAAACAAACAAACAAACAAACAAACAAACAGAAATGCATTTGCCTTATGATATTCATAACTGTAGAAGTTAATGGAAAGGGTGCTAGTATCCCCATTTCTCAGCTGGAGAAATCAAGGTGTTAAGCAATTTACCCCATGAAGCTGGTTTGTGAAGGCCCCAGGCTGAAGTCTTGAGATTTCTCATTCCTTCTGGGTTTCTAGGTGATTCCTGACCTTGACTGTGGAGAAGAGGCCATTGCAAAGCTTATCTCGTGGCATCTCCAAGGATGCCCAGTCAGTTTGTGTATGTTTCTCATTCTCTGCTACTTGGGGCCTCTTGTGGGTAGCTGCCATCTGGGTGCAATTCAGAGTGGCCAAAGGCCTACCAGTCCCCAGGGGCAGGTGGCCTTTAGTTTACCAGAAAAGCATCTTAACCGCTGAGTTTCCGCAGAAGGCAGAATTCTGAGGAGAAAGGCTCAGACAGGGGAATTCAAAACAAAGCCAAATAACACAAGAGAATTCAAAATTCCACAAGAGAAAAATGTGGTGAAAGTGGGAAGGTGGCCCTGTGGCAGCTGAGGGCAGCCCAGGACAGGGAGGTGGTGAGGCTAACATTCCGTTTGGGTTCCACTGTCGTTCTCAAACCTTCACTACAACTTGACCTCACACAGCTTCCTCAGCTAAGTCTTGTTTTGTGGAGTCACAAAGAGCTCAGTTCCATACTTGGGTGGGACAGGGTGGCGAGAAGGCAGAGCTACCAGAGCTTCAAGAGGCGCTGGGTGGAAGGGGTGGAGGGTGAGCATCTAGATCTCACAGGAACCAGCAGTGACTGTGAAACGAGGGCAGCCAGGGAGCCCCAGAAATGAGGCAGGCGCTCGGCTCCCAGAGGATGAGAAACAAGGACGCGAACCAGTGGGGTTTAAGTGTTAAAGCGATGCCAAGGGGCCTGGAAGTGGAGGTCCCTGTAGCTCGTGGGGTCTGTGCCTGGAGTCCAGGAGAAAGCGCTGGCATTCTTTCCCTCGACTCAGAGAGGTGGTAACTTGGCTGACATAGCAGAGCTGGTCCAAGGCAGAGCCAGGGCTGAAACCAGATCTTTATTATCTGGACTGGATCTTTATTATCTGCAGACTTTGACCTGTGCCTCCCCTCCCCGCTCTGCTGACCAGTGCGTTAACCACAGCACACAGGGTAAGGGCTCCCCTATTCCCATGAGCTCAGGATTGGTGACTGTCTCTGGGGGCAACCAACCCACTGGCACCCAGGAGCAATATTTACAGTATTCAACAATCACTATCAATCAATGTTCAATAGTTAATGACTGTGGGGTGAGAACGCCATCCCCCTGTCCTGGGCTGTGCCCACCGGCTGCCGTGGAGCTCTGACCCCTCCCACATTTTCTAGCCTGCCCGTCTCTTTCGCTTGTGGGCTGCATCGTCTGTCTTTGTTCTGAATTCTTCTCTCTGAGCCCTGCTCCTGACTCATGAACCATAAGGGATGCTGGTCACCTGGCCGGCTGCACAGGTGCACACCCCATATCGCCAGGAGGGTGCCCAACACCACCCCCAAGCCTCGGGAGCTCTTTGCATTCTTATTTCAGGTGCCACAACCCCCTTCCTGCTCACAACTGGGGGAGACGGTGCTGGATGGGGATGTGCCAGGGATTCTCTGCTTCCAGAGCCATGAAGCCACCGCATCACTGACGGGCATAGGCAGACATGCAGAGGCAGCCCCAACACACCCCATACCACTCCAGACAGGCTCTCCACTCAAGACAAATGCCAGGGCTGGCCCCTTGGGTGGGCGACCTGTGCAGGCTCATGGGGCCCTGCCATCAGAAACCTGCATTTGGTTTTATACTTTGCTGTTGCCATCTTGAAATTCTTTACAATTTTTGAACAGAGGGCCAGCATTTTTATTTTGCATAGAACTCAGCAAATTTTGTAGCTAATTCAGATGAAAGCCCCCCCGCTCCGGCTTCCAGTCAGAGGTGGCTGCATCACTGCACTGGTTGAGAGTGCATCATCTGCGCTTCCAGCCAGTGCTGATGGCCACATGCCATTCCGGTGGCAGCCTCCTCGGGAGCTTGCAGGAGGGGAAAGGAAGCCTGCTGGAGGCTCACGAGTCAAAGGCTCAGTCACAGAGAATGGCATGTGGATCAGCCTTTGGAGCTTCGTGTAGCGCTGTTTTTGGACAAGTGCTGTGTCATTTCTCCACTGTGGACTGTGGTCAGGAGGAGCTGGAGCTGGGCAGGTCCCTTGTCCTGGAAGCTCGGTCTTGAAGGTTGGCAGGACTAGACATGGCAGGTGATCCTAGGTCAAGTACTGATGGTGCCAGTGCCACAGCAACAGTGCTGACTTGTGCTTACTGCGCAGATCTGTCCAGTAAGGGACCCGGGCCGCCTGGCCCTTTCCACTTTGGGTCATTTGGTGGGACCCTGCAGGGTTACTTCTCTTGCAGCTCCGTTGACAGAACCTCACCGCCTATGAGCCCCGGTTTCTGCCCACTCAGCTCTCTGCTGCCCCCACCTGGCCGCCTCCAGTGCCGACCTGATACTCAGCTGTAGTTTGTCAACTTTCTGAAAAATACATGAAATTGCTGCTATCTGACTATTTTGACCTACAAAGATGGCCATTTTAAGTGGTTCAACATAATACCATTGCTTAGAATGGTCTTATAAATGGGAGCAGAGGGATAGAAAGGAGTAAAGGCTGTGTGTATTACGGAGAATCCTGGCATACAACCGTAGTATATGCTAAACATAGCCCAGATGTTCGTGTCAGCTGTCTGTGGTCACTTTGGGGGCATCTGACACCCGTGTGTGGTTCCCTCCTTGCCCAGGTATTACAGAACACTGGACAGTGAGTGAAAGCCCACTGTGGACCAATGGCCATGGGTTCCGGTAGGCCACCTTGGCAGAGAAGAGAGAATATGTGAAATTCAACCAGTGGCTGACTCTGTCAGGGACATTCTGCAGACTCCACATGCTCTCTGAGCCTTAGTTTTCCCATCTGTGATTTGGAACCAAAGCATCCACTTCCTCCATGTCCTGGGCAGGGCTGGTCTTCAGCAGGGATGCTCTTCCAGGACAAAGACATCAGGGTGTTCCATACAGATCGGGAAGTAGCCACTGCTCAGAGCTGCCTGGGTGGTGTGGCTCCCCTGAAACTCCTGGACACATCTTCATGGCCCAGCAACTGAAGGGTTAATGCCGGGTGCATTGGGACCTCCAGGACCTGCCCAGTGTCTTACCTGGCATCTGACCTTTGTGCACCCCACCCTGCTATTTACAGGGTCAAAATGAGAAGCAAAAGAGATCATAAAACCACCTTTGCAAAATTTGTAACTGAGGAAGTGATGACAGTGAAAGAGACCTGACCTAACCGACTCCATCTTGCTTCTAACCTCCAAACTGTCCTTGTTCATTCCTGGGTGTAGGCTGAACTAACTTTGGGAGGAACTTAGTTTATAGTTTAACTTTGAAACAAAGATGATAACAGCCCTTTTCGAAAACAAATCCTCTTCTTCCCTAGGGACCAATCTGCCTTCGTAGGACTAACAAATTAGCTACAAGATTAGAAATAAGGTTCAGGAGTCATGAAGCCAGAGGCTGCAAGATTCCAAACCTCCTCAAATTGCTTCTGGAAATAACACCACTGTTGTAAAACCTAAGATGAGTGCTTGAGATATTTTGTAGACCCTGCATTCTGATGCACCAGCTGATGCCACCCAGACTGGTGGTAATCAGGTTCATCTGGTCTTGTGGCCCCCACCCAGGAACTGCAGTGTGGGAGGACAGCTTTGCCCCTCTATGATTTCATCTCCAGTCCAACCAATCAATGCTCCGCACTCCCGGGCCCGCTACCTGCCAAATTATCCTTAAAAGACCCTAGTCTCCGAATGTTCAGGGAGACTGATTTGAGTAATAATAAAACTCCCATCTCCCGTACGGCCAGCTCTGCGTGAATTAAACTCTCTCCATTGCAATTCCCCTGTCTTGATAAATTGGCTCTGTCTAGGCAGAGGGCAAGGAGAATCCGTTGGGCAACGGTTACAAACAGGCACAGAAAAAAGATGTGCAAATCAGTAGTCCTTCTTATCTGCAGTTTCACTTTCTGGGGTGTTATCCAGGGTCAAATAGAAAACTCCAGAAACGGACAATTCATAGGTTTTAAATTGCATGCTACTCTGCCCTGTCTTGGGCATGAATCCTCCCTTCATCCAGCCTATCTGTGTTGTTTACACCAACCATCAGCCACTTAGAGCGACTGTTGCGGCAGCACAGTGCTTGTGTTCAGGTCAGCCTTGTGCTACTTAATCACAGCCCCAACGCGCAAAAGTAGTGATGCTGGCAATTCAGATATGCCAAAGAGACGAGCGCAGTGCTTCCTTTCAGTGAAAAGGTGAAAGTCCTCAACTGAAGGGAAAAAAGCATATGCTTAGTTTGCTAAGATCTACAGTAAGAACGAATCTTCTATGTGTGAAATTATGAAGAAGGAAAAAAAAATGTGTGCAAGTTTTGCTGTCGCACTTCAAACTGCCAAAGTTTCGGCCACCATGTGCGATAAGAGCTTAGTTAAGATGGAAAAGGCATTACATTTGTGGGTGGAAGACATGGACAGCGATGTGTTCTGATTGACAGCCATCAGGTTCAGTACCAGCTACCCTTTCAGGCATCCCCTGTGGATGAAGGGGGGACTGCTGTAGTGGCAGAAACATTCTCTGATCACTGGTTAGACTGGAGGGGTCAGAGAGGGGTCCGGGGAGATAGTGTGAACCCAAGGGAAGTGAGAGTGGGTGGAAGCAGTGAGTGGGTGGCCAGGGGAGTCAGGGCACTTGGGCCCCCAGCTGTTTTCACACTTCCAGCACCAGGCTCGCCCCCACCCCCCTGCTGCCCCCTCTCTGGGCTCTCTGTGAGTGTAGTTCCTACCACTTTTATTTTTTTTCCTCACATACTAAAATGACAGCTTGGTTAAAATGAAAATCGCCAAAATGACTCGGGCTCCCAGCATAACCAAAGTGGTGCTCTTGGCTAGGCTTAGCCGCTGGGCCTGCTTTCCTGGGATCAAGGTTTTATCCACAGCCATTAATCACATAAAAGCAGATATTGAGGAGCATTAGCCACAGCCAGCTGTTACGCCGTGTTCTGGGCCATTACGCGGATTACCCCTCCACAGTGCCTTCCTGATGGCCCACTGTCTTGGGTTTGCATGGGCCTATTGGCAGCCGGGTTGACCCCAAGGTTGGGCACAAGCTCTGCCTCCCCTGGCCCCTCTGTGACCCCAAAAGCAGCTCCTCTTTCTTGCACCTCCCGACTGAGGGGCCTCCATCCCCCCGAGGAGGTCCATGGCCCGTTTCCCACAGGCCCTGCACCCTGAAAGCTCAAGTGCTCGGCTCCTGATTCAGGGCTCCAGCCCCAGCTGCAGTCCACACATGGCTGGACATAATCTATTTCTTTCAGTTACTACCCAAGGAGCCCTAGTCCTGCAACAGAGTAGCCACTGGCTACCCAGTGAAATCAGGGCTCCGATTACCACTGCCTGATGTCTCTTTTGTTTGTCGCTGTGATAACGCATATGAAAAAGTATATTTGCTTCAGAGGACGTGAGGGCATGTAAGACACAAGGAAAGGAAGCCACACTGTGGTGGGTTCTGGACTCTCCTTCTGGGTGAAGACCTCTGGCATCTTTACTTTGAGCATCACTAGTTCCCGACAGGGCGCCAGTGATATGGTTCAGCTGTGTCCCCACCCAAATCTCATCTTAAATTGTAGCTCCCATAATCCCCATGTGTCATGGGAGGAACCCAGTGGGAGGTAATTGAATCATGTGGGCGGGTTTTTCCTGCGCTGTTCCCGTGGTAGTGAATACATCTCACGAGACCTGATGGTTTTATAAAGGGCAGTTCCGCTGCACTCTCTCTTGCCTGCTGCTATGTAAGACAGCTTTGCTTCTCCTTCGCCTTCTGCCATGATTATGAGGCCTCCCCAGCCATGTGGAAATGTAAGTCCATTAAATGTCTTTCTTTTTAAAATTACCTAGTCTCAGGGATGTCTTTATTAGCAGCGTGAGAACAGACTAATACAGTAAAACCGGATTGCAGATGCATTTCACTCATTTTGTCATGAATCCTCTTCAGACAGTCTCTGTGACCCCTGAGGAATTTAGAGACACTGACCCTGGGAGTCAGGCTGCAATAAGGAAACTGCAGTGGCCGAGCATGGTGGCTCACACCTGTAATCCTAGCACTTTGGGAGGCTGAGGTGGGTGGATCACTTGAGGTCAGGAGTTCAAGACCCAGCCTGGCCAAAGTGGCAAAAACCTGTCTCTACTAAAAATACAAAAAATTAGCCAGTGGTGTGTTCCTGTAGTCCCAGTACTTTGGGAGGCTGAGGTAGGTGGATCACTTGAGGTCAGGAGTTGGAGAACAGCATGATCCACATGGTGAAACTCCGTCTCTACCAAAAGTAAAAAAAAATTAGCCAATGGTGCACACCTGTAGTCAACACTTTGGGAGGGTAAGGCAGGCAGATCACTTGAGGTCAGGAGTTCAAGACCAGCTTGGCCAACATGGTGAAACCCCGTCTCTACAAAAAATTAGCCCATGGCACATGGCTGTAGTCCCAGCTAGTCAGAAGGCTGAGGCAGGAGAAGTGCTTGAACCTGGGAGGCGGAGGTTACAGTGAGCCAAGATTGTACCACGACACTCCAGCCTAGGTGACAGAGCGAGACTGTCTCAAAAACAAAACAAAAAAAAAATTGGGAGGGGGTGGGAAACTGAAGGAAAAGGACACAATAGACAATGGAGAGGCCCCATCCAGCCTAGAGCTTCTCCAGACAAGATCCCCTTGGCTCTCGAGATGGCAGATGGAAAGTATTTGTGGGGCTAGGACATAGAGACAGAGCCTGCCCTCTGGAGCTTTTCCTCAAGTGGGCCTGGGGATGCATAAACAAGTAGATAATCATATAGGGCAGTGATAAGGGCTGGGAGGGGAGAAAAAGGGAAGGGAAGTCCATGGGAGTAGCTCTTTAAGACAGAGGTGACCCAAGTAATTGAGCAAGTAAGCGGCCCTCTGGGAAGAGGATGCCCTGGCAGTCCATGCAAAGGCCCCCTCTCTGGACGGGTGGATGGAAGCCGCCGGAGGCCCGTGTGGCTGGAGTGTTGAGAAGGAAGGGGAATGGGACAGGCTCAGGTTGGGCTGGGCTTAGCCAAGTTCAGCAGGTCACCCCTTTCTGGATTTCAGTTTCCTCAAATGAAGGGATTGGACTGCTTCTAAGAATCTTAATCATCTATGTTCTAAAATGCAGAGAAGCATATTAGTTATGATGCTAATGGGGTTCAGGACATGCCAACCCAAAATATGACTATAGGAGACCAGAACATGCCATCCCACATATGCCTCTTTGGCATAAGGTTTATTTTGAGCTGGCTATTTCAAGAAACTGCAGGCACAGGGAAAGCTTTGAAAAACACCATAGAAGTTACCCTTTTGCAAGGGAAATTTAAATCTATAAAGGAAATCTCCATTTGTAAAGGTGTCTGCCTCTCTGCACCAGGAAAAGAAGAGTGACTAAATCACCAGAGACTCAGTCAAGGCAGAAGGCACCAACTTCAATCTGTGTAACAAACCTAACCTCTGGTTTTCCAGTGATTTTCCTGGGCCATCTCATTTTAACCAAGTCTTTCCCCACACCCATCCTTCTTGGTTTCAGAAAAAGTTGGTATTTAAACCTGAAGTCTAAGACCACTCTTTGAGATCTACTAAAGAGACTGACTCGGCTGGGCAAGGTGGCTCATACCTGTAATCCCAGCATTTTGGGAGGCCAAGGTGGGCAGATCACCTGTGGTCGGGAGTTTGAGACCAGCCTGACCAACATGGAGAAACCCCATCTCTACTAAAAATACAAAAAATTAGCTGGGTGTGGTGGCCCATGCCTGTAATCCCAGCTACTTGGGAGGCTGAGGCAGGAGAATCACTTGAATCTGGGAGGCAGCGGAGGTTGCAGTGAGCCAAGATCGTACTCCAGCCTGGGCAACAAGAGTGAAACTCCATCTCAAAAGGAAAAAAAAAAGAGATTGGCTCAACTCCCTGGTTATCCCCCATATATACAGGAAGGATACATATGATTAAACTTTTGTTTGTTTCTCTTGTTATCTGTCTTTTGTTACAAGAAGTCCCGGTAAGAACTCATGAAGGGTGAAGGAGAAAATTATTTTTCCTTCCCTATGATGCCATCTTTAGAAGTGAACACTGACGAAAACCCTAGATATGTGCACACATTCTGTATCCATACACATTACTACATGTGCACTCAAGCAGAGAATTATGGAAGGTTACACACCACCATAGCCAATATGGGCTTCCTAGGAAGAAAGGAGAAGGCCAAATAAAATAAACACCTTATTAAAATATTTCTAAACATCATCATGTTGAACATGATAAATGCATACAATTTTTACTTGTCAATTAAAAAAATTAAAAATAAATAAAATTTTTAAATTAAAAAAAGAGAATGATCCATCCTACCCAAGTACATGCATATGGATGAAATAATTAGAAATGCAAGATAGAATTAGATCTAAATCTACTAAGTTTGTAGGGATACCCATTGCTATAGTGTGGCTATTTTCCCCTCCAAATCTCATGCTGTAATTTTATCTCCAGTGTTGGAGGTGGGGCCTAGTGGGAGGTGTTTGCGTCATGGGGGCAGGTCCCTCAAGAGTATCTTGGTGCCGTCATCCTTGCAGTAATGAGTGAACTCTCACTCTGTTGGTTTCTACAACAGCGTATTGTGAAGAAGAGCCTGGCACCTCTCTCCTTTACTTCCTCTCTCGCCACATGATCTCTGCACACACCGGCTCCTCTTCCTCTTCCACCATGAGTGGAGGCAGCCTGAAGCCCTCACAGGAAGCAGACGCTGGCTCCATGCTTCCTATACAGCCTGCAGAACTGTGAGATTTCTTTATAAATTACCCAGCCTCAGGTATTCCTTTACAGTAATACAAAATGGACAAAGACACCCTTGAAAAAGTAAGTGGAGCAGTAATAAAGTTGCATAGTGATGAGAATTGTGTAATTTTAGTTCAGTAAAAACAAATCTGTCAACAAACCCCTGAACGTGTATAGGCGTTTTGGTCTGTGTGTGTAGAACTCCGAGGAAGGCGTGGCCATGGTCATGTTGGCCATCTCCTTCTTATCTCTGGGAGAGTGGGAGGAGGGGGTGGGAGGAGGTTGCAGCGCCTCCTCTGGATGGGTGGTAGGAATGGGGAGAGCATCGGATCCAGGCTCCATGGGGTCACCAAGGCAGCAGGAGGTGTCTGGAGGCGGAGACATTAGCTCTGTGTTTCCATGTGCCTGTCTCTCCCACACCAGCCCCTGCCGTGCTTGCTGTTTGAGCATGGGGACTCTTGTCTTCCACCACAAGGTGGATGTCACAGCACCATTTATAATCGGAAGGCATTTGTAGCACTTTATTGTTCAAACAAGCATCTCTTTCAAGCACATGGAATGCCATGTGTGGTAAATCCAGTTCCCACCCTCTACGAGGTAACTGATCTGCCATCATCACAGATTGGGTTAGGCTGCTACTGAAACAGACAATGTTGCCATTGTGGGGGCCAAGGCCCTAATTCACCAAATGGGCCACCTTCAGTCTTCAATCAGCATGATAATAAAGTTCCCTCTGTTTTAATCCTTAACCCGAACGAAGTTCCATCTCCCTGTCCTTGTCTCATAAGGAAAGTCACTTTGAAAAGACCAATCTGCTTTTTGCTGTTTGTTTCCGCTTTCCTCAGCCGCCCCCCACCCTTTTTTTTTTTTTTTTTTTGCCTATAAAGCCAACCTCCTCTGCTCAGCTCATTGGAACACTAATTCTTTTTTATGGAATAAAGTATTGCCCAATTCTAGAATTGCAAATAAAGCCAACTGAGGTATTTAAACTAAGTTTGCTGTAATTTCTTCTTTTGACAGATCTGGCAACCAAGGAAGGAACCTGAAAGAGACAGATCTGACAACCCTGAGACCCCTGCAGGAGCACAGGGAAGGCCCTGCTCGCTCTACCTTTTGGGGAGGTCCCTGTCTTCCTCATGGAGTCCTGAGAAGTTCTGCTCTCTTTTGCATTAGTGCTCTCTGATATTTTTGGCATTTGGAGTACCAAGGTTAATTTGTGCTGTGGCAGGGCACACCACCTTTCGGTTTGCAGTGACTGAGGAGTCACTGTGGCAACAAAACTGTCATTTCTAAGGTAACTGATAACAGTGGCAGTAAGTGGTTATTACTGGAGGGATCCTCTTTATTTCTTCTCTTCTCAATGGTGAGGTCTCAGAGCAAAAGTCATCGTGGCTCTGAGATACCCAAGAGCCAACATAAACATGGGATCTCTAATTTCTAAAGATCTTAGTACTCTGCCTTCTGATATGCCTGCCTTTTTCATGGACAAGAATTATGGCCCCAGAAGCTGCAGATATTCTTAAAAGTGGCAAAGTCTTACTAAAGATAATTCAGAATGACAATGGCTGTTATATGGAATGTTCCAGGTGAACACAAAACTGGTTATCTAAGAAGTGCACTTGAGTCTCAAGCCCCTTGAATTAGGCAGGGAGAATGGGATTATTATTCTAACAGGCATTCAGAAGTCTCAAAGAGACAACAAGATTCTAAAATTGCTTTTTAAAAAATTCACTGTGAAGAGCTAATAAAAAGCTAAAAGTGCAAGGCATCACCCATACCAAGGACAGTAAAACTGACATGACCCCTACTGCTCCTCTCTATCCTATTTTGCCTAAATATTCACAATCTATTAACTTTCTGTCGGAATTGCCTATATTCTCAGAAGAAAACAGTTAAGCAGTTTTCTTATAAGAGAAAACCACCCCAAACTCCAGGAAATAATACTCAAGTGACTTATATTCCCTGGATAAAAATAGAGCTCAGAGCCATAGTTTAAAATTTTCCTAAACCTAGAAAAAACCTACGGAAGTTTTCTGAAGAATTTGGGATCTCAACTAGAACTTGTGACCCTGGGTTATCTGATCTCTACCAACTAACCCGCATGTGTGTGGGAACTGGGGAAGCCCAAACATGGAAGAAAGAGGCAGAATGATATTACCTCACAAGCCCTAACTTATGGGCCAAGCAAAGCCTGAAAAATGACCATTGAAAGCCATTCTTGAAGAGCCTCAGCTCCATGGCAACCAACAACCTAGGGTGGCCTTTGGGTCCCTGAAACAATGGTTTCCAGAAAATTGTTGTCATTGGTGCAAACAACCAGGGCACTGGAAAGGGGGCCGCCCTCACAAAGATTTTGAGGGAAGCTCATAAAAAGAGCCTGCCAGCCCTCTGACAATCTTCGTATTAACCACCAAGACTGATGGGCCTCCAAGGGAAGCTCTGATAAGCTTCCTCCAGTTATCCAGTCTGAGTAGACACCAGAGCCCCTATTTCTACTTTAAACCCCACTCTTACGGGACAACCTCTCTCTTGGAATAAAAAAGAAAAATTCAATTGTGAGGGATATCAAATTGAGTTCTAGGAATGAGCCCAGGAATAGAAAATGCCTTCTTTGCCCTATTTATTCAAGGGCTGTGTCGCGAAGTCAGTTGTCTAATTAACAAACAGGTTTTTTGAGTTGAAAAGACCAGGCTGAGTGTAGTGGCTCACACCTGTAATCCCAGCACTTTGGGAGTCCGAGGCAGGAGGATCACTTGAGCCCAGAAGTTCAAGAGCAGCCTGGGTGACATAGTGGGACCTCATCTCTATTTACAAATAAATAAATAAATAAATGAAAATTTAAAAAAGAAAAGACTATGTATCAACTAAATGATTTCCAAAACACAACTTCTTGGCACTTAGCTGACTTTTAAAAAAAATTCTTTGTAAAAGAAATTTATATCTATGAAGAAAATCTATTTTTAAGGGCGCTTCCCTTTCTATATGTAAATAATTAGGAACTTTTACAATGGGGAATAAATTGGCTTGAAGTTTACATTTAAAAAAAAAATGACTTACCTTTGTATAAGGTGCTTTGGCTGGCCATTTTGCCTGAACTAGGCCTTTACCTATGACCTTTTTTGTCTTGGCAAATAATGGCAAATGGCACTTGAGACTCAAGTGCACTTCTTACATAACCAGTTTTGTGTTCACCTGGAACATTCCATATAACAGCCATTGTCATTCTGAATTATCTTTAGTAAGACTTTGCCACTTTTGAGAATATTTGCAGCTTCTGGGGCCATAACTCTTGTCCCATGAAAAAGGCAGGCATATCAGAAGGCACAGTACTCAGATTTTTAGAAATTAGAGATGTAGGTTCTGTGCCTTTGACATGTAAATTTTCTACCTCTTTCCACTCTTTTCTACCTTTTTAAGAGTCCTGCCTTTGGATGTACAAATTTGGTGTTGCCTAGATAACAACTGTTTAGGCCAATAGAACAGGTAATCAGGACATTAATAGTCTAAACAGGGGAGAGAAACTATTTGAAAACCTACAAATGAATAATCTTATTAAAACTATAAGATCTGCCTCTGTCTGTGTGTCTGTATGTCTATATGTGTTATGTATATGTGATGTGTCTCTACCAAAATATAAGAAAGAGTCATAATGAATTGGCTTAAAGAAAAAGTTAGCACTTAAATATTTTATCAGAAAAAAGAAACTAACCTCAATGCCTTTTTGTTCGTGTGACTTGGGTAAATCTTTGGTAAGTAAGACTAGTTTAATATTGTTGGTTTAATAAAAACAGCTGTGTCTTCTGATCAGCAAAATACTAATGTATTGAACTTTAGCATTCTTGCTTAGGTGGCAACTGTCTATCACTTGCGTGCTGTAAAATGGTTAGCAGGAAAATCATTGAGATGATGGCTAACTTTGTGTAACCAGCAATGTAAGCATAATTGTTAAGAATGAGTAAATTATGTGGATGTAAATGGGATACAAATATATAAATAGCATTCTCATAATTTTAAAATCTTTTTCAGTAACTTAATCTTAAAGTCATGTTATGATTAATAGATATTCACGAAACGTTTAAGGCATTTCTAAGTTAAAACACTGAAACATTAATTGCTGAACATAAGTTTAAAGTATATATGCTTTGTGCTACAGTTTGGATATTTGGCCCTCTAAACCTCATGTTGAAATTTGATTCTTGGCTGGGCACGGTGGCTCATGCCTGTAATCCTAGCACTCTGGGAGGCCGTGGTGGGTGGATCACCTGAGGACAGGAGTTTGAGACCAGCCTGACCAATATGGTGAAACTCTGTCTCTACTAAAAATACAAAAAAAAAAAAAAAAAATTAGCCGGGCATGGTGGCAGGAGCCTGTAGACCCAGCTACTTGGGAGGCTGAGGCATGAGAATCACTTGAACCCAGGAGGCGGAGCTTGCAGTGAGCCGAGATCGTGCCACTGCACTGCAGCCTGGGCGACAGAGAGAGAATCCGTCTAAAAAAAAAAAAATTAAATAATAGAAAAGAAAAGAAATGTGATTATCAGTGTTGGAAGTGGGGCCTAATGGGAGGTGTTTGGGTCTGGGGTGGGACCCCTCATGAATGCCTTTCCCCCGCCCCAGTGGTAATGAGTGAGTTCTTGCTTAATTAGCTCCTGTGAGAGTTCCCTCACGAGTTGGTTGTTAGAAAGAGTCTGGTACCTTCTCCATCCTTCTTGCTTCTTCTCTTCCATGTGATCTGCACATACTGGATAACCTTTACCTTCCTCCATGAATGGAAGCAGGCTGAAGCCCTCACCAGAAGCAGATGCTGGCATTATGCTTTTCATACAGTCTGCAGAACTGTGCACCAAACAAACCTCTTTTCTTTATAAATTACTCAGCCTCATATATTCCTTTATAGCAACACTAAACAGAATAAGACATTTTATAATCTTTGTTTGTTTGTTTGTTTGTTTTTTGAGACAGAGTCTTGCTCTGTTGCCCAGGCTGGAGTGTGGTGGTGCCATCTCAGCTCACTGCAACCTCCAACTCCTGGGTTCAAGTGATTCTCCTGCCTCAGCTTGCCAAGTAGCTTGGATAACAGGTGCGTACCACTGCATCCAGCTAATTTTTTTTTTTTTTTGTATTTTTAGTAGAGACGGGGTTTCACCATGTTGGCCGGGCTAGCCTGGAACTCCTAGCCTCAAGCGATCCGCCCCCCTCAGCCTCCCAAAGTGCTGGGATTACAGGCATGAGCCACCATACCTGGCCTCTAATCTTGTTTTTATATGGTATGGTGAAGCTAAATATGTTTGGGTCTGTTAGTAAACATAAAAAATTGTTCTATGAGGAATCACATATTTTTATAAATTATAACATGCATGTTTATAAAATGTTAGTATGTGACAGTTCAAAATTTATTTCCTAGGCTTTCACTAGAAATTAAGATTATTACATATTAAAATTTTTAATTAATATAGGTAATTCTGTACACAAAGTGTATTAAAAAAGTAAGATGTGTTTTTGGTGAGAAAATTGTAGAAGGACATGAGGATATACCTTTGTTAAAGAAAAGACTAATTTCATCTAACTTGGAGGTTATTTAGAAGATGTCTCAAAATATGGACTAAGGAAGAAAATAGAAGCAAGGCAGACAGAAACCAGTAAGTAGGAGAAAGTGGTGCAAAAAAATCTATAAATATAAGTGTGTATTTTTGATAGAAAAATGTTGAAAAGAGAAAGTAATTTTTTTTGTATGAGAGAGAATTTTGTGTGGTCATAATGACAGGGGAAAAAAGTATATTTTTGTCTTTAGGTAGAATGATTGGTTATTGTAATATGAAGAAAGAAATTTAGGACAACAAGGTTTAAGCAAGTTGTAGAAGATTTGTGGAAGTAAAATCTTATGAAAGAAATTTTGTGTGTGATCAAGTTGGTTAAAATTGGTTGTGAGGGATATCAAATTGAGTTCTATTAATGAATCCAGGAATAGAAAATACCTTCTTTGCCCTATTTATTCAAGGCCAGTGCCCTGAAGCCAGTTGTCTAATTAAGAAACAGGTTAAGTTGAAAAGACCAGACTGGGTAGAGTGGCTCACACTTGTAATCCCAGCACTCTGGGAGTCTGAGGCAGGAGGATCTCTTGAGCCCAGGGGTTCAAGACCAGCCCAGGCAATTTAGTGGGACTTCATCTTGATCTACAAATCAATAAATAAATGAAAATTTTTAAAAAGTAGAAAAGAGTATGTATCAACTAAATGATTTCCAAAACACAATTTCTTGGCACTTAGCTGTCTTTTTTTGAAATTCTTTGTAAAAGAAATTCTATTTTTAAGGGTGTCTCCCTCTCTGCATCTAAATCATTAGGAACTTTTACAATGGGGAAGACATTGGCTTGAAGTTTACATAACAAACCTTACCTTTGTATAGGTTTTTCTAAAAATTAATGTTTAATATCAAAAAAGTACACTGATGCAAAACTGAAATTTGATTTATTGTGTTAAAACAACAAGGTTTTTGTTTTAAAGTATTCATCTGCTCTTAGTAAATTATTGTGAGATCTTGTAGGTAATTGGCCTAGAAAACAATGATTCTGTTTAATCAAAATAATTTCCTATGTTTCATGTTTTCTTTATTAGGTCATTGATTACTTAGGAAAACAGACACTCATCTCTATTAAAGAGTTGAGGTTTTTGACAATTATGTTACTTCCTGTATTTTCTTTTGAAGTCTTTTAATTATCACTCTGGCTAAATGAATGACTATTATTTCACAGTGACTTGTAATCTTATTTTTGATCAAGTCTTTTGAACTTTTATTTTTGACAAACTTCCCAAAATCAAATTCAAAATTAATTTTTGACCTCAAACTAACTTTTGGACACTCCAGAAGGGCCCCTGGAAGTTCAAAAGAGAAATATTAAACCAATTAGACTTATTTGATATGTTAAATTATGTGGAAAACATTGTCAAATAAGAAATGGTGTTAAATTTTCTTTGAGTTATATTTGTATACATTACTAAGGTGTGCCACAATTGTATGAGATTTCTAGAAATCTGATGTGTTATCAAGTCATAATGTCAGTTATTATGTTAAAATGTTGTACTTTGCAGAAATAACCAAATTTTCCTGTCAATTGCATCCTTTCTATAATGGACTCTCAAAGGCTTTTAACCATTGCCACCTTAAGTCTGGTTGTCTGCAGTTAATTGCTTTATTCTGATGCCTTTCTGAAAGCTTTTTGCAGGCAACTATAATTCTAAAGTATTGTGTCTTCAAGGAGGTTTATAGAAAGAATGGAAAGAAGTCTAACAAGTATAGGCTTCCGATAACTTTGAGATACTATTGGACTGAGTAAGAAAGTCTAAAGTTCAACTGAAGAAACTGATGGGTTTGTGAAACTGCTGAGATCAAACAGAGCAAGAATTAATTACATGAAGCTGAATGAACTGATGAAGAAGAATTACGAGTTTTTACAGCTTTTTAATTTGAAGCATTGTTGGTTCATTTAATGTTTTGTTTTCCAGTTTTGTTTTGTTGTGTTTTGTTTTGTTTTGTTTTTTTGAGACAAAGTCTCCCTCTGCTGCCCACGCTGGAGTAGAGTGGTGCTGGAGTGCAGTGGTGCTATCTTGGCTCACTGTAACCTCTGCCTCCAAGCGATTCTCCTACCTCCGCCTCCTGAGTAGCTAGGACTGCAGACGTGTCACCAAACCTGGCTAATTTTTGTATTTTTAGTAGAGATGGGGTTTCACCATCTTGGCCAGGCTGGTCTTGTACTCCTGACCTCAAGTGATCCACCCACCTCGGCCTCCCAAAATGCTGGGATTACAGGCATGAGTCATTGTGCCCAGCCTGTCTTCCAGTTTTAAGGAAAGTAAGTTTTTTTTTTTTCCCTTTTAAGCTATCTATAGCTTACAGCAATTTTGTGAAGCATACTTTTGTAAACAAAAATTAGAACGTTTGCTTTTCCTTCTTACCTGATACTTCCTAAATTCAGAAGCTATTTGTGAGTATTCTTATTTTTATGGTAATATGGTTATTTGCATAACTTCAATAATAATTTGCTCTCTTTATAACAGGATACAATTAGAAACATTGGTTATACTACCAAGGCTTTGACTGGAATGTCATATTTGAGAATACGTATGGAATGTTAGGCTTCAAGAGTTCCGAGCCTTACAGTGAGTAAAAAGTCATCGCAGGTGCAGGAATCTCAATATATTGGACACTGCAGGCAAAGTCTGATGTCTGCCTTGGTTCTGCTTCCTAGTATCCAGGTTTTTCAAAGTCCCATCTGAGGCCAGGTACAGTGGTTCACACCTGTAATCCCAGCACTCTGGGAGGCCGAGATGAGCCAATCACTTGAACCCAGTTCAAGACCAGCCTGGGCAACATGGCAAAACCCGTCTCTACAAAAAAAATACAAAAATTAGCCAGTGTGGTGGCACATGCCTGTAGTCCCAGTTATTTGGGAGGCTAAGGTGGGAGGATCACTTGAGCTGGGGAGGTCAAGGCTGCAATGAGCCATGACCGCACCATTGTACTTCAGCATGGGTGAGACAGCAAGACTCTGTCTCAAAATAAATGAACAAATAAAAGTCCAATCTGAGATTCTTTGTCAAAATATGCAACAATGCAAATTTAAAAGGAGCCTATGTGGTTACTCTTGCTGCAATTATATAATTAATTATGTAAATAAGGTCAATGAGACTAAATTTATTTTGCAAACAAATTAGTTTTACTCTGTTGATCTTTGGTATAAATGGGGGTGACTATAAGACAAAAATCACATTTTAGAAGAAAGCTATAATACACCTATTATAAAACTGTGGCCCTTTTCATTGTTTTTGAGATTTTTTTTTTTTTTTTTTTTGAGACATAGTTTCGCTCTTGTTGCCCAGGCTGGAGTGCAGTGGCATGATCTCGGCTCACTGCAACCTCCGCCTCCTGGGTTCAAGCAATTCTCCTGCCTCAGCCTCCCGAGGAGCTGGGATTACAGGTGACTTCCACCACACCGGGCTAATTTTTGTATTTTTAGGAGAGATGGGGTTTCTTCATGTTGGTCAGGCTGATCTCGAGCTCCCGACCTCAGGTAATCTGCCTGCCTCAGCCTCCCAAAGTGCTGAGATTACAGGCGTGAGCCACCGCACCCAGCCCCGGCCTTGTTTTTGAGTTTTTATTATCTGTCTGTAGACTGGACTAGATTCTAACTTCTTCTAATTTTCTCCAATATCTTACAACTCTCCGACTAAAACCAAAAACTGCTCTGTTTCTGAAGTCCTATAAGGTGAAGCTGGACAACTTGATATAAATCTCAAGGGAACGTCTCATGCCCTTGATGTGTGAGCCACACAGAGTTCCCTAGAACGTGCAATGCCACAGTCAGAGACGTTCAAACTGGAAGCCAGGACAACAAGATGCTGACTTAAAGCTGTGGACAGCCTTCTCCAAGATGGCAGAAGAAGACTCCATGTCATAATGACTCTTACCCCTTTTAATTTTTTTTTACTTATGCCTGCCTCTTTCACTTGGCAGGATAATGCTGCAGTTAGAATTTCACAATCCGTATCTTCTGTGGGTAACTGGATGGAATGTTGAACCTGTCATATCAAACCTAAATAGTTACAGGACCTAACAAATCCTCTAGTCCACCTAGTGGGTAACTTCAGCAACATCCGTAACACAACTGTTTTTTCAAATTGTATTTGTGGTCTCTTTTCCAGAGGTAGCACTCTCTTTTTTAATTTAACCTACTCCTGGGAAGCTAGATGTTAGAATTGCTATGTAACAACGGAACAGGGAGGAAGCTGTGCAGTTGCTGACATTTCTCGTTGTACATAGATGAATACATCAGGTAGCGTAGAGACACGGCTGCAAAAAATCAATACACAGCCACTCAAAATGTGTAGAGGACTCACAGGCTCATTTTTTGATCTATTTGATTTTAGTTGGTTTGGTTATAGGGTTGTCTAGTCTTTTGGCTTACCTGGGCCACATTGGAAGAAGAAGAATTGTCTTGCACCACATGTAAAATACACTAATGCTAACGATAGCAGATACAAAAAAAAAACAAAAACAAAAACGCAAAAAACATCTCATAATGTTTTAAGAAAGTTTACGATTTTGATTTGGCCCAGGCTTTGAATGTGGGCCTCATTCAAAGCTGTCCTGGGCCACAGGTAGGACACACTTGGTTTATGAGGACCCTGGCTAAGGAGCATACTCCATACTCAGTATTAAACTCCTTATCGTCACAATAGTAGTCTCCTTGGTGCACTGTATCCTCTCAAAAAAGTTTTAAATGTTTGCACGCAGCCATCCACCAAATGTCAAATGATCCCTTTTCAGCTGGAATGACAAAAACTCAAAGAAATGCATTATCATGAGGATACCATAACCTGTGAGTGACACGCTGAGACTGGAAACACAGAAACTGAGAGGAGTGCTAATAGTTCTGGTCACTCTCTCACCTAGGTGACAGCCTGACAAAAGGGGGGAATTATTAAATAAAAATTAAAAGAGGCCATTGCTCTTGGACTAAGTTCCTGCTCTAGGCCCCAACAGACCAGACTAGAAATCAAAATGGAGTCACCCATGTTAAAGTTCCACATCACCAAATGGAAACTAAGTTGTTACCTGGCCTTCTGGGAAATCAGGAAAGAGAGATAACAGCCTAATTTACCAAACACGCCAATTTCAGTCTTCAGTCAGCATGATAATGAAGTTCCCCTTGCTTTAATCCTTAACTTGAAATAACCTGATATTAACCAATCCATGAGTTTTCTATTTTTTAGTCTCCCGGTCCCTGCATTACAAGGAAAGTAACTTTGAAATGACCAATTCAAGGCCGGGTGCGGTGGCTCACGCCTGTATTCCCAGCACTTTGGGAGGCAGAGGCAGGCTAATCACCTGAGGTCAGGAGTTCGAGACCAGCCTGACCAACATGCAGAAACCCCATCTCTACTAAAAATACAAAAAATTAGCTGGGCGTGGTAGCACATGCCTGTAATCCCAGCTACTTGGGAGACTGAGGCAGGAGAATCGCTTGAACCCAGGAGGCAGAGGTTGCAGTGAGCTGAGATCATGTTATTGCACTCCAGCTGGGTAACAAAAGCGAAATTCTGTCTCAAAAAAAAAAAAAATGACCAATTCAATGTTTGTTCCTTGTTTCTGTTTTCTTCAGCCCTTTTTCTGCCTATGAAGCCAATCTCCTTTGCTCAGCTCATTGGAATTAACTTATCTTTTTTTATGGAATAAAGTATTGCCTGATTCTAGAATTGCAAATAAAGCCAGTTGAGGCCTTTAAACTAGATTCGTTGTCATTTGGTCTTTTCACAGTCATCACTGGATCCCCAGCTCCAAGAACACTGCCTGGCACACAACTGTGCTATGCGCACACGTTTATCTTTATTAAAGCACCTCAGTGGGCTTGCAGAGAAAAATAACAAAGAACCGTTCTGAATTTCCATAAACATTTTACTAGCTGATAATAAGATTGTGCTCACTTTTCAGTCGGGGTTCTAAAATTAAATTAAATCTGTGACTTTTTACAAGGGTATTTCTTTAATGGCATGAAATATGTAGAAAGCAAAGAATTTTCTAGTGAAGAGGCAAGTGCAACGTCATCACACTTCACAGATATGGAAACTCAGGCCCAGAGAGGTGGAGCAGCTGTCCTGTGGCTACACATCTGAACTGGGGTTTGGACTAAGGATTCCCAGTGGCTCTTGTTCATCACTCCTGATTGCTCTCAGATTAGCTGCTCCTGCAGTCCCCAGGCGGGGAATCGAGGTGCGAGCGAGGCCTGTGTATGGCAAAGTGCAGCTGGATGGTACCACTCGGGGTAACTTGCGTCTTCTCTAGACATTTACCTGTGTTCATTTGGGGGAGCATTTCCAAGGACACAAATAGACTGATGTGGAAAAAAACCTATAACTTTTCTTAGTAGCTGAGATAACCCTGGGGATGGAGCTGCTTTAAAGGGGGCCAGGGGTCCAGGTCCCCAGGGAGGTGGGCGGCTGCCGAACAGCCTGCCAATCATGGTGGCTTCGGTTTACGGCTTCTGATCTGCTGAGTACTGAAATCTCGCCTGGGGCTGGTGTGCCTGTGGCATTGCTGGGACCAATTAAAATACAAAACAAAACAAACAAAAAAACAAAACAAAAAATGTCAGCAGAGGCTGCGAAGAGAGAGGTCAAGGAGGGACAACAGGGAGGCACAGAGATTGTGCAGTTTGTCTACTGTGTTCTCAGCCTTCCCCAAGATTTCCATAACAATGTGTCCTTGTGGGGAATGGGGCAGTCCAGGCTGACCCCAAGGGTCTAACAAAGGGACAAAACCAAGAGACAACTTTTCTGAGTCAAAGATTCTCAAATGAAATGGATCTGAATGGTAGGTGCGAGGACAGCAGGACCCGGCTCCTTGATCTTGGGAAATGTGTTAATGAGCTGGGGGTGTGCAATGAGGTTGCGCTCACACCCTCCAGCTCCAAAGGGGGTTGGGGGCTGGGAGCCTTCTGGTGGCCTGGCTCGGGCGCAGCTGCACCCTGCGTTGTGTAGGAGAGAACGCTCCATCCTGATTATGTAAATCAAAGTCCAACTGTCAACATTATGCACTAGCAAAGAATTCTCCTCTGTGATGATGTGAATTTCAATGGAGCTTCAAGGCCTCCCTCAGTGGAGGAGTGGCTTTGTTCCGTGAAAGGAGGAAAGGTAAACTCTTCATCAAAAACTCCCATGCCTCACCACGAAGAATGAAGAGACAGAAAAGCAGCTAGTGAGTGGCATGCACCTGTCTATTTCAGCAGCCTGTCATCTGTGCAGATAAGAACTCTCCTGGCCTTGGTGCTGTAAGGGATGCTAGTCACCTTACCCCCTAGCAAATGTGTGTAATCTGCACAGAAACCTGTGGGGAGAAGGAGGTGGCTGGCTGATTTTTGCCAGCACACAGACACCACCCCAGGGTAGCCTCAGTTCTGCCGTCTGTTAGACAGCTGGGTGGTCTGATGGTTCCCTAGGCATGCTGGGAGCCAGGCAGCCAGGGTGGGCACCAGGTCTCCTCCTCCCCTCCCCGCAGTCCTGGGCAACCTGCAGATGCCCTGCACAGCACACACGGCAAGAGTGCAACCCACCCGTGTCCCTCCAAGCTGCAGTGGAAGAGTGGAAGAGTGACCTCGCAGGTCTGAGAGTGGCTGGTTCATGTGAGATGCCGTGACCAACCTTTCTAAAGTGGAAAACACTCAAGTAGCCTAATAGCCAATGTCCCAGATCTACGTGGAAGGGAACTGAGGGCTGGGGAGGCCAGGCAAGAAGCAAAATCCGTGAATGGCCAGAGGGAGACTCTATTGGCTTTAGGGTGGGGGCAGGCAGGAGAAGGTGGCTTTCAGGACCCCTGAGAGTTTACCCTGGTCTCTGAGGAGCCACCGGTAGCTACTGCTGCAAGAAAACAACATCCTGGCTTAGCTGAGGGGGGCGGGTGTGTGTGTTCTCTGGCCGTGCTTAAGAAACCAAGTTTTTCAAGTATTTCAGCAACTACAAAGGGCTCTGTTTAATGCAGCATGCATAGGAACCAAAGGCTGGCCCCCTGAGCCTTTGAGGATAAACTGGGAGCTGCCTGGGTCCTTGGGGTGCATGGCTGCTATAGCTCGTCATGTGCATCTCTCTCTCTTTTTTTTTTTTTTTTTTTTTGAGACGGAGTCTTTCGCCCAGGCTGGACTGCAGTGGCGCGATCTTGGCTCACTGCAAGCTCCGCCTCCCAGGTTCACACCATTCTCCTGCCTCAGCCTCCCGAGTAGCTGGGACTACAAGCACCCGCCACCGCGCCTGGCTAATTTTTTGTATTTTTAGTAGAGACGGGGTTTCACCGTGTTAGCCAGGATGGTCTCGATCTCCTGACCTTGTGATCCGCCCGCCTTGGCCTCCCAAAGTGCTGGGATTACAGGCGTGAGCCACGGCGCCAGGCCGTGCATCTTTAAAATCCCTCTTCCATCTTGACATTCTGCCAATTTCTTCAATTCTGAAACTTGAAGATATTCTGTTGGCGAGCATTGACGATTTGGTAGTGACTTTGGGCAGCAAATTCTTTTCTTTTCTGTCTTTCTTTCTTAAATATCCTGTGCTTGCTGCATCCCCAGGCCTGGGCGGCAGAAGGAGGAGCCCATCCTCTAGCTGTGCAGGAAGTAAGGGGTAAAGCCCATTCTCCATTTCATCCTTAGGAGCTAACTCCTAATCTTGTGTTGCCCGCAGCCCTAAGTGTTCTTAAGTGTCCTCAGCCTAGCCTGGGCTCCTGAAATGGTGATGTATTTTGCATGGAAAGGGTTTCTTCTATAGGTGACTCTGGGTTAAAAGGAGGTTTCTTTCCTGCAGGACTTATCAGAGCCTTTAGTTTGCTGATGTGCATTGTGGATCTCTAACGGAGGACTCTGTGATCCCTTTGGTTTGGAGCTGGGCATGCCCTCAGGCTGGCGTTCCCAGGTGCATTTGGTGTTAGGCTATAGAGGGACCCCTTAAGAGGAGAAAAGAAGAAACTGGTCAGGCAGGCAGTTAGGGTGGCTCCTCAGTTGAATTTTTTCTTTTCCTTTTTTTTTTTTTTTTTTTTGAGATGGAGTCTTGCTCTGTCACCCAGGCTGGCGTGCAGTAGTGCGATCTCAGCTCACTGCAATCTCTGCCTCCCGGATTCAAGTGATTCTTCGGCTTCAGCCTCCCAAGTAGGTGGGATTATAGGCATGCGCACCACGCCCAGAAAATTTTTGTATTTTTAGCAGAGATGGGGTTTCACCATGTTGGCCGGGCTGGTCTCAAACTCCTGACCTCGTGATCCACCCGCCTCAGCCTCCCAAAGTGCTGGGATTATAGGCATGAGCCACTGCACTTGGCGGTTGAATACTTTCGAACAAAAGAACAGCCAGCAGGCACAGATATGGGAACTTGCACAGGGGAGTTGCCTAAGACATGCCCACAGCTACACAGGTAAGAAAGTCTACACAGGTGACTTGCCCAGACATGCCTGCCATGGAAAATTTCATCCCCTGACACATGCGCAGTAAGGGGAACAAAGCAATATGGAGTATCTCAAGCCAAGAGTCCACATGCGCATTAGGAGGACAGGGTGAAGCTACCCGAAATTCACACCCTATGCAAATAAGATGCCCAGCCCACATTGGTTTCTTGTAAAAGCGTTTGCATTCAACTGCAAAAACAGCAACCCATTCGGCCCCCTCTCTGTGGCTGAGAGCTTTCTTCTTTTGCTTGTTAAACTTTCCCTCCAACCTCACCCTTTATGTCAGGCTCCTTAATCCTGTTGATCCTGAGACAAAAAACTCCAGGCGATACCTCACAATGAGAGACTGCGACATTGTGGTGCATTGGCAAGACTCTAACACTCTGGTGAGGGTTGAAGCAGGGTAATACCTCAGTTGTTTACCGTCACTCCCAACTGGTCGGAGATTTTTACTCAAGTCTAAGACCCCTCTCCCTCACTCTCAGGCCAACTAAACAAAGCGGCCAAGTGTTTTATACCCTCCTGGCCAGAGTCCTCCCTGGAGTTCACAGGGCTGCCTTCTGCCCAGCACCCACTCCTGCCAAGGGTATCCCCTTGTCTCTCATAGCCTGGAGGGTGGCCTGCCCAGGGCCACACAGCTCCTTGGCACAGGCCCCCTTGCTGAGCAGCTACCCTACAGAAGGTCTCCAGGCTGTGCTGGCAATTCAGTGGGCATGGGGTGCTCTGGCCAGGGTTTGGTGTGGGGCAGCTGCCAGCCCCATCCAGCCCAGTGGTGCTTCTTGGCCCTGGCTGGACCCAGTGTACCATAAACTCCGTACACCTTCTTAGACATCACTGGTTCCCTCCCTGTCCCACATCCTCCTCCAGCCCTGCTGGGACTGTCTCCCTCACCTCTGACCTCACATCTCCCTCACACTGTCTTCTCTGGCTCTCCAGGGATCAATGTCCATTTGGCAAATGACCCTGGTCCTGGCCCATTCCCTGTCCTCCCACCTCCTGGCCTTGGCTGAGGCCTTTGCCCCTCAGTGTGCAGGAACCAGGCAAGTGCCCTTTTTGCCATCCCACTAAAAGTAGAGGATACAGAAGAACAAGGAATCCAAGAGAACGAGGTACTGGACTTGGACCTCCCTGGTAGGTGGCGGTGACTCCAGCAAGCTCTAGAGAGGGGGCTGGACATGTTGTCCCTAGGAAGACCTGCTGTCACATGGCTGAATGGAGTACTTACTGGCCAGCTGGCCTGCTCTCAAGCTTGGGGTCCTCTATAGCACACCCTACCCCAACTCAAGGGTCCTTGAACCCATCACTCAGGCCCTGGGCCCCATCCCTCAAGGGCAGTTGCCTGCAGAACTCTGCTCAGGCATGGGCATGGATTAGTGCCTGGGTCTGAAGTGCCCCCCAACCCTCTATGGGCACAGATGTGGGACCACCTGCCCAGCTTGGAGGCTGGTGAATCAGGCATGTCTCCGCTTCAGGAGTTCTCCCAGGACTGGGTTCAAAAGGTGTCTTCAGCAGCCCTGGGCACTGCTGCCCTGGAAGATGCTCCTGTGGAAGTGGCCCACTGCAGGGCCTTGGACAAAGTGGACCCCTGACTGAGGCTGTGAACTAAAAACAAAATTCTAAGCACCCCCAACCATCTGAATGGACCCCTCCTTTCAGCCAAGGACATTCCAAAGTTAACCTGAAAAACTAGTTCAGGCCATGACGGGAAGCAGGGGATTTGGACATGCCTCAGCATACCCTCCTTCTTTTGGAATTTAGGCACAACTGACCAGCATTGACATTAAAACAGAGACTACGTGTGTGTGAGACAGGGTCTGGCTCTGTTACCCAGACTACAGTGTTGTGGTGCGATCATGGCTCGCTGCAGCCTTGACCTACCAAGATTAAGTGATCCTCCCACCTCAGCCTCCCAAGTAGCTGGGACCACAGGCACACACCACCACATCTGGTAATTTTAAAATTTTCTTGTAGAGACAGGGTCTCACTATGTTGCCCAGGCTGGTCTTGAACTCCTAGGCTCAAGTGATCCTCTTGCCTCAGCCTCCTAAAGTGTTGGGATTACAGGCATGAGCCACTGCACCCAGCCTAAAACAGAGATCTCAAGGCCTTTGTAGCAATAAGACACTAAATTCCAGGCTGACTCTAGTATAGCATCATGACAGATAGCAGGCCCTGAAAGAACTCAAAGTATTTTACCCTAAAATATATTTCTTTGACATATTTTGGAATGGTCCTTTACAGCTGTCTGTTGTGGGGAAAATCTACATTCTGTAGAGAATCCCTTTCCCTTTCCAGGTCTTTTCCCTGATACAGGAAAGAATTAACTAAGAGTCTGGCACCTTTTTATGTCTGATAAGAAACATTTACAATCTATTCTCTCTGAAGCTGTCCACCTGGAGGCTTCATCTGCATAATAAGAACCTTGGTCTCCCAACTCTTATTTTAACCCAGACACTCCTTTCTATGGATTTCAGGTCTTTATTTTTTAGATGGAGTCTCACTTTGCCGCCTAGGCTGTAGTACAGTGGTGTGATCTTGGCTCACTGCAACCTCCGCCTCCCAGGTTCAAGCAATTCTCTTGTCTCACCCTCTTGAGTAGTGGGGATTACAGGAACCTGCCACCATGCCTAGCTAATTTTTGCATTTTTAGTAGAGACAGGGTTTCACCATGTTGGCCAGGCTGTCTCGAAATCCTAACCTCAGGCAATCCACCCACCTCAGCCTCCCAAAGTTCTGGGACTACAGGTGTGAGCCACCGTGTCTGGCCAGATTCCAGGTCTTTAGATGAACTCTTTCAACCAATCGCCAGTCAGAAAATCTGTGAATCCACTTATCATCTGGAAGCCTCCCCTCCCCGCCCTTCAAGATTTTCTGCTTTTCCAGGCTGAGCCAACAACAGTGTGAGCCACATGTTGTCAGGAGCTCCTGAGCCTGTGTCACGGGCATGTTATTGAAAACATCGACAAGTCTCAAACTGATTGAGACTTGTCTCAGATACTTTTTGGTTCACAAGGTCCCTTGGACAAGGCTTCCACCGTTGAGATTCTTTCTCAGCTGGAGAGAGGACCAGAGTCCTGCTTCCCAGGACTGGGGAGAGGATTGAATGGGATGTGTGGAGTCTCTTGGACCCCAGTACTCAAAGTGTGTTCCAAGCATGGGCTGCAAACTGTTGGCTACTGGCCATACCCAGAGGGTTCAGAAACGACAGCCTACATTTAGACCTAATTTTAGCAGTTTGAAAGAATCAATGTCTGTCTACGGAATTTAACAATTAAAGAAAACTTAGGGCTTGGATTTTGCATGTCATTTTAAAATTTCATTTTTTGGCAATTCATTTTTATTGCCTTGTATGAAAGTACAGGTCTTCAATGGATTGAAAAATTTAGCAAGACAGCAATGAGCCCTTTGTCACAGACAGATTTTGGGTTTTATTCTTTGTATGATGTGAAGCCATAGAGAGATGGGTGAGGGTGGCATGGGGTGTGTTACATTCAAGGCCTCTGATGAGGACTGGGGAACAGAGGAGGTTTTCTGGGTCTCCTCCTTCTGTGAGACAGGAATTGTTTTGAATCTGAAACTGCCTTTGCAAAATTATGACTAAGACAGTGAAAGAGATCTAACTTAATCAACTCCATCTTGCTTCTAACCTCTAAGCTGTCCTTGATCATTCCTGGGCGCAGGCTGAACTAACTTTCGGATAAACTTAGTTTATAATTTATAGTTTAAACAAAGACTATAACAGCCCTTTCCCAAAGCCGACCTCCTTCTTGCCGGGGGACTAGACTGCCTTTGTAGGACTAACATTAGCCACAAGATTAGAAATTACGGTTTAGGAGTCAGGCAGCTGGAGGCTACAAGATTCTGACCCTCCCTAAACTGCTCCTAAGAGCAGTGCTTGAGATATTTTGCAGAACCTGCACTTGATGGATCTGCTGGTACCACCCAGATCAATACACTGGCTCATCTGATCTTGTGACCCCCACCCAGGAACTGACTGAAAACAGGATGACAGGTCTGACTCCCTGTGATTTCATCCTTGACCAATCAGTACTCCTGGCTCACTGGCTTCCCCCCACCCACCAAGTTATCCATAAAAGCTCTGCTCCCCGAATGCTCAGGGAGATTGATTTGAGTAATAATCCGTGTGAATTATTCTTTCTCTTTGCAATTCCCCTGTCTCCATGAATTGGCTCTGTTTAAGCAGCAGGCAAGGTGAACCCCTTGGGTGGTTACAAATTTCCATGTGGAATTCTGCATCCAAGCAGATTCCAAACACAGCCTATGTGAGCGTACATGAAACTTCCCTGGGTTCCAGCAACACTCTCTGGGAAATGGAGGTGCTGTAGCCTCAAAGGGAGCCAAGCGTGGTCCTAGTGCTTCGGGCCCAGGGAGAGGTGAGAGCTGCTGTCCCCTGAGCCGGGGGCGTGCCTGCTACTCAGTTGCTCTGAAGAGTGGGAGACTGCAGTGGGGGAGCTTGGTGAAGGAGGCTCCTGCCTGCAGCTCCAACCACACATGGTTAGACAAGGAAGCTCAGATAACCAAGGGGAGTTTGCAGAAGTTCTTCTTAGCTCCACTCTATCACCTGTTTGTGCCTTAGGCAGGCACAAACCGTTGAGGCTGTGCTCCTCAGCTTCACCCTCACTCTTCCTGTGGCTCGCTTGCGAAGTATCAAAACATGTTTAAATTGTGAAAACATTTAATTCAAAATTAAATTTCAAAATCATAGACAAGACTGATATAACAGACAAGTGAAGACCCACAATTCTGTTTTACAGATGTTGTGACTTTACATGTGTACTTATATATATTTTTCTCTCTTAAAAGGAGGGAAGGAAGAAGGGAGAAAGGGAGGGGGAGAGAGAGAGAGAATGAACATTACTGAGGACTAAACTCTGACCTTTTTTCTCTCTTGCCCAAATTCCTATCTAAGGGACTGGGGAGTCATGCCTTACAGACCATAAAATCTCATCAGTTGGGTTTCATTTAACTGTATATAATGTGACTTACTTTCCAACCTGACTATGGCATAACATCACATGACAGATAAAGAAGGAAATCGGCCAGGTGCAGTGGCTCACACCTGTAATCCCAGCGCTTTGGGAGGCCAAGGCAGGTGGATCACTTGAGATCAGGAGTTGAAGACCAGCCTGGCCAACATGGTGAAACCCCGTCTCTACTAAAAATACAAAAATTAGCCAGGCATGGTGGTGGGCACCTGTAATCCCAGCTACTCTGGAGGCTGAGGCACAAGAATCAGTTGAACCTGGGAGGCGGAGGTTGTAGTGAGTCGAGATTGTACCACTGCACTCCAGGCTGGGTGACAGAGCGAGACCTCTGTCAAAAAAAAAAAAAAAAAAAAAAAAAAAAGGAAATCAAAATATTTTACCCCAGAATATGTTTCTTTGCCATATTTTGAAATGGCCCGCCATCTTTTGTGGGGGAAAATTTGCAGCTGTAAAGAGTTCTATTAACATAATAGAGCTTTCCCCTTCTAGGCCCTCCCACTGCTGAAGAGATTAGCTGAGAGTCTAGCACCTTTTAAAGACCTGAACAGGAAACATTTGCCATCTATTGTCTCTAAGGGTGGCCACCTAAGAGACATCATCTACATAATAAGAACTTTGAACTTCACAACTCCTTATCTTAACCCAGACACTTCTTTCTATTGATTCCAGGTTTTTGATAATAACTCTTTCAACCAATTGCCAACCAGAAAACCTTTGTATCCACCTATGTGACCTGTGGGCCACCCTCCCCACAATATGTCCCCATTTCCAGGCCGAACCAGTGTATACCTCACATGTATTGACTGATCTTTTACGTCTCCCTATAATGTATAAAGCCAAGCTCTAACCCAGTGCCTGGGCGCATGTTCTCGGGACCTCTTGAGACTGTGCCTTGGGCCATGATCATTCATATTTGGCTCAGAATAAATGTCTTTAAATGTTTCACAGAGTTTGACTATTTTTGTCAACATTATAGATACAGCTAACCATCTCCACTTTGAAGAGATGTATGTATTTATTTTGGATTTCCCTTGTTTTAGATTTTTCTATAAATAGTGTACTTACATTTATTTTTTTTTTTTTTGAGATAGGGTCTCACTCTGTTGCCCAGGCTAGAGTGCAGCTCGCTGCATCCTTGACCTCCTTGGGCTCAAGTAGTCCTCCCACCTCAGCCTCCTAATACCTGGGACTACAGGTGCACTCCACCACACCTGGTTAATTTTTTGTATTTTTCATAGAGATGGGGCTTCACCATGTTGCCCAGACTCGTCTCAAACTCCTGGACTCAAGCAATCTGCCCGCTTTGGCCTCCCAAAGTGCTGGGATTACAAGTGTGAGCCACCACGCCTGGCTAGTGGCTTATTTTTTAATCCAGCAGTATGTTCTGAGGTTTATCCATGTTGATACAGGTGGCTTGGTTCATTTGTTTTAAGTGCTGTGTAGTATTTCATTATGTGAATAAACAAAAGCTTACCTATACTGTTTTGAATGAACTGTTTGTTGTTTCTGGTCTTCTACAGCATGAATGTGAATGTGAGCATTTTTGCACATTTCCTTGTACACATATGCTAGAATTTGTCTAAGGCAGATGGGTACAATTGCTGGGCTATCCTATTATTAATCGTATTTAGGATCTTGAACTTTGACTCTTGACTTTATGTGTCTTTTAGCAACAACAAAAAAAATGTAGACAGGGATAAAAGTGCAAGGCAGAATCTCATTTTTCTTCTCCTGCATGAGTACTTGGAGGTCTTTCCTGGAAGAGGGACTGTTTTGGCCAGTGGGGCCTCCAAGCAGCAGGCTGCTGAGGGATGGAGCTCAAGGGTCCCCAGTGTCCCCAGGGATTTGCTCACTGCCTCAGGATTCCACGCTGTGCACCCCAGTTGGTCTAAGACCAAGGGAAGAGCTTCAGAGCTGGGAAGAGCTGGCCAGCCAAGGACAAAGGGTCAGATCTGCCTTGTACAAATAGAGGGCCAGGCGAGATGACCCTGGAAGACTCGTACATAGTGCAGTTTGTGTTTGTTTTTCCCACAGGGCAGCTGGTGTGTTTCAACAAACACGGTGCAGAGGGGTGCTGCTTTCGATTAGGAAACCGGGAACCGACACTGAGCTGCTGCGTCAATGAAGGGCCTAGTGTGCAACGAGATAGAATGAAAACAGCCCACTGTATGCTCATGTGATTTCACGGCTGTTTCCTAGTACTTCTTTAAGAATGGCTTCCTTAAAGCCAGAGGTATTGTCTTTCATTCTTCCACCAATAATTTTACTTCTTAAGTGAGGGCTTTTATAAATAGGCCTTAGGGCAAACTGTGCCATCAAGGTTCTTAACTCCTACAAGTTTTTGTAGGAGTTTGGCATGCACCACTGTTACAGGACAGGGGTCCAGATCCAGACCCCAAGAAAGGGTGCTTGGATCTCGTGCAAGAAAGATTTCAGGGTGAGTCCACAGTGCAAAGTAAAAGCAAGTTTATTAAGAGAGTAAAGTAGGCTGGGCTCGGTGGCTCACGCCTGTAATCCCAGCACTTTAGGAGGCCGGAGCGGGCAGATCACGAGGTCAGGAGATTGAGACCATCCTGGCTAACACAGTGAAATGCTGTCTCTACTAAAAATACAAAAAATTATCCGGGTGTGGTGGCAGGTGCCTGTAGTCCCAACTACTTGGGAGGCTGAGGCAGGAGAATCGCTTGAACCCGGGAGGTGGAGGTTGCAGTGAACTGAGATCGCGCCACTGCACTCCAGCCTGGGCGACAGAGTGAGACTCCATCTCAAAAAAAAAAAAAAAAAAAAGAGTAAAGTAGTGAAAGAACAGCAGAACAGCTACTCCATAGACAGAGTAGGACGTTCCCAAAAGTAAGAGGAGGAACACGTCCACCCTAGGTGTGATACTCATATATACGGAGAGATGTGTTCTGCTACAAGGGTTTGTGATAAAGGATTTATTTTCTTAATTATTATATTTTGCAGGAATCAATATTATCATCTTTAAAGCAAAATTAGGAATCCCTTTGTTCTCCAGATATCCAGATATCTGGACACTCCCAAGTCTGGGTCTGTTTAGTAAACATTATTAATTTGTTGCCATAACTGTAAACATCTAGAGACGAGGAATGCCTAACTTTCTGAGAATGCAGCCCAGCAAGTCCCAGCCCCATTTCCCCAGCCCTCACTCAAATGGAGTCGCTCTGGTTCAAACACCTTTGACCCCACCACAGCATGGGATCACCTCAGATAGGGGGAGGAGGTCACCTTCGTCCTTGGGCTTGAAGTAATGCAGTGTGAGGTCCTGTAGGAATGGCTGTGCGTGTGCGGGTATAAAGGAGGTGCTGTTTTTCAGTCTGGACCAAAATCGAAGTGATTCTCCCCTCCTCCCCTTTTGCTGAATTCCCTGCTCCCAGACCCTACCCATTGCAATTTCAAGGCACCAAACATACAGCAATACACTGGGCACAGGTGAACAGGTGACATCAAATTCAAGAACAACAAAAGCCTGTTCCTTTTCAGAGCTTATCAGCAAGAACAGTGTGGGCCAGCTTTGTGCTGGGGAGGAGGAGGTCACGTGGAGCCACCTGGCCCGGGCTGCACGGCCAGTGGCATGTCTCTTGTTTCTGCCAAATGCAGCAGTGCATTTGCGAATGTGAACTTACACAAGAACATGGGTATGTGCTGTCTCTAAAAATAATGCTGACTCTCACACATGCGCACAAAAGCAGATATATGCGCCTGTCCCCCACTGAGCCCCAAGGATGGATCTTTCCCATTTTGGAATGGAGGCGAGCTTTAACTCTTTATTGTTATTATTTTTTAAAGAGCCTTTTATTTTTTCTATTTGCATTTTCAGGTTCATGAGATGTCAGAGACTTGCAAACACCTGGTTCAACATCTGCTTCTGCCCCATTTTATGGACGGGGAGACTGCAGCCTGGTGAGCTGGGTATGGATGGGAAGCAGTTCCCGCCTAGGGCTCTGTTTTTAGCCCAGATAAATAACCTCTCTGAGTGTGGTCACCTGGCTCACACTGCTTCAGCGGCTCCGTTCCCAGCTCTGGGGTACTGGTGGGCATGTCGTGGGTGCTCAGTAAGTGCCAGCTGGGGGGCTGTATCCTCCCCAGCCCACACAAGGGCTGCACCTACTGCCGCTCTGCCAGCTCCCTTGCTGCCTCCCCCCACCCTTCTGTGCACAATGGGCAGCCCCCTGGAAGAAGCAGAGATCCCCACTGAGCCCTCAGGGCATGCAAGTGGTGTCCAGAGGCTTCCGGTGTGGTCTGGGCTTGCCTCCCACTGCATGCGAGGGGCAGTCAGGGAGTTAGGATGAGGTGGTGGCCTGCCCAGTCTCCTTGGGCTCAAGTGGTCCTTTAAGGCAGCCCTGGGTGCTCAGTTCCCAGGCTGGCTCAGAGTCACCTAGGAAAAGCACACCTAAGATTCAAATCAGCATGTGCTGTGGGAGGTCCTGTCTGGGGTTCCTGGGAGAGGCCGTTCCCCACAGCTGGTGCCTAGTCCTGGGAGCCTCTTGCCCTCCCAGGTTCTCACTTAGGGCCCCTCTGGCCCTCCCTCCTGTTAGATGCTGCTGCCTGCTTTCCTCTGCCAGACCCCATCCCCTAAGGGCGAGGCCCAAGCCTGAGTCATCCCTGGGTCCCCATGGCCCACACAAACATCTGATGCAGAACAGAGGGTGAGCTTGAGTCCAGCAGAGAGAACTAAGGGGCACCACCCTCGTGGGGAAAGCAAGAGATGCAAAACTCCGCAACTGCTGACTCTGGAATGGTGAAAGGATTTGTGCCACTCAGACGCCTCCCGGGTTTGCCACAGCCACTCGAAGGTGGGAGCAACTGAGACCACAGGCGTTGGACACCATGGCAGGAAACATAGGGCACCTTCTGAGAAGGGACCCTGACGTGAGAGCTCTGAACACCCCATGCCCCATGCCCACCCAGCACAGTTTGGGAGGACAGGACCCGCTGGGCCAGCACTCTGAGATGACAGAGCTGGAGACCAGTGCCCCTCTGCCCTTCCGCCCAGCTGCCCGCAGGCCACTGGCAAAGCTCACTCACCTTCTGCGACCCTGATGTGGAGCTCTTGAGCGAGCCCCGCTTGAAGGAGCTCATCTCTCTCAGTGAGCCTGTGAGCCACCCTGCTGACTCCCTCGGGTGGCCAGGCCAGTGGCACAGGGGCTGCCCTCCCTGGGTGGGCAGGAGCGGAGCCACACACTCGGCGGCAGCCCCACACTCGGCGGCAGCCCCACGCACTGGGCGAGGGGGCCGAGATCCTGGGGCGAGGCCGGCCGGAGGCTGGTTCAGCCTAGGAGGAGCATGTGCTGGCTTTTGGTGGCCCCTCCTGCCCGACTCCTGCTACCACCCCCAACATCTGTAATCAGGCTTAATCCCTCCATCCCCAAAAGGTTTAGAGGGAAGAGATTTAGCAAATGGAGATTGAAAGTAAATCTACTTTGAGAAAGTGGTGGCTGCAAAGGGTGGTCAAATGGGAAGGATTTGGGCGTCTGGAAAGGCGCATTGCGAGGGCAGACAGCCCCTTGCTGCTGGCATCTGAGGCCCCTTGGAGGGTGGCATCCAGATCCCAGAGGCCCGGTGCCCACCTGGCCAACCGCCTGAGTCTCAGAGAAGAATTTGCATCCAGGCCCAGGCTGTGGGTCTCAGCTCTCTCCTTGGAGCTGCCAGTGCGCATTTTCGCCCCGTTAATCTGGCAGCGACACAGCAAGCCTTCTTCTGAAGATCCTGTGGCCGGTGGCCCGTCTGTTCTGTGCTGCTCTGTGTGTGGGGCTCTCTGTGTCATTTCTGATTTCAGGGGTGCCTGTCTTGCCCCTTTTAAAGGCAGATGGGGTCATGGGTCTTTGCAGCACAAGCCTGGCCTGAAGTGTACCACCCTTGCTGCCGACCCTCCTCTGTCTCTTACAGGCACATGCATGTCACCTCCCACATGCAAGGGAACAGACTGGAGCTCAGAGAGAACAGGCCATGTATTCCCATCGTCTTAGATAGATTTTTATCTAAGGACCAGCAAGCTGAAAATAAAATAATAGAAGGCTGTGGAGCCCTCATAGCTGTGAGGCCAGGACCCACCACCTCCTCTGGGAGGCCTGTCGGCTGTGGAAGTTTGGAGGGTGGAGGCATGACCTCCACCTCTTGGGGTCTGGCTTACAACCAACACATCTCTTATGGTGCGGGGCCGGCCCTCTGTTCCCCTCTATCTCTCACACCCCTGAAGTGAATTCAACTGATATATTTTGAGCTGGTACTATGGGCCACATATTGTATACATCAAGTGCTAGGGATACATCTGGGAACAGCAGGGGAGAGTCCCTGCCTTCCTGGAACTGACCTTATCATGGGGAGGCAGATGCCTCGAGCAATAAACTATATAGCATGCCAGAGGGTGTAAGAGCCAGGCAGGGAAAGAAAGCAGAGAGAAAGGCCGGGCTGGGGGCGGTGGCAATTTTAAATAGGAAAGGTCTCTGAGGACCATCCTGGCTAACACGGTGAAACCCCGTCTGTACTAAAAAACAAAAAATTAGCCAGGCGTGGTGGCGGGCACCTGTAGTCCCAGCTACTCGGGAAGCTGAGGCAGGAGAATGGCGTAAACCCGGGAGGCGGAGCTTGCAGTGAGCCGAGATCGTGCCACTGCACTCCAGCCTGGGTGACAGAGTGAGACTCCGTCTCAAAAAAAAAAAAGAAAAAGGAAAGGTCTCTGAGAAGATGGCTTTTGAACAGAGACTGGGAGCAGGTGGCTGGTGAAGGAGCCCACTGGGCAGGGATGTGGGAGGAGGATTTCCAGGCAGAGGCAGCAGCCAAAGGCCTTGACTCTGGAGCCTGGCTGACATATTCAAGGAAGACCAAGAAGGCACAGGCGGCTGGGAGAGGGGATGCAGGGATGAGGGCAGCTGCAGAGGCAATAGTGCAGGACCTGGGAGCCATTCTAAGCACCTTGGGGTTCGTTTCTGATTATGATCTGATGTGCAGTTTGAAGGGACCACCGTGGTTCTTAAGGTGCACTAGCCAGCGGGTCCAGGGCTGCAGTGGGAACCTTGACAACCTGGAACAGGGTGGGGGCAGAGGAGTGATGGGTGGAGGTCTGACTCTTGAGAGTGTTGGAGGGTGGAGTCAAGAGGATGTGCAGGAGGGTCAGATGTGGGATGTGTGAGGAGGACAGACATCAGGAAGCTGCAAGGCTTTGGGCCGGGACTGCCCGAAAGATGGGGTCACCTGAGGTGACATGGAGAAGGCTGTGGATGGGGTGGGCTTGGGGGAGGGGCCACGCCTTCTGTGTTGCTAAACATAATGGCTTTTTCCAGTCCTAATTTTCTGAGGCCTCGCAGAGGATTGGATGCAGCCGATGCCTCATCCTCAGGCCGTCCCAGTTTGCCTCCTTGTCCTCAGGCAAATCCTCAGCACCCTGCGTGGTCTGACATCTTGCGTCTAACTGGAATTGTTACATTCCTTGAGGCTCTGTGCAAGCCCTCCTTTCCTCTCACTGGACCCTGGGTGACCTCCCCCTCCCTGTCAGCTCCGTTACCATGGGCACCCTCCTGCCCTGACCACCCATCCGGGGCTCTCTGCACCTCGTACTGGGCTTCCAAGCTGGCTCCCCATCGAAGAACCCGCCTCAAATGCAGCACTTCCCCACCACTCTCTGGTCCACTTCTTGCCCTGGTCTTCCTCTAGGTTTCCTGTCTCAGTGATGGCTACCCCATCAGCAAGACAGGAAGCCTTCATGCTCTGGGACTCCATGTCCTAGCCACCTCTGTACTGTGGTCTCCCAGACAGCTGTCTACACCTATGCAAAAAAGGGTAACTTTAAAAAATGCAGATCTGGTCAGGTAATGTTCCTGCTCAAAGCCCCTCAGAGCTCAGGACTGACTCAGATCCTCACCTGCCTCTAAGATGCTGCCTTTGCCCGCCTCCCTGCCGTGGCATCCTTTGCCCTTCTCCCCTGCCATGCTCCTTGGGCAGCACAGCGTTCTCTTGTCCTCAGCAGTACTGAGATGCTGGCCATGGCATGTGTGTGTAACGTTACTTGGCTAACCTGTGCCTCCTATCTCTGGGCCTCCTGGCACCTGTCCTGGATCTGTTGGGCTCACCAGTTCTATCATTTCTTTGAGTTTCAGAGCATTGCAAAAGTATGGAAATGCTCCAAACTTGTCTTATGAAGCTAGTACAATCCTAACACCAAAGCCAGATCAGGAGAGGTCACCTTAGACCAGTTCACTGGTGAAAACAGACACAAAACTTAGAAAGAATACAGTAACGGCCGGGCACAGTGGCTCACCCCTGAAATCCCAGCACTTTGGGAGGCCAAGGCAGGGGGATCACTTGAGGTCAGGAGCTCGAGACCAGCCTGTAATCCCAGCTGCTCCAGAGGCTGAGGCAGGAGAATTGCTTAAACTTGGGAGGCAGAGGTTGCAGTGAGCAGAGATCATGCAACTGCCCTCCAACCTGGGTGACAAAGTGAGACTCCATCTGAAAAAGAAAAAAAAAAAAAGAATATGGGAACAAGTTGAATCTAGTGCAGTTCTAAAAGAACAAGACCACATGACCAGCACAGGCAACAGGCATACCTTATTCTCAGGAATGCAAGGATGACTCAACACTGGAAAATCCATTCACGTAATTAAGCATATTAACAGATTAATGAAGAAATGCCCTGTGATCATCTCAATAGCTGCCAAAACCATATGGTCCATCTCAGTAGAGCCAAAAAAAAAAAAAAAAAAAAACAAAAAAAAAACCACACAAGAAAAAGAAGTCTAAACCAAAAACAAACAAAACCCCAAAATATTTGACATTTAGAAACAATTCCTTATTAAAATAGAAACAAACAAAAACTCTCAGCAACCTAAGAATACAAGGAAACTTCTGTAACTTGATGGCAGATACCTCCTAGAGGCATCCTGCAGGCATCCATGATAATTGGTGAAATATTAGAAACAGTTTCATAAAGATCAAGGACAGAATAAAGCCTGCTGTCTCCATAGTTTTATTCAACATTTTCCTGGAGGTTCTAACCAATGCAGAAATATAGTAAGACAAGAAAAAGAGGCCAGGCGCAGTGGCTTACGCCTGTAATCCCAGCACTTTGGGAGGCTGAGGTGGGCGGATCACCTGAGGTCAGGAGTTTGAGACCAGCCTAACCAACATGGAGAAACCCCGTCTCTACTAAAAAATACAAAATTAGCCGGGCGTGGTGGCACATACCTGTAATCCCAGCTACTCGGGAGGCTGAGGCAGGAGAATTGCTTGAACCTGGGAGGCGGAGGTTGTGGTGAGTCAAGATTGTGCCATTGCACTCCAGCCTGGGCGGCAACAAGAGTGAAACTCCATCTCAAAAAAAAAAAAAAAAAAAAAAAAAAAAGAAAGAAAGAAAGAAAAAGAGAGAAGTAGTATGAACATTGAGAAGGAATAGAAAAAAATATATATCTGCCCATAAAAAGCCAGGAAAACTAGCAAGCAAACTATTCAAATTAAGAAGAGGATTCAGTAAGATTGCCAGATACTAGGTCGACAGGAATAAAATAACAGGTTTTCTGTCCTCAAGCATAGTCAATTAGAAAATAGTTCCAATCATATTGCAAAAGAAACAGTAAAACACTTAGTAACAAGCCTAGAAAGAAGTGTGTAAAGTCTATAGGAAGAAAACAATAAAATTTTACTGAAGAACATAAAAGGAGATCTTGACAAAAAATATATTTTCTTTTCTTTTCTTTCTTTTCTTCTTCTTTTTTTTTTTTTTTTTTTTTGAGATGGAGTCTCACTCTGTTGCCCAGGCTGGAGTTACAGTGGCACGATCTCGGCTCACTGCAACCTCTGCCTCCCAGGTTCAAGTGATTCTCCTGCCTCAGCCTCCCGAGTAGCTGGGACTACAGCCACGCACCACCACCCCAGCTAATTTTTGTATTTTTAGTAGAGACGGGGTTTCACCATGTTGGCAGGATGGTCTCGATCTCTTGGCCTTGTGATCCGCCCGCCTCGGCCTCCCAAAATGCTGGGGTTACAGGCGTAAGCCACCACGCCTGGCCGACAAAATATATATTTTCATTCATTGCTGGAATATTTTTAAGAAATCAATCTCACAATAGCTATTAAAGTATACATACTCTTACTAGCAATTCCTATCCTGGGAATTCATTCCTTAAAAATTAAAACTGTGATATGTAAAAATATACTTTCAAGGATGTTAACTTATCTGTAAACTGTATGCCATACTGACAACATTACTCTCAGTATTTTCAATGATTGTTTATAGTGGCAAAAAAATCCCCACAAAACTGGAAACAAAGTCAGTGCCCTTCAAAGGAAAAATAGTAGAATAAATTGTGGTGCATGCACACCATGGAATAATATATAACCATTTAAAACAGTTGGTTCTATGCCAGTTGACGTGGAAGGATTTCCATAATATATTTTTATGGAAACCGAGAAGCAAGATGCAGATAGGTATAGAAAGTGTATATAGTATGATGTAATATTTTTGTAAAACAAAACATATATATATATATATATATATATAGATGTTACATCTATCTGTATTGATATCTTTTTTCTTTTTTGAGATGGAGTCTCGCTCTGTTGCCCAGGGTGGAGTGCAGTGGCGCAATCTCAGCTCGCTACAGCCTCCGCCTCCCGGTTCAAGTGATTCTCCTGCCTCAGCCTCCCGACTAGATGGGACTACAGGTGTGTGCCACCACACCTGGCTGGTTTTTCTATTTTTAGTAGAGACGGGGTTTCACCATGCTGGTCTCGAACTCCTGACCTCAGGTGATCCACCCGCCTCAGCCTCCCAAAGTGCTGGGATTACAGGCGTGAACCACTGCACCCATGAACATGTATAATAAAAACGTATTACACATGTTTACAAAGAGATTACATCTATCAGTCAATCAATTTATCTTCTAACCTATGGTGTGTTTATTTGAACGTTGAGAAAAGTATAGATGGATATATAGTAAATCTATGTTTTAATTCCAGTTTTAAAAATGTTTATTTTATGTATATTTTATTTTTAGAAAAAATACAAATTAAAAATTAAAGACATGCTCTCTCTATTTTGCCCAGCCCAGTCTCGAACTCCTGGGCTCAAGTGATCCTCCTGCCTTGGCTGCCCAAAGTGCTGGGATTGCAGTACGAGCCACCTCACTCGGCCAATTCTAGTTTTAACGTTTAGCAAAATGATACACATGTGCTGAACAGTTATACGACCCACAATAAAACTTAACCTCTGCCTTACCTTTTCCCCCTTCATCTCCTGTTCATTGAGATAATCATTTTCAATTCACTTATCTGTTTTTTTGGTATTTACCTCCAGATTCTAAATAACATACATTTAATATTATTTCTTAGTTTTTCAATTGTAGACTTTATAATTGACTTTTTATTAAGGAAGGTAAATATATAGATATTGTAGCCCTCACCACTCCCACCAACCACACTTCCTTTCCTGCAGTCTTCATGGGGTGATGTCATAGTTCTGGAGTAAATTAATATTTGGTGTTCTCTTTACTATGGAATAATTTACTTATAGTTCATATAGCGTTTGTATAGTTTCCCTTCACCTTTTAATTTTGCCTGAAGTTGATACTTGCTGAGTTTTCCTTCATTTAATTAGTTTTGTTTTTATTATTAACTTATCTCTAAACTCTATTCCAGACCTGTAACATAACTCTGAATATTGTCAAATTGGTGACACATGCATTCCATTTTCTTCTTGGAACCAACCTGCTTCTATCTGGCTGCTCTCTAGGTTGGCTCCAACCATATCACTCTAGCTTGGGATGGAGCTGGGAGTTTCCCTCCCTTCCCCGACCTGACTCTTCCCCCAACCCCATCCCAGTCTCCCTGGGGTCACTGGGGCCTTTTCACCAACTCACCTGGAAGCTTTCTCCCTGCCCTCTGTTTCCCTGAATTACTGACAAAGAAAGGCAGGGTTTCCTGGGGAACTTTTCACCTCTCAGCCCCAGGAAACTGTGGGTAGAGGCGCTGAACTTGGGGTGGAGGCAGGAGGGGTTGATTCAGAAACAATAAGCCCTAATGACCGATGTCATCTGCTCCAGAAATTACCAGCTCAGTTTCAGTTTGAAAGACCTGATTCCGGGCCAGGCGGTGGCTCACGCCTGTAATCCCAGCACTTTGAGAGGCTGAGGCCAGTGGATCACGAGGTCAGGAGATCGAGACCATCCTGGCTAACACAATGAAACCCCGTCTCTACTAAAAATACAAAAAATTAGCCGGGCGTGGTGGCGGGCACCTGTAGTCCCAGCTACGCGGGAGGCTGAGGCAGGAGAATGGCATGAACCCGGGAGGTGGAGCTTGCAGTGAGTCGAGATCATGCCACTGCACTCCAGCCTGGGTGACAGAGCGAGACTCCGTGAAAGAAAGAAAGAAAGAAGGAAGGAAGGAAGGAGAGAGACAGAGAGAGAGAGAAAGAGAGAGAGAGAGAAAGAAAGAAACAAACAAAGAAGAAAGAGAGAGAGAGAAAGAAAAAGAAAGAAAGAAAAGAAAAAGAGAGAAAGAAAGAAAGAAAGAAAAGAAAGACACAATTCCGGCCAGCAAGGAGCTCACCTTCTGCCAGGAGGACATGCATGTGAACACTTACCAGGAAGAATAAAATGACTGCTCTGAGAGAGCTACCTGTCAAATACACAGTCGTGGTTGCCTGCCGCTCTGTGTTGGAAAGACATTGAGGCCACCTGGGGACCGCAGATAAAGAACTCTAATGGACCAGCTCCGACTGCCATGGGTCAGATGAGGTGGCTCGGGCTGTGTAGTGGTCATATTCAGCATGTCTGGCTAGTAGCAGGAGCCACTGATTTTCACTAAGGGCATCATTTTTGCCAACAGATACCTGTGCTTCAATCTCTTCCCATCTGTATCTTTCTCTCTATCTTGTTTTCTTTATCTATTGTTTTTTATTTATTTTTATTTATCTATATCTATTTATCTATATTTCTCTATCTATTGTTTTCTTTCTCTGCCTGTCTGTGTCTGTCTCTCCTGCCATCTCCCTCTTCATGTTGCCCTGTAGTTTTCCCCTTAAAAACGTGTAAATTGGTTTGTCAGGGAACAAAATGTCTTCGATGGTTTGAGGCCAAGGAAGAGAAGAGTCTCATGGTAGCAGCACCCAGAGAAAGCCCAGGCTGGAGAGCTCGGCAGGAGGGCTCTTCTCTGGGTCGGGGTCAGGATGCTTCTAAAAGTGGATGGCCTCGAAACTTTCTGCAAAAACAGACTGAGGGAGCTCATGTCATTAAATGTGCCATTAGAAATCTCCAGACCCCAAAGAGTGGAAAGAATTCACTTCACATTAAGCCCAAACGTGATTATTCTCGCTCCATCCCCCAGGCTTAGCGGTCTGCATTTTGGAGCATCCCAAATCAGGATTAAAAGTGAGCATGCGGCCGGGCGCGGTGGCTCACGCCTGTAATCCCAGCACTTTGGGAGGCCGAGGCGGGTGGATCATGAGGTCAGGAGATCGAGACCATTCTGGCTAACAAGGTGAAACCCCGTCTCTACTAAAAATACAAAAAATTAGCCGGGCGCGGTGGCGGGCGCCTGTAGTCCCAGCTACTCGGGAGGCTGAGGCAGGAGAATGGCGTGAACCCGGGAGGCGGAGCTTGCAGTGAGCCGAGATTGCGCCACTGCAGTCCACAGTCCGGCCTGGGCGACAGAGCGAGACTCCGTCTCAAAAAAAAAAAAAAAAAAAAAAAAAAAAGTGAGCATGCAGGGCCAGGCCAGAGCTGAGCCCCTGAACAGAGTGGGGGAGCACCTGTACGGGGAGAGCGGCCGAGGCTGCCCTGCGGTGTCGGAGTTGGGGATGACTTCTCATCTCTGTGGCCCATCTGGCTGCCCACCTGCCACTGTGTCACAGGACGTGAGACAGGTGGACCTTCTCTGAGAGTCTGCTCTGTGCTGGGAGGGGACCTGGGCTCAGCTATGCAGAGCTGTGGGGCTTTGGGCATGTTGACTTCCCTTCCCCATAGCTGCAAAAGCCCCACATGGCCCACTGTTTTGGTCAGAGGTCCTAATATGTGGGGGAGTCCCTTGTAAACCGCAGAATGCTTCCTAATTTAAGGCTTAGGGTATTGCTGCAATGATCAAGGTTTGAGGCTAGCAGACTGGCTGCCTTGATTTTGACAAATTTGGGCACAGTCATCCACAGACACAGTCTGCTTCATTCTAACATTTTTCACATTTATTAGTTGAGTGTCTGATATTTGGAAAAGATGGAATTTATTGCTAGAATTCATGGTGAGCCAGTCCTCTAAGGCTCAGGAAGGCTGCACAGGGCAGATGGAGTCTCATCATTGTGTGCCCCAAGTCGCACCACAGTTGAGAGACCCCAAATGGGTTTTATGCCCTACGGGTGACTAGGATCACTAAGCACAAGCAATTTGGGACATCCTGTTCTAGGAGGGACGAGAACATTGCCCAGGCGGTTCTGGGCAGCTCCTCCTTATCTCAGGCAGTTGCAACCTCAGTACACTCCACAGTGATTTTAAGATCCATGAGCAGATGGGGAAGAGCTAGGTTGGCCAAGGCCAGCCAGAGACCTGTCCTCCTGCAATACAGCTCACAGTCCCTTCCCTTTGCCCTCTATCTTCCTCCAGACCCCGGCTACTCTAGGTCACATCTGGTGTCTCTCACCCTGGGTCACTGCTTTCTACCTTCCCTACTTCCAGGGCCAGGGTAGGCCCAGAGACTAGGGACCACTCTTGCCAAGCCTCAGTGGACAGTGTGTCACGTGCATATTATTTCTCTTCTGTGAGACTAGACCCCTGATCTTGCTACTGCACCCCAGAACCAAAGAAGGTGTGTGCATGGGAGGGGCTCCCACCAACACACCTCCCAGGGGGCTGCCTGAGGACCACCAAGCTCTGCCCAAGCCCCGGAGTGCAGCTTAGTGTACCATGAAGCTGCCAGGGTTCATTCTCAAGAGCATGCAGACCTGTCCCGAGAGGAGCATGTCTCTCCCAGAGCAAAAATTGGAGGCAAACTGCGTTTCAGTGTGAGGTTCTGGGGGCTCATGTTTAGATGAAGGCATCCAACTTGGTAATTGTAACCACATACTACAAACAAACATCTGCAAATATTAAAAATGCATTTTCCCTAGAGATCTCCATGAATTGTCAAGGGTAGAGTGACCAGGGTGGTCCTGATTCATGTCGCTGGCTCCTAAGGGCTCAAAGGCATAGTTACCATGCCCAGAGTGAGGAGAGGGTATCACTACTTAGGGGATTATTGGTTCATTTGGCATCAAGAGGTGCCACACCTCCATGGTGTGGACTTTGGCTCCATGGACCCCAGCCTCCCGCAACCTGCCTGTGTCTGCCCAGCAAATGAAGGGTACCTGCAGAGGTGGGAGGGGGTAAGGCTAACACTCACTCCTCTGCTTCTGCCAGTCCCTTCCCTGGCCTCCGCCAGGCATATGACAACCTTCCCGATGTCCGTGTCATCAGCTTGGGCTGCTGTGACTAAGGACCACAGGCTGGGGGTCTTCAACATTGGAAGTCATTGCCTCACAGTCCTGGAGACTGGAGGTCTGAGACTGAGGTGTGGGCAGGGCTGGTTTCTCCTGAAGCCTCTCTCCTTGGCTTAGAATTGGCCATCCTCTCCCTATGTCCTCACATGGCTGTCTCTCTGTGCACATCTGTGTCCAAATTTCCTCTTTTTTTCTTTTTTCTTTTAGAGACAGGGTCTCGTCACCCAGGCTGGAGTGCAGTGGCCCAATCATGGCTCACTGCAGACTCCAGCTTCTGGGCTCAAGTGATCCTCCTGCCTCAGCCTCCTGAGACACTGGGACCACAGGTGTGAGCCATCATGCCCGGCTAAACTAAATTTCCTCTTCTTATAAAGACACCAGTCAGATTAGATTAGGGTCCATGCCAAAGACCTCATAAACTTAGTTATTTCTTTAAAGACTGTTGTCAAATACAGTTTCCTTCTGACGCCCTCAGGGTTAGGGTTTCGGCATATAAATGCTGGGGTACATGATTCATCCCATACACCCTGGAGGAGGTTCCCTGGCCCCTTAGCTGTATGGCGTGTGTCCCTCTAGCTCTGCAGTCTCCCGAGAGTCATTTCCCCCACACCTCCGGCTCCTCAAGCTGCCTGCTTCCCACTCTGCCAGCCTGAGTTCTTGGAGGCACTCACAGTGGCGCCATGCGGGAGGTATCAGCTCTGGGTGACTTTGGCCCAGCCCATGGCACAAGAGGTGCTCAGAACCTGTTGCTGGCCCAACAGTAAGCAGGCAAGTGAACCCAAGGGTGGAAAGATGGTGCTCTGAACCACGTTTTCCTGGAAGCGCAAGCTGGGTGGGTGGGTGAGGGGCACCCTGGCCTGGCCTAGCTGCCTCCAATGGCCCCTCCATGGTGTGGGCCTTGCCTCCCTGGACCCCAGCCTCCCCCAACCCACTTTCCCATCTCTCAGAAGAGAGGGGAGCTGAGGGAAGCATGTCCCCTGCAGGCCTCACCACCCTCCTCTGGCTCTGCACCTGGACTGGCCCGGCCCCTACCCAGGGATCACCTCAAGTGCTGGTTAAGCACTGGCCCAGGGAGTGGAGGCCGGGCTGCGGGTCACCCCAGCTTTGGTAGGACCTCTTTTGTGTATGAAATAATTATACGTGTGCCATTTGATGTTGTAGCTGAGCTTTTAAAAGGCTCGGGGGAAAATGGATAAGAAATTTCAGTTTTATATGGAAAACATGCCTGGGAACCAAGCCACCCCACTGGGCTCTGAAAGCAGCAGACGCTTAGCTTAGCACTGATGGTAAGTACTTCTTCTGAAAAGGAGAGCAAAAGGATGAAAGAACATGCCCTGGATGGGGGGCACTGCGCCTGGGGGTCTCTAGCAGGCCAAGTGTTTTCAGGGACTTGTCTCTTGTCCACCCCTGCAGGCCTGTTCCTGACACCAAGCACAAAATCTGTGCCCGCTAGGGCTTGCCTCCACCCTGTGGGTGGGAAAGCCAGGGCTCAGCGGCCTTGGGCCCCCTTAGGGCTGCTGGGGTTCCAGTCAGCCTCTGGTCACAGCTGCGCCTGTCCTCCCTTCTCCTCCAGGCCATGCCCAGCACCCATGCCCAAACAAAGCCCTCTCTCCCTGACCCCGAGAAGGGATGGGCCTCGCACCTGCAATTCCCAGCACAGGGCTGGGACCAGTGGAGGTGTTCAACACATATCAGGAGAAAGGAGGCACCCTATGAAGAAAGGAGGCACCCTAAGGTGATCTGGTCCGGTACCCTAGAGCCCGCCCCTGGGAAGATGCTGGTGTGGGCAGGTGAGGCTGGATTCAGCAAGCCTGAGGCCATGCAGGCCTAGCCCCAGTGGTAAGTCCCTGCCCAGGCACACTTTAGTCCCATTTGAGGTGGTCTCCTGGGAATGCCTTAACAAAGGACCACAGACTGGGGGACTTAAAGGACAGACATTTCCTCTGTCTCAGTTCCAGAGGTGGGAGGTATGAGGCAGTGTCAGCAGGGTTGGTGCCTCTTGGGCCGTGAGGGAGAATCTGCCCCAGGCCTCTCCCCCGCTGCTGGTGTTTCGCTGGCGATCTTTGGTATTCCTTGGCTTCATCTGCACGAGGTGTTCTCCCAGTGTGTTTCGTCCAAATTTCCTCTTCTTATGTGGACATCTGTCATGCTGGATGAGGGCCTACCCCAGTGACCTCGTCTTAATTTGAGGGCCTCTGTGAAGACCCAATGTCCAAATAAGGTCACGTTCTGAGGTATGGGAGTTAGGATTTCAACAAAGAACTTCAGGAGGGGATGCCATTCAGCCCATAACAACATCCAACAGAAGAGCCAGTGCTAGGCGGGAGGGCAAGCACACCCCTCTTCTCCCACTCAATTCCAGATCTGTTTGTGGGGCCAATTAACACCTGAGGTGAATCCCTCGAGAAGGGGCCTCGTGGGCCTGACTTTGCGATCATCCAAACACTCTATGTTCAAGAGTATCATATCATCATATCATGTCATATCACATCATATCATATTGTGTCATATCATATCATGTCAGAACATATCATACCATATTATATATCATGTCATATCACCATGTCATATCATATCATGTCATATCACCATGTCATATCATATCATGTCATATCACATCATGTCACATCATATTATGTCATATATCATGTCATATCATCATATTGTATCATATCATCATACTGTCATATCATATCAGACCATATCATGCCACATCATGCCATGCCATACCATGTCATACCATACTGTATCATATGATCTCATCTCTCATCTCATCACGTCATGTCATACCATGTCATATAAATTTTCATGCTAATAGTGGCCCTCATCTGAGGCTGCTGTGTCCTTTGCTCTCCAACACCATGGTGTGTGGGAAGGACTGTGAATGCAGTGCACTCCTCCTTCTCTTGCAGGGAACAAGGAAATAAGGACAGCTGCCATGCCAGGTCTTCCTCCCAGGCCTCCTGCCAGGACCCTGGGCTGCCACTTAGGTGGACACCTGGTGCAGTGGGAAAGTCCCGGGCAGGATTTTAGGGTCTGGTTTGCTGTTGCTGAGCCATTCTAGGCCACCCCCTCCCACTCTTCTCTCACTTTCTCACCCATGTCTGGGAGTGCTGCAAGGATCATTTGTCACAGTGCTTGATCAGTGGGCTCATCCCCTTTCTCCTGCCCACACTGAGGCTGAGAGCCAGGGCACATGGGGTCCCAGGGTCAGTTTCAGTGCCATCCAGGTCTGTAACTGATTGGCTCCTGGCAGGGACTGCTGCTTATCGCCACCTCTTTCCCTGTGCTTCTGGGCCTTCTGGGTGCACACTAAAAGCAGATCCAGGTTTAGCCAGGCATGAATCCTGTGCAATTGGGTGACCCTCTTGAAGAAAATGAACACAAACTTACAAATGCGTAATTAGGTGCAAAGCCTTGGCAGGGCTGGGGTTGCACATCAAGTTTGAGCTTCACTTGCTTCAGGGAGAAGCTACCTGTGTGTACTCATAGGGGCTGGGGGCTGTGGTGGTCGCCAGGACAGGGTGAATTTGATGCCGTGCATACATGCACTCGATATTGTTTTGACAAATGGTAACCAAGCCTCATACTCCACCACCATGGGCCCCTGTCATAGGCCTGCACACCGTTAGTGCTGTAAAATGGACAGAGGGGTCTGAAAGGTGGTCCTTGTCTCTGAGGGGTCTCTCTAGAGCCAGTGAAGGAAGTGGAAGCTAAAGGCCCCACGGAGTCAGGAAGCATAGGGTCTTCTTGCTGCCTCGTGACGCTTGCAGTGACCAGTCGTGGCTCAGTCATCTCTCCCTGCTTCTGATTTTTCTTGAGGCTTGCATAGTTAAAAATAATAATAAAACCACACTCGTTGTATGGAAACCACAAAATACCCACTTTTAACTCTGACAGAATCTAGTAATTGTGTTCTCCCCAAAAGAAGAGAGTGGAAGAGCTCATTTGAAAGACGCAGCATAATTTGAGTGAACTCTTTTGAAAATCTGATTGTTGAAACATTGCCCATTGTTCTTCATTAGATGTGAAAATAAAATCCTGGAAGATTTCTTGAGATGAGCATTTTAGAGAAGAAACGACCCCAACAGACTCATTTTGTTTAATGCATCCAAGAACTCATGCATGGCTGTAAATCCCATGAAACTCCAAAACTCAGAACTCCAGAAATGTCATCAAATTTTTGAAAGCATAAAACCGAGAGAGGAAGAGTGAAAAGAAACCCCACCGTAGGTGGCTAAGAGCAGAGCTGCCACTTGGGTGTCCCAAGGAGTGACCGAAGTGTGGTCATTTTCTGGTGGGCCACCAAAGTGACCTCTTAATCTCCCCTCCACAGCAACCGGGAGTCACCCTGGGATTGGAGGCAAGGTCCATCCTGGCCCCCAGCCAGCGAGCCCTGCCTCCCATGCCTGACTGGCACCACCAGGCCTGGAGGAGCTGGTGGGGTACCGCCCTCTCTGCTGAGAGGCTTGGAAAAGCTCACTGAGGAGGCTGTAGGTCTTGGCACCAAGGTTTAATCATTGTCATATCGTCGTATTGTGTCATATCATCATACTGTGTCATATCATATCATACCGTATCATGCCATATCATGCCATGCCATACCATACCGTATCATATGATGTCATCTCTGGATGATGTCAACACTGGACAGGGTTGGCTCCCACCTGTCCTGGGCTCTTCTTGCTCCAACAGGACCCTGGGTTGCAGCCAGCACAAGGATTGTGAGTTCCAGTTCCTGAAATGGGCCCCTCACTCAAAGCATCAGGGCCTAAGTGGGGGTGACTTTGAGGAGCAAGAGGAAGAAGATCTGGGTTCTGAAAATCTCTTTTTCTTTTTTTTTGAGACAGAATTTCGCCCTTTCGCCCAGGCTGGAGTGCAGTGGTGTGATCTCAGCGCACTGCAATCTCCGTCCCCCAGGCTCAAGTGATTCTCCTGCCTCAGCCTCCCTAGTAGCTGGGATTACAGGCGTGTGCCACCACGCCTGGCTAATTTTTGTATTTTTACTAGAAACCGGGTTTCGCCGTGTTGGCCAGGCTGGTCTCGAACTCCTGACCTCAGGTGTTCCACCCGCCTTGACCTCCCAAAGTGCTAGGATTACAGGTGTGAGCCACCACACCCGGCCACTGAAATCTTTATATTAATCAGTAAGGCCCACAGATCTTCCACTCCGGCATTGATACTAATCCAGAAAGCAGGCTTTGGTTATGGTCTTGGCCAATATAGCTCTGGACAATGAACCAGCTATGCAACGCACTATACAACACACCCAGCTTATTCAGCAGGTTACATAAAAGGGAAAGAAGGCAAATACATACAACAGTGTGCAGAGAAGCACCATTTGTTTTGTTACTGAATTATTAATAATTTAATTTATAATCCTGAATTTAAAATGTGACGAGGGTAAAATAGCAGAGATTTGGCATGCTGTGTTCTCCGTATTCACCCCATCCCTGTGGGCCTTCATAACCACCCCACAGTGACACCCTACTGTCTACAGCTACTCTCTGTACTATACTGTCTACACTTTGTCTGCCCATGGCCCACCATCAACAAACACCTTACTGTCTACACCTATGACCTGCGTTAATGTGTATACTTTCTATGCCTACTACCTGTGTCCTAATGTCTATGCTCTACGTCTATACTAACTGCTTGCATCCTAATGTCTACACCCTACCGTCTACACCTACTACCTGTGTGCTAATGTCTACACTCTACTGTCTATACCTACTACCTGTGTGCTAATGTCTACACTCTACTGTCTATACCTACTACCTGTGTGCTAATGTCTATACCCTATTGTCTATAGCAGGGATAGTGTTAGTAGATACAGTGTTAGTATACTACCTGTATACTAATACTAATTAGGATACCTGTATCCTAATGTCTATACTCTACCATCTGTATCTACTACCTGTATCTTAATATCTACAATCTACTGCCTGTACCTACTCCCTGTGTCCTAATGTCTATACCCTATTGTCTACAGTAGGGATAGTAGATATGGTGTTATTAGGTTGCTACCTATATCTAACATCTTTTTTTTTTTTTTTTTGAGACAGAGTCTTGCTCTGTTGCCCAGGCTGGAGTGCAGTGGCATGATCTCAGCTCATTGCAACCCCCACCTCCCGGGTTCAAGCAATTCTCCTGCCTCAGCCTCCTGAGTAGCTGGGACTACAGGCGTGCACAACCATGCCCAGATAATTTTTGTATTTTTAGTACAGACGGGGTTTCACGGAGTTCACTGGTCTTGAACTCCTGACCTCATGATCCGCCTGCCTAGGCTTCCCAAAGTGCAGGGATTACAGGCGTGAGCCATGTTGCCTGGCCCCTATATCCAAGTACCTACACTCTACTGTCCACAGCTACTACCTGCATCCTAATGTCTGCATCTACTACCTGCATATCTATATCCCACTGCCTATACTGCACCATCTATACCCTACTGTCTGTATCAATATCCTCTAACTAACGTCTGCCTCCTACTGCTCCAACAAGGCAGATTCAGGTGGCCATAATCAGAACCAGTGTAGACTCCAGGAGACTGAGGCAGCCAGAACAGAGTGCTTCCAATCTGCAATCTGTGTGGAGCCTGGCACTGCATGACCTCATCACGTCTTTTAGAAGACAAAGTGGCGCAGCAGGCCAGTGCACTCCAATCTGTAATGTGCATGTGAGTCTCCTGGGGATCTTGTTAACACCCAGTTTCTAGTGAACTCCTAGGGGATGTTATGCTGTGGTCCTCAAACCACACTTTTGAGTAGCAAGAAGCTGGATGATACCTTGGCCAGGAGGATTCAGGACTGGCTGAGTCATTACGCCCTACAGGATACTGTCAGAGTCAGTAGCACAAGCACAGTGACCTTCCCAGCCTTCCTCCCCCACTCCCCGCCCTGGGAGCTTCTGTTTGGAGAAACATGTGCCCATTTCCCTTTCAGGGAGGTGTGGGAGGATGTGTCCTGCTGGGGGACTCTCCTACACTCCTGGTGAGGTGGCCTTCATCCTCCTTGTTACTTCCCTCTCCGTCTTCCTTTCCTGCCTGGAGCTCAGACTCAATCCAGTGCCACAGGAGGAGCCTATTTTCAAGCAGGAGAATGAAAACCATTTTCCAGACAGGGTGAGGTGCAGAGCTGTGGAGCCTGGCCCTGGAGGTGTTACAGAGCCCCTGTCTGTGTCCTGGACTGCTCACCGCCAGGCTTCCAGGCACTGAGAAAAGCACCTCACTTGTTATCTCACCATTCTGCAATTTTTTTCTTATATACTGTCAATTGAGGCTCCAAAGTATGATCCTCATGGGGGTTTGCTTGACCAAATATGAGAAAAACTTCACAAGAGGCCACCCCCATAGGATATAATGTGCACTAGGAACATGCCACATGGACTGCAAATGACCCTGATCCTTCACACTCAGGGATATTGATCTCAGCTTAATTTGGGACTTAATGAAAATAGGGAATTACTTGAGAGTAGTAAAAATGTACTCTGTGGATAAAAAATACTTAATTACAGATGTAACTGAGAAACTTAAAAACTGCATAGAGCAAAAGAGAAGGAAGTAATTTGCCAAGCACCACCCACGTGCTGGGCTTTCTATATTTTACCTCTGAGTCCCCACAAAGGCCCAGGCAGAATGGCTCACTGCTGCTGTTCAAACACAAGCCGCAGACAGTGCAGGTCCATCAAGAAGCCGACGGAGTTTCCTCTCAGGGACCTTCACCTGCCCAGGAACTTTCCACCCTGGAAATGGCTCTAGCAACATTCTTGCACGGTTTTGTTTCATGTATTTACAAAAGTAGGATATTTTGATATTTTTTATTAAAGAGTGTTCCAGTTACTCTGGCTGTGTAACGAATTGCCCCCTAATTTAGTGGCTTCAAACAATAATAATCAGAGCTGGATTTCCTGTCTAGATAAGATAGTTTAAACTTGTTTCCTCTTGCTTCTCCCAACTAGATACACCCTGGAAATAACACAAAAGACAACCAAACGAGCACTTGGAAAGGCTGTAAGATGAAGGCAAACTGGTTGGGCCACAGGACTGGATAAACAGCATAGAGGTGGGCACCTTACAACTCCTTCCCAGGTATAAAACAATGACCCAGGCCTAGTGTTTCCTGCCACCAGGATTAGGTGGCCAGGGTTGGCTCATTTCTCCCATAGTGGGAGCTGGAGTCCCACTGACAACACCAGGCGAGCCCAGCAGAACTGGCCGGGGAGATCCATCACAAGCCCAGCAGACCCTCTGCTGCCAGGGGACGCGCTCTCCTGCCCTGTCAGGTCTGAGATTCCATTCCTCAGCGCAGAAACCATGCAGCCTGTGGGTCACGGGGGTCAGCAAAGAGGATCCCACCGTAACAAGCACCCAGCCTGGGAAACTTCTTTGTCTCTGCAAGACTGTGACTCTCTTCCCTCCCTTGAGACTGATGCTGAGATAAATATACCAGGCAATGGGTGGCATTATCAAGGAGGAAGTGCCCTCACTGCAACAAGTACCTAGCCTAGGAAGCACTCTTCCCCTCTGTGGCTGGAGACACACTTCCTTCACCTAGGAAGCACCAGGGAGCATGTCTGAGGAAATTCCTTCTGCTCCCTCAATCAGTACCTGCAGGGACCAGTAGGAGCCCCAGGCTCATGAGAAAAATCAAGCAGTCTAAAAAAGCACAGCAAAGTCTCTGAAAATTAGATGTTATTGCAACCACAGCCCACAAAAGTAGGTCACACCTGCATTGCTAAACCTAAACAGGGTAGTTGCCTACTAAAATAAAAAGTTTAAATAAGACCTGGAATTTCCTAATCTAAGACTCAAAATTCCAGGCCACAATAGAAAGTCATCTGTCATATCAACAACCAGAAAAATTGCAACTTAAATGAGAAAAGCGACAAACTGATACCCACAGTGAGATGAATCAGATGTTGGAATTATTTAATAAAACAATTATTTTATCTTATTTTGTTTTAGTTCTTTTGAGACAGAGTCTCACTCTGTCACCCAGGCTGGAGTGCGGTGGCACAATCTTGGCTCACTGCAACCTCCACTTCCTGGATTCAAATGATTCTTCTGCCTCAGCCTCCCCAGTAGCTGGGATTACAGGCATGAACCACCATGCCTGGCTAAATTTTTTCATATTTTTAGTAGAGATGGGGTTTCGCCATGTTGGCCAGACTGATCTCAAACTCCTGACTTCTAGTGATCTGCCTGCCTCTGCCTCCCAAAGTGCTGGGATTACAGGTATGAGCCACCACGCCTGGTCAATTTGACAAAACTTTAAAAACAATCATAAAAGTGATTCAATGATTAACTACAAATTCTCTTGAAATAAATGAAAAAAGGAAAATCTAAGCAAAGTAATAGAAGTTATTAAAAAAGAACTAATTATAGAACTGAAAAATACAACAAAAGAAATAAAAATTCACTGGATGGACTAAATAGTGAAGTGGACACAACAGAGGATAGAATCAGAACTTTAGGACAGATCAATAGAATTTACCCAATCTGATTAACAGAGAGAAAATAAAGAAATAGGCAAGTAGGCTGAGAGTGGTGGCTCACACCTGTAATCCCAGCACTTTGGGAGGCTGAGGTGGGCAAATCACAAGGTCAGGAGTTAGAGACTAGCCTGGCCAACATGGTGAAACCCTGTCTCTACTAAAAATACAAAACTTAGTTGGGTGTGGTGGCTGGCACCTGTAATTCCAGCTACTTGGGAGGCTGAGACAGAAGAATTCCTTGAACCTGGGAAGCAGAGGTTGCAGTGAGCTGAGATCACGCCACTGCACTCCAGCCTGGGTGACAGAGCAAGACTCCATCTTGAAAAAAAAAAAAAAAAGAAAGAAAGAAATAGGCAAGTCTATAGTTGTAGCTAGAGACTTTAACACCTCCCTGTCAGCAACCAAAAGAACTACTGTACAGAAACTAAGCAAGAATACAGAAGATCTGAACAAAATGATTTGCCAACAGGATCTAATGAACAAATATAGAACACTCTACCCCAAAACAGTACAATATAATTTTTTCTCAAGCACCTATGAAACATTCAACAGGAGTGACTGTATCCTGGGCCACAAAACAGATATCAACAAAAAAAATTTTTTTGAGACAGAGTCCCTCTGTTGTCCAGGCTGAACTGTAACCTCAAACTCCCAGACCCAAGCATTCTTCCCACCTCAGCCTCCCGAATAGTTAGGACTTTAGGTGTGTACTACCATGTCTGGCTAATTTTTAAAATTGTTATATAGAGACAGGTCTTGCTATACCGTCCAGACTGATCTCGAACTCCTGGCCTTGAGCAATCCTCCTACCTCTGCCTCCCAAAGTGCTGCAATGACAGGCATGAACCACTGCATCAGAACAACAAATTTTTAAAAATTGAAATAATGCAAAGTGTGTTCTCTGACTATAATTGAAATAGACTAAAAATTACAGTAACATAACAAGAAAATTTCTAAACACTTGGGAATTAAACAACAAACATTTAAGTAATCTATGAATCAAAGGAAGTCTCAAAGGAAGAAATACATGGAACTTAATAAAAATAAAAACACAACATATAAGATTTATGGACTGCAGATAAAGCAATGTTGAGAAGGAAATTTAAACCACTAAATGCTTACAGTAGAAAATAGAAAAACTTTCAATATAATACTCTGAGATCTTGTTTCAAAAATGTACAGAGAAAATAGCAAGATAAAACCAAAGCAAGCCGAAGAAAGAAACTAACAAGTGCAGAAATCCATTAATTGAAAACAAAAAATGAAATCAATAAAACAAAAAACCTGTTCTTAAAAAATCCATAGAATTGATAAACCTCTAGCAAAACCAATAAATATAAAAAGAATGAAGACACAAATCACCAATAACAGGAATGAAATAGAAAATATCACTATATCATGCACACTTTTTTCAGCTAAATAAATAAATAAGAAAATATTGCTACACATACTTGGCCCATTAAAATGGTAATAAGGAAATATTATAAACAACTTCGTGTTCACAAATTCAACAACTTAGAAAAGATAGACTAATTCCTTGAAATTCACAAACACCACACTCACTATGATGGAATAGATAATCTGAATAGAACTATAACCATTAAATAAATTGAATTTGTAATTCAAAAACACTCAGAAAAGAAATCTCTAGGTCCAACAGTCTTATTGGAGTATCTTACCAAACATTTAAAAATAATTAACACAAATACAGAAATTTTACTCTCTCTCTCTCTCTATATATATATACATGCATACACATATACATATACACACACACACACACACATACATGTGTATATATATATATGTTAGAGAGTGAGAATATATATATTTGGTAGAGATGGAGCCTCACTGTGTTGCCCAGGCTGATCTCAAACTCCTGCCCTCAAGCATTCCTTAGCCTTGGCCTCCCAAAGTTCTGGGATTACAGAAATGAGCCACCATGCCAGAATTACCTGATGGCAAAGCTAGACAAAGACAATACAAAGAAAGAAGATTGTATTAATCCGCTTTCACATGATATAAAGACAAACCTGAGACTTTGTAAATTATAAAGAAAAGATGTTTAATTGGCTCACAGTTCTGTGGGCTGTACAGGCTTCTACTTCTGGGGAAGCCTTAGAAAACTTATAATCATGGTGGAAGGTGAAGTGGAAAAAGGCTTATCTTCACATGGCCAGCAGAAGAGAGAGCAAGTGAAGGGGGAAATGCTATACACTTTCAAACAATCAGATCTCATGAGAACTCTATCATGAGACAGCACTAGGGATATGGTGTTAAACCATTAGAAACCACCCTTATGATTTAATCACCTCCCACCAGGCCCTTCTTTTAACACTGGGGATTACAATTCAACATGAGATTTGGGTAGGGACACAGAGCCAAACAATATCAAAGACCATAGACCAATATCTCTCATGAGCTTAGATGCAAAAATCTTAGAAAATTAACTCCAACAAAGTATAAAAAGAATTATATACCATCACCAAGTGGGATTTAATCCAGAGTTGCAAGCCTGATTCGACATTTGAAATCAATCAATATAATCTACAAAAACCCTACAGCTAACATCATACTTAATGGTGATAAACTGAATGCTTTCCCCCCAAGATTGGGAAGAAGGCATGTAAGCTGTTCTCACCACTCTTATTCAGTATGGTACTGGAAGCTCTAGCTGCTTCAGTAAGGCAATAGGCAAGAAAATGCAGTACAATGCATTCATAGGGAAAGGAAAGAAATAAAAACCACTCCTATTTGCAAATGACGTGATTGTCTACGTAAAATCTCAGGTAATTAAAAAAAAACTCCCAGAACTAAGAAGTGAGTTCAGCTGGTTTTCAGGATACAAGATCAAAACACAAAAACCAATCCCATTTCTATATGCTAACATGTAGAAACCGAAATGAGAAGCACAATACCATTTACAACAAAAGTGAAATACATGTGTATGAATTTAACAAAATACATGCAGAATCTCTAGGCTGAAATTTATAAAATGCTGATGAAATAAATCAAAGGAGCCCTAAGTCAGTAAAGAGACATCATGTTTATGGATTGGAGGACTCAACATAGTAAAGATGAACTATTGATCTATTAGGTTGATCTATTAGGTTGGTGCAAACATAATTGCGATTTTTACCATTAAAAGTAATGGCAAGCTCTCCCTCCTCCTCTCCCTCCCCCTCCCCCTCCCTCTTGTCTCCGTCTCCCTCTGCACGGTCTCCCTCTGATGCCGAGCCGAGGCTGGACTGTACTGCCGCCATCTCGACTCACTGCAACCTCCCTGCCTGATTCTCCTACCTCAGCCTGCCGAGTGCCTGGGATTGCAGGCGCGCGCCGCCATTCCTGACTGGTTTTCGTATTTTTTGGTGGAGACGGGGTTTCGCTGTGTTGGCCGGGCTTGTCTCCAGCTCCTGACGTGAGTGATCTGCCAGCCTCGGCCTCCCGAGGTGCCGGGATTGCAGACGGAGTCTCGCTCACTCAGTGCTCAGTGTTGCCCAGGCTGGAGTGCAGTGGCGTGATCTCGGCTCGCTACAACCTCCACCTCCCAGCCGCCTGCCTTGGCCTCCCAAAGTGCCGAGATTGCAGCCTCTGCCCAGCAACCACCCCCTCTAGGAAGTGAGGAGCGTCTCTGCCTGGCCGCCCATAGTCTGGGATGTGAGGAGCCCCTCTGCCCGGCCGCCCAGTCTGGGAAGTGAGGAGCACCTCTTCCCGGCCGTCATCCCGTCTAGGAAGTGAGGAGCGTCTCTGCCTGGCCGCCCATCGTCTGGGATGTGGGGAGCGCCTCTGCCCCGCCGCCCTGTCTGAGATGTGAAGAGCGCCTCTGCCCCGCCGCGACCCCGTCTGGGAACTGAGGAGTGTCTCTGCCCCGCCGCCACCCCGTCTGGGAGGTGAGGAGCGTCTCTGACCGGCCGCCCCGTCTGAGAAGTGAGGAGCCCCTCTGCCCGGCAGCCGCCCTGTCTGGGAAGTGAGGAGCGTCTCCGCCCGGCAGCCACCTGTCCGGGAGGTGGGGGGCAGCCCCCGCCCGGCCAGCCGCCCCATCCGGGAGATGGGGGGCGCCTCTGCCTGGCCGCCCCTTCTGGGAAGTGAGGAGCCCCTCTGCCCAGCCGCCACCCCGTCTGGGAGGTGTACCCAACAGCTCATTGAGAACGGGCCATGATGACGATGGCGGTTTTGTCGAATAGAAAAGGGGGAAATGTGGGGAAAAGAAAGAGAGATCAGATTGTTACTGTGTCTGTGTAGAAAGAAGTAGACATAGGAGACTCCATTTTGTTCTGTACTAAGAAAAATTCTACTGCCTTGGGATGCTGTTAATCTATAACCTTACCCCCAACCTCGTGCTCTCTGAAACATGTGCTGTGTCCACGAAGGGTTAAATGGATTAAGGCCGGTGCAAGATGCGCTTTGTTAAACAGATGCTTGAAGGTAGCATGCTGGTTAAGAGTCATCACCACTCCCTAATCGCAAGTTCCCAGGGACACAAACACTGCGGAAGGCGACAGGGTCCTCTGCCTAGGAAAACCAGAGACCCTTGTTCACATGTTTATCTGCTGACCTTCCCTCCGCTATTGTCCTATGACCCTGCCAAATCCCCCTCTCCGAGAAACACCCAAGAATGATCAATAAATACTAAAAAATTAAAAAAAAATAAAAAATAAAAGTAATGGCAAAACTGCAATTACATTTGCACCAACCAAGTTTAATGCAATTTCTACAAAAATTCCAAAAAATTTTTTTTTGTAGACATAGACAAATTTATTCGAAAAGTTATATGAAAAAACACAGGCCTGCCAAATGTTGTGGATCATGCCAGTAATCCTAGTGCTTTGGGAGGCCGAGATGGGAGGATCGCTTGAGGCCAGGAGTATAAGACCAGCCTGGGCAATATAGTGAGACCTTGTCTCTACAAAATTTTATATATATAAAATTACTGGTGGTACATGCCTGTAGTCCTAGCTACCCGAAAGGCTGAGGTGGGAGGTTTTCTTGAGCCCAGAAGTTTGAGGCTGCAGTGAGCTATGATCCCATCACTGCACTACAGCCTGGAAAACAGAGCAAGACCCTGCCTCTTAATACACACACACATACAATCACACACACGTATAAAACAATGAATATCACATAGCTAAGGCAATCAAGAGAGTGTGGTATTGTTGGAGGAATAGACACATAGATAAGTGGAAAATACTAGAGAACCCGGAAGTAGACCTACACAAATATGCCTAGCTGATATTTTTAAAGGTGCAAAAGTAACTCAATGGAAGGAAAGCCTTTTCAACAAATAGTGTTGCCTGGGCATGGTGGCTTATGCCTATAATCCCAGTCCTCTGAGAGGCCAGGGCAGGAGGCTCACTTGAGGCCAGGAGTTCCAGACCAGCCTAGGCAATATAGCAAGACTTCATCTCTACAAAAAATAAAAATAAAAGTTAGCCAGGCATGTTGGTGCATACCTGTAGTCCTAGCTACTTGGGAGGCTGAGGCAGGAGGATCCCTTGAGCCCAGGAGGTTGAGGTTGCAGTGAGCTATGATTGCACCACTGAACTCCAGCCAGGGTAACAGAGTGAGACCATGTCTGTCAAAATCAAACAAAGATAAAACAAAGAAACACCTTAACCTAAACCTCACAATTCGTTAAAAAATTATCTCAAAATGGATTATGGGCTAGGGCTATGGATAGAGTTACAGATTTTAAACCAAAAACACAATTGACAAAAGGAAAAACTGAAAAATTAGACCTCATGAAAAGAAAAAACTTTTGTTTGACAAAATACACAGTTCAGATAAAAAGGCAATTTATAGACTTGGAGTAAATCTTTGCTAATATGTATTTGACCCAAAAAATTGTATTTAGAATACATAAAGAAATATTATATTTGACAGTATAAAGCAAAACCAAGCAAAAATCCAATTAGATAATGGGCAAAAGACATGAACAGACAATTCACTGAAAGAGAGCAAAGGGATGGCAGATAAGCATATAAAAACATCATTCAACATCAGTAACCATTTGAGAAATGCAAATTAAATCCACTTTGAGATAGCACTATACAGCTATCAGAATATTTAAAATAAAAACTAATGACAAGCGGGATGGCAGTTTAGGAAGCTCCAGGATCCCCCAAGGAAACACTGAATAAATAACAACACTGCACAAAAATAGCTTTGTGAGAACTCTAGAAACCAGTTAAGAAACTGCAGCAACCAACTAAAAAAAATTTTTGAAGGGGTTTATTCCACTTGCAACGCAGATCCAAACATTTGTATAAAGTCATATGCGAATACTATAGGCATGAAAGATGTACGTTTACCTGCACCTGCACACATCACTGATCATATTGTACACAAGGACAGATTTTTACATTTTTTTTAAAATTTTGGGGTTGAGGAACATGTACAGGTTTGTTACATCAGTATATTGCGTGATGCTCTAATCTAGGTTTGGGCTTCTAATGATTTCATCACTTAAGTGGTGAACATAGTACTCAACAGGTAGTTTTTCAACCCTTTCCCGTCTCCTTCCCTCTCTCTCCCCGTTTTGGAATCCCCAGTGTTTATCGTTCCTATCTTTGTGTCCATGTGTACCCAATGTTTAGTTCCCACTTACAAGTGAGAACATGAGGTATTTGGTTTTCTGCTTCTACGTTAATTTGCTTAGATTAATGGCCTCCAGCTGCATCCATGTTGCTGCAAAGGGCATAATTTTGTTATTTTTTATGGCTGCATAGTATTCCGTGATGTATATGTACCACATTTTCTTTATTCAATCCACTATTGATGGGCACCTGGATTAATTCCATGTCTTTGCTATTGTGAATAAATAGTACTGTGATAAACATATGAGTGCGGGTGTCTTTTTGGTAGAATGATTTATTTTCCTTTGGATATATACCTGGGTAATGGGATTGCTGGGTTGAATGGTAATTCTACTTTTAGTTCTTTAGGAAATCTACAAACTGCTTTCCACAGGTGCTGAACTAATTTGCATTTCCATCAACAGTGTATAAGCATACACTTTTCTCCAGTATCTCACCAACATCTGTTATTTTTTGACTTTTTAATAATAGCCATTCTGACTGGTATGGGATGATATCTCACTGTGGTTTTGACTTGCATCTCTCTCATAATTAGTGATGTTGAGCATTTTTTCCATATGTTTCTCAGATGCTTCTCTGTCTTTTTTTGAAACTGTCTTTCATGTTTTTTGCCCACTTTTAAATGGTGCTATTTATTTATTTTTGTTAATTTGTTTAACTCTCTTGCAGATTCTGGATATCAGTCCTTTGTTGGGTACATAGTTTGTAAATACTTTCTCTCATTCTGTAGGTTGTCTATTTACTCTGTTGACAGTTTATTTTGATGTGCAGAAGATTTTTAGTTTAACTAGGTCCCAATTGTCAATTTTTGTTTTTGTTGTATTTGCTTTTGAGGACTTAGTAATAAAGTCTTTGCCTAGGCCAATGTCTAGAAGGATATTTTCTAGAGTCTCTTATGGGATATTTATAGTTTAAGGTCTAAGGACATTGTATAATGATAAAAAGATCAATTCTTCAAGAAGATGTAACAATTATGAACATATATGCACCAAATATCAGATCTCCTAAATCTATGAAGGAAATATTGATGAATTGAAGGGAGAAATAGACAGCTCTACAATAATAGTTGGATATTTTAGTACTATTTTTCACTTATGGATTGGTATGGTTTGGATCTGTGTCCCCACCCAAATTTCATGTTGAATTGCAATTCTCAGTGTTGTGGGTGGGGCCTGGTGGGAAGTGATTGGATCATGAAGGTGACTTCTCATGGTTTAACATCATCACCCTAGTGCTATCTCATGATAGAGTTCTCATGAGATCTGGTTGTTTAAAAGTGTGTAGCACCTCCCCACTCTTTTCTTTCCCCTGTTCCAGCCATGTAAGATGTGCCTGCTTCTTCTTCATCTTCCACCATGAGTGAAAGTTTCCTGAGGCCTCCCCAGAAGCTGTCATACTTCCTGTACAGCCTGCAGAACCATGAGCCAATTAAACCTCTTTCATATATAAATTATCCAATTCCAGGTATTTCTTTATAGCAATGCAAGAACAGACTAATACATGAATAGAACAACTGCATATAAAATCATTGAGAAAACAGAGGACTTGAACAACAGTATAGACCAATTGATCTGACAGATATATATAGAACACTACACCTAACAAGAGCAGAATACACATTTTTCTCTAGTGCACATGGAACATTCTCTAGGGTAGATCATATATTAGGACACAAAACAAGTCTTAATAAATTTTAAAAGTTTGAAATCATACAACTTAACTTTTCTGATCACAATTGAATGAAACTAGAGATCAATAGCAGAAGGAAAACTGAAAAAAACACAAATGTGGAAATTTGTATGTGAGAAATAAATAACACACTTTAAATAACCAATGGGTCAAAGAAGAAACCACAACTGAAATTAGAAAATATCTTGAGAAAAATAAAAACAAAACATGACATGTCAAAACTGTGGGTGCAGCAAAAGCAGTGGTAAGAGGAAAAATTATAGCTGTAAATGCTTAGAGTAGAAAAGAAGAAAGATCTCAAATCAACAATCTAACTTATACCTTAAGGAACTAGGAGAGGAAAAACAAACTAAACTCAAAGGTAGTAGAAGGAAGGAAATAATAAAGATTAGTGAAGAGATAAATAGAGAATAGAAAAACAATAGAGAAAATCAATGAAACTAAAGTTGGTTATTGGAAAAGATCAACAAAATCAGCAAATATTTAGCTGGATTGCATAAGAAAAAAAGAGAAGACTTAAATAACTAAAATCAGAAATGACAGAGGGTACATTAAAACTGATTTTGCAGAAATAAAAAAGGATTGTAAGAGAATACTATGAACGACTCTCAACAAATTGGATAACCTAGATGAAATGGGTAAATTCCTAGAAACACATGATCTGCAAGACTGATTCATGAAGAAATAGAAAAGCTGAACAAACCTATATCCATCAAGGAGAATGAATTAATAACAAAAAAGCTTCTAACAAAAAAAGAGCCCTGGACCAGATGTATTCTACCAAGAATTTAAGTAATGAATTAACACCAATCCTCCGCACATACTCCCCAATAAATTAAAAAGGAAGAAACACACTTTAACTCATTCTAAGTGGTATTACTTTGATACCAAAACCAGACAGAGACACTAAAAGGAAAGAAAACAACAGATCAATATCTCCAATGAATACTAATGCTAAAATCCTTAACAAAATACTAGTCAACAGAATTCAACAGCATATTAAAAGAATTATACATCTTGTTCAAGTGGGATTTATTCCTGGAATGCAAAGATAGTTCAATATATAAAAATCAATCAATGTTTTTTCATTTTACATCACATCAATAGAATGAAGGAAATAACCACAGGATTATTGCAATTGATCCAGAAAACATCTCAATTTTTGTTGAATTTGACAAAAGTCAGCACCCTTTCATGAGAAAAACACTCAACAAAGTAGGAATATAAGGGAACTACCTCAACATAATAAAAGCCATATATATATATATCATGCCTGTAATCCCAGCACTCTGGGAGGCTGAGGCAGGTGGATCACTTGAGGCCAGGAGTTCGAGACCAGCCTGGCCAATATGGCAAAACCCTGTCTCTACTAAAAATACAAAAATTAGCCAGGCGTGGTAGCACACGCCTGTAATCCCAGCTACTTGGTAGGATAAAACACGAGACTCACCTGAACCCAGGAGGTGGAGGTTGCAGTGAGTCAAGATCATGCCACTGCACTCCAGCCTGGGTGATACAGTAAGACTCTCTCAAAAAAAATAAAATTAGATTAAATTTTTTAAAAAAGCATATATGAAATACTCATAGGCAAACATAATACTCAATGGTGAAAGACTAAAAGCTTTTGCACTAAGATCAGGAACAGGATTTCTATTGAACATAATACTAGAAATCTTAGCCAGATAAATTAGACAAGAAAAAGAAAAGATGTCCAAATTGGAAAAGAAGAAGTAAAAATATACCTGTTTGGGCTGGGCGCAGTGGCTCACACCTGTAATCCCAGCACTTTGGGAGGCCCCAAGGTGGGTGGATCACCTGAGGTCAGGGGCTCAAGACCAGCCTGGCCAACATGGTGAAACCCCATCTCTACTAAAACTACAATGATTAGCTGCGCATGCTGGTGGGCACCTGTAATCCCAGCTACTTGGGAGGCTAAGGCAGAAGAATTGCTTGAACCCGGGAGGCGGAGGTTGCAGTGAGCTGAGATGGTGCCGTTGCACTCCAGCCTGGGCGACAAGAGTGAAACTCAGTCTAAAATATATATATATATATATATATTTTTTTTTTTGAAGAACTATTTGTATACCAATGCTCATAGCAGTATTATTCACAATAGCCAAAATGAGGAAGAAACTCAAGTGTCCAAGATGAATGGACAAACAAAATGTGCTATGTCCATATGATGGAATAAAGGAAGAAAATTCTGACACATGCTACAAGAGGAATGAATCTTGAAGACATTATGCTATAAGTGAAATTAGCCAGTCACAACAGGACAACACTGTAAGATTCCAATTATATGAGGTACCTCGAGTAGTCAAATCCATAGCAACAGGAAGTAGAATGACGGTTGCCAGGGGCTGGGGGCAGGAGGGAATGAGGAGTTGTTGTTTAATGGATACAGAATTTCAGATATGCAACTTGGAAAGAGTTCTGGAAACTGGCTGCACAATAATGTGAATGTACTTAACATGACTGAGCTGTACATTTATAAATGGCTAAGATGGTAAATTTTATGTTATATATATTTTACCACAATTCAACATTTTAAAAATGCTGGTGAAGATGTATAGAAAAATGGATCACTCATCTATTGCTGCGGGAATATAAAGTGGCACAGCCATTCTGGGATGCGGTTTGGCAGTTACCTATAAAACCAAACATGCAGCTACCATATGACCCAGCAATTGCACTCTTGGGCATTTATCTCGGAGAAATGAAAATTTATTTTTACACACAGCCCTGTGCATGAGTGTTCATAACAGCTTTATTTGTAATAGACCCAAAGTAGAAACAGCCCAGATATTCTTCAATAAGTGAAAGCCTAAACAAACTATGGAGCATCCATGTTATGGATACTCAGTCATGAAAAGAACAAACCATTCACACACACACAACAACTTGGATGAAATTTCAAGAGAATTATGCTGAGTGAAAAAAGTCAATTCCAAACGGGTACATACTGTCTAAATCCATTTATGTAACATCTTTGAAATGATAAAATTATAAAAATGGAGAGCAGATTAGTGGTTGCCAGGGTTAGGGAAAGGGTGGGAGGAAAGGGAGATGGAGCGGCTATTAAAAGGGATCCTTATGGGGATGGAAATAGCTGTGCCTTGATGAATCTATGTCAATATCTTGATTGTGATGTTGTACTACAGTTTTGCAAGATGTGATTATTGGGGGAAACTGGTGAAGGGTACATGAAAATCTCTGTATTACTACTAATATCTGCATTTGAATCTACAATTATCTCAAAATAAAAAAGTTTAATTTTAAAAAAGCAATAATAATAGATTATTATCTCTCCCTGTTTTCTGTGAGCATGGCAGCTACAGGTTGTCTTTGCTCCTGTGTGTCTGGGGTCTTAAGTGAAAAATGCTAAGGCAGGGGTGGGACCAACTGGAGGCCTCTTCCCGACCTATCTATCAGTAAGTTGGTGCTGGCTGCTGGCTGCTGGCTGGGACCCGAACTTGACTGTCAACCAGGACACCCACACATGGCTTCTCTGTGTTGCCTGGGCTTCCTCACAGCATGGTGGCTGGCTTCAAGTTCAAGTGTCCCAGTTAAAAAAACCAAGCCAATGGGAAGCAGTGTCATCATTTTTGACTGAGCCTCAGGAGTCACCCGGCAAATCCGCAGTCACAAAGTCTCCCCCAGACACAGGGGGAGGGAATTCTTACTTCTTCACGGGATTAGGCAAGGTTCTAGAAGGATAAATATTGTCATGGCCACTTTTGTAAAGAGTCAGCTTCCTCAAAGAAGGTCTTCCAAAGTGTAGAAAGTCCAGGCCTCAACACTCAGATCCTCCTTGAAATGCACTCTGAGAGACTAATGAGCTGTGATTTGAACCTGGGTCCCTTGGCCTAGGAGCCCCAAAAAGCTGGGGCAGTGTCTGGAGGCAGTCCCCTTCCTCCGCTTCCCTTCCTTTTCTGCATGGCTGGATGATTCGTTGGGCCCAACATGACCCAGTGGAGCCACCGTTACCAGCACGTGGTCAGGAGGAGGCTCAGGTGAGGGCCGGTACAGACTAAGCTGGAGCCCCAGATGCTGCCATTGCAGACACCTCCAGACTGTGGCCCTGGAACCAAGGGGCCTCAGCACAGGGAACTCAGAGGAAGGGCGTCGGGCAGGTATGAGGCCCCATCCCAGGCCATTTGGGAGTGGGGTAGACCAGGACTTCTTCAGATCAGAGGACTTCCCTCTTCCATCTGCTTTCCCTCAGGAAAAATGGCCTAGGGAAGATTTTTCAGCGGTTGACAGATGGGATCCATCCCTCCATCCACCCATCCAACACTCTGGGACCTGCTCGCCAGGATCCGGGATGATGGGAGCGGGAGACCAGCACAGATCAGCGCAAGGCCAAGCGGACACTTGGAAGCCCCCATTGTGGCCACCACACTCTAAGTGCCTGTACTCAGGACTGAGCTGATCTGTGTCGGGGCTGGAAGGGCAGAGGCAGGAGGGAGACCCTCCAAGGCTGGAAAGGTGGGTGCTGGAGCTCCAAGACTGTGGTGAGGGAAAGGCACTGCAACTGAGAGTGGGGCTTGGACGAGGGGATGTGGCTGAGGCCCTCACAAGGCTGCGGGTCCTCGCTGAAGTCCCTGGTTGGAGGCTGCAGCCTCAGGGAACGGGGTGGTGGAAACTCCCTCCACTGTCACAGAGAGATGGCCAGGAAGTAAGTCTCCACCTGAGGACTAGGGGAAAGCAACAAAGCCCAGCCTATGCCCCACACTGTACAGTTTTCTATTGCAGCACAGTGAATCACCACAATTTGGTGACATAGGCCAGACGAATTTATTATCTCAGAGTTTCTGTGGGTCAGGAGTCCAAGCACAGCTTAAAAAGACTCTCAGCTGGGCACGGTGGCTCACGCCTGTAATCCCAGCACTTTGGGAGGCTGAGGTGGGTGGATCACCTGAGGTCGGGAGTTCGAGACCAGCCTGAACAACATGAAGAAACCCCATCTCTACTAAAAATACAAAATTAGCAGGGTGTGGTGGCATGCACCTGTAATTCCAGCTACTTGGGAGGCTGAGGCAGGAGAATCGCTTGAACCCAGGAGGTGGAGGTTGTGGTGAGCCAAGATCACACCATTGTACTCCAGCCTGGGCAATAAGAGCGAAACTCCACAGTAAAAAAAAAAAAAAAAAAACTCTCTGCTTAGGGTCTCACCAGGCTGTAATCAAGTTTCCGTTCATTTATTTGGAGCTCCATGTTCTCTCTAAGCTCATTCAGGTTGCCCAGTTTGTAAGTTGCAAGATTCAGTTCTATCTTGCAGTTCCAAGACTCGGGTCCCCACTTTGTTGCTGGCTGTAGGCCACCCTGGGACTTGTCTCAGCTTCTGGAGACCATGCTTGGTCCTCGCGACATGGACTCTGTGTGCATCTACTCTGGGACTGCTATAAAGAAATACCGGAGGCTGGGTCATTTATAAAGAAAAGGGGTTTAATTGGCTCATGGTACTGCAGGCTGTACAGGAAGCATGATGCTGGCATCTGCTCGGCTTTGGGGAGGCCTCAGGAAACTTACAATCAGGGCAGAAGGTGAAGGGGAAGCAGATACGTCGTCTTACATGGCTGGAGCAGGAGCAAAAGAGGTGAGAGGGGAGGTGCTATCCACTTTTAAACAACTAGATCTGGTGAGGACCCACTATCATGAAGACAGCAACAAAGGGATGGTGTCAAACCATGAGAAACTGCCCCCATGATCCAATCACTTCCCACCAGGCCCCACCTCCAACACTGGGGATTACAATTCCACATGAGATTTGGGTGGGAACACAGATCCAAACCATATCAGACCCACAAGCAGTCTGCAACACGACAGTCTGCTGTCTTCTGGGCCACGTCTCCATGAAGCTTCACCTTCTTTCAAAGGCTCCTCTGGTTGGGCCAGGCCCACCCAGGATAACCTGGATAGTCTCCCTCTTGATTAATTCAATGTCAACTGACTTGTGACAATCACAGGAGTGACATCCTATCATAGTCACTGATTCTGCACACACTAAAGAGGAAGGAATTCTATAGGGAGTTCATACCAGGGGCAGGACTCTTGGGGCCATGCTAGAATCCCGCTTGCCACATATGGGTTTGGAGTCTGAATTTACACCTGTCGAATTGTGGAAATCTCCATGATTAACATCCATTAGGTCCCAGGCAGGAGATATCTTTGCAGTGCATGACAGAGGCAAATAGAAAAATTCTCACAGAAGGCTGGTCGTGGTGTCTCACGCCTGTAATCCCAGCACTTTGGGAGGATGAGGCGGGTGGATCACGACGTCAGGAGATCGAGACCATCCTGGCTAACACGGTGAAACCCTGTCTCAACTAAAAAATACAAAAAAATTAGCCGGGCGTGGTGGCAGGCGCCTGTAGTCCCAGCTACTCAGGAGGCTGAGGCAGGAGAATGGTGTGAACCTGGGAGGTGGAGCTTGCAGTGAGCCGAGATTGTGCCACTGCACTCCAGCCTGGGCGACAGAGCGAAGACTCCAGCTCAAAAAAAAAAAGAAAGAAAAATTCTCACAGGAAAAAAAAATTATATATATATATATATTATATATATATAAATTATATATATTATATATATTATATATATAAAAATTATATATATTATATATATTATATATATTATATATATAAATTATATATATAATATATATTATATATATTATATATATAAATTATATATATAATATATAAATTATATATAATATATATATTATATATATAAATTATATATATAATCACTGAAGATAACATCACAATAAAAAAATTGAACAGACACACGGAAACTCCATTCCCTGCATAAGCAAGTCAGCAGGCAAAATGAATAGGAGCATTGGGATCCATCCCAGGACCTGCAGACCTCTCCTCCTCAACAGGTGTGTGTAATATAGGTTTCCTACCGTGTACTTGGCTGTTGATCTAGATATTGCTTAAAAGGACAGTGAGATTGCATGAAAACCACCACCTACAAAGATGATGAAAATTTTCATTATGAAATTTTGTATTTCATTAAGTTTTAAGATATTTTGTAATGTTTTCCACATGAATGAAACTTTATCATATGTGACCCATTGCACTATTTGATCATATTATGTACAATTTGGGATTAATTTTCAAACCTAAGTATTGCTTTAAGAATTTGAGTAATGAGGCCGGGCACAGTGGCTCACATCTGTAATCCCAGCACTTTGGGAGGCTGAGGCGGGAGGATCACACTTGAGGCCAGGAGTTCGAGAGCAGCCTGGCCAATATGGTGAAACCCTGTTCCTACTAAAAATACAAAAATTAGCCAGCCAGGTGTGGTGGCACACACCTGTAATCCCAGCTACTCAGGAGGCTGGGAGAATCATTTGAACTTGGTAGGCAGAGGTTGCAGTGAACCAGGGTCATGCCACTGCACTCCAGGCTGGGCTGGGCATTTTTTTTTTTTTCTGGAAAAAAAAGAAAAGAAAAGAAAAGAATTCGAGTAATGATTCCAGTTGCTACCACCTCATCAGAGCAAAGTTTCTCTAAATTGAATTTAAATATATTTAAATATATATATAACAACTATTTTGTTGATTCAGGAAAGGTGTAACTTGGCTTTCCTATCATTTGAACATAAATCTATGAAAATCTCATTATCTCAACATAATCAGTGATTTTGCTAAAGCAAAGGCAGGAAAAATAAATTTTACAGAATAAATAACAGTTTATGAAGTATGACTTTATTATTCATGCAAACAACACCAACCCATCAACATCACACCCAGACATGAACAATAATTAAATTCAGCCATCTATGATATTTTGCCACGTTTCAATCATATAAAAACTGTAACTTTATACATATTAGTTTGATTTATGACCTTTACTTTTTTTTTTTTTTTTTTTGGTAGAGATGGGGTCTCCTCATGTTGGCCAGACTGGTCTAGAACTCCTGACTTCAAGTGATCCGCCCTCTTCAGCCTCCCAGAGTGGTGGGATTACCTTTCTTTTTTTCTTTTTTTTTTTTTTTTTTTTTTGAGACAGAGTCTCCCTCTGTCCCCCAGGCTGGAGTGCAGTGGCGCAATCTTGGCTCACTGCAAGCTCTGCTTCCCGGGTTCACACCATTCTCCTGCCTCAGCCTCCCGAGTAGCTGGGACTACAGGTGCCCGCCACCACGCCCGGCTAATTTTTTGTATTTTTAGTAGAGGCAGGGTTTCACCGTGTTAGCCAAGATGGTCTCGATTTCCTGACCTCGTGATCCGCCCGCCTCGGCCTCCCAAAGTGCTGGGATTACTGGCGTCAGCCTCTGCGCCTGGCCGAGTGGTGGTATTACTGCAGGTGTGAGCCACCACACCTGACTATGATTTTTACATGTTTAGACATGTGGTCAGAGGGCCCTGGACACTGTCACTCTAAGAGGGTCGCTGGGAAAAAGGCCAAGCCTGGGGATCACAGCAGAGGACACACCTGGAGCAGCTGGGTCTGAGGGACTGGGCTCCCCTCTGAGGTCACGGTGCCCTTGCAGGGAGGGCCAGGCCAGCAGCAAAGACACACATCTCCAGGTTCTGTTGGACCAGGCCTCAATGGCGCCGCCACGTGGCAGCGTGGAGCAATGTCAGGAACCTGCTCTTCCCACACCAAGAAAACTTTGCACCAAGTCCCCAGGGATTTTTTTGGATTGATTGATTGATTTCTTGAGAATTCAAGGCAAGAGGGGACTGCCAGGGGAAGATATGGGGCTTTCTATTTTTAAGGCCAGTGAATACCAGAATGATTAATTTCAAAGATAATTTGCATTCTGAGTTTGTGGAGCGACACACCAAGAAGTAGATTGTTTTGTGCACAGCAGCTGGGAGCAGGTGGCATAGAGGTTAAACCAGGGAACCTGGACCAGACCTGTGCTTATGTGCTGGCTCCATTACTGGTTAGTCGTGTGATGCCAGGCAAGTTCTGTGGTCTCTCCAAGTCTGTCTTCCCCCAAGTCAATGGGAGTCGTGGGCAGCCTCAAAGCCCCAGAGATGCTGTGATTGATTGAGACAAACTTTGCTTGGCTCCTGCACTCAGTACGGGCTCTACCAATGTAGCTCTCTTTCCCTTCTCCTTCTTCTATCCCTAACCTCCCCCTCCTCCTCCTCCCTCGTAGATGGCAATCCTTGAGTGCTTGTTGGGTGAGTTAATGAATTTGGATGCAAGCCACCAAGGGCGATGGACTTGATCGGTTTCTCCAATCATCCTCGAATTGCCTGGATTCCTACCACACTCCGCCTTCCCCTCCTTAGTCAAGTGTGTTGGACTTTTCTGTCTTTGAGTACCCAGCACACTGTTCCCCAGCTGAGGGCCTCCTGTCTCAGTTTACAGAGAAAACAGAGGAATCGGGCACTTGCCTTCCTTCCCCCATCTTGCTGTCAGCCAGCATCCCTTCTCCTCTGCTTCCATGGGGCCAGCCCTGCCTTGTCCCTTCAGCTCACCATGTCTAAGAACTTCACTCCTGCAATTACCCTCCTCTCACAGTTGGGTTACCAAGTCATGTTACATATCTCCACTCTTTCTTTTCTTTTCTTTCTCTTTCTTTCTTTCTTTTTCTTTCTCTCTTTCTTTTCTCTTTCTTTTCTTCTTTCTTTCTCTCTTTCCTTCTCTTTCTTTCTTTCTTTTTCTTTCTTCCTTTTTCCTCTCTCCCTCCCTCTCTCCTTTCTTTCTTTTTCCTCTCTCCTTCCCTCTCTCCTTCCTTCCTTCCTTTCTTTCTTTCTTTCTTTCTTTCTTTCTTTCTTTCTTTCTTTCTTTCTTTCTTTCTTCCTTCCTTCCTTTCCTTCCTTCCTTCCTTCCTTCTTTATTTCTGTCAGGCCTCTGAGCCCAAGCTAAGCCATCATATCCCTTGTGACCTGCACATACATATCCAGATGGCCTGAAGCAACTGAAGAGCCACAAAAGAAGTGAAATAGCCTTAACTGATGACATTCCACCATTGTGATTTGTTTCTGCGCACCCTAACTGATCAATGTACTTTGTAATTTCCCCCACCCTTAAGAAGTTTCTTTGTAATTCTCCCCACCCTTGAGAATTTACTTTGTGAGATCCACCCCTTGCTCACAAAACATTGCTCCTAACTCCACCGCCTATCCCAAAACCTATAAGAACTAGTGACAATCCCATCACCCTTTGCTGACTCTCTTTTCGGACTCAGCCTCCCTGCACCCAGGTGAAATAAACAGCCTTGTTGCTCACGCAAAGCCTGTTTGCTGGTCTCTTCACATGGACACATGAGACTCCTTCTTTTCTTTTCTTTTCTTTTCTTTTCTTTTCTTTTCCTTTCTTTCTTTCTTTCTTTCTCTCTCTCCTTCCTTCCTCTTTCTTTCTTTCTTTCTTTCTCTCCTTCCTTCCTCTTTCTTTCTTCTTTCTTTCTTTCTTTTTTCTTTCTTTTTTTGACAGTCTCACTCTGTCACCCAGGCTGAAGTGCAGTGGCACGATCTCGGCTCACTGAAGTTTCTGCTTCCCTGGTTCAAGCGATTATCCTGCCTCAGACTCCCGAGTAGCTGGGATTACAGGCATGTGCCTCCATGCCTGGCTAATTTTTTTTTTTTTTTTTTTTTTTTTTGTATTTTTAGTACAGATGGAGTTTCACTATGTTGGACAGGCTGGTCTTGAACTCCTGACCTCTGGTGATCCACCTGCCTTGGCCTCCCAGAGTGCTGGGATTACAGGCATGAGCCACTGTGCCTGGCCTCCGCTCACTTCCAAACTTGCTCCAAGTCTTCAACGTTTCAAACAAAACAGCAGTGGTGCCCAGGCTCTCTGGAAGCCAGGCCATCCTCCCAAGTTGGCCCACTCCTCCACCCCTTCCTGCTCGCTTGCCCTGCCCTGCTGCCTTCCCGTCCTTCTTTTCTCCACTGCTTTGTGTGAGCTTCTGAAGTCTCCTGTCCCTAGAAACTGCCCTTTGTCAAGGTCATGAATAAGCCCTGGGGCCAAATCAAGGGGTGGAAAATGGAGACAGGCAAGGGAGGCAGAGCTCAGGGAAGAGGGAGAGGGAGTGGCCTTGTGAGTGTGGACTGAGCTCAAATTCTAGCCAGGGCCTTCCAGGAGACCTTGGTCTTCCCACTGGTCTTCCTCCTTTCTTGACCTCTCACAGCCTCATCCCCCACCCATTGACTCCAAACCCGTGTCTGTGACACCCTTGTTTCAACTTCTTGTCCTTGTGTCAGGGACCCAGGAGTCCCCGAACTGGAGACGTTACTGAACTTGTGATGGACTTTCCTAACTGGCTGCAAGGAGCCTCTGGTGGGGAGGGTGTCCTGGGGGGGGAAACGATGTGGAGGGAATATCATTAGCTCCCCATGGCCCCTCACTTTCCTGGCAGAGACTCCAAGGACGGGGTGCAGCAGCAAGTCTCATCCCCTCCACGCTGTGGCTGGTCCTCAGGGCCAGGGCACCCTGCCCTTGAGACCTCTTCCCACGTGTCAGCTCATCCTGGAACACCCAGAAGCAAAACAGGATCAGGCTTCTTGGAGTTTTCTTTCCAGTAAGGAGCTGGTCACTGACCAGCAGTGCACACTGAGCAGAAATTGCCATTGGTTTCTTTTTTAGGGATAGAGAGAGCAAGTGTGTGTGTATGTGTGTGTGTGTGTGTGTGTGTGTGTTGTAATCAGTGAATCAAAAAGATTCAAAGAGGAGAGAGTAGTGACTCCACCAGAGCTCAGAAAGAGGAGGAGGAAGAGGAGGAGGTAGCGGTGGCCATGGCCCAGCTTGTCAAGGAGCCGGCTGGTGCTCCTGAATCACGGAGGGCCTCCCATCCACCCACGCCGTCACCAGCAGGTGGGGACCGTCAGCCACTTTCTGGCAAATCTCAGCAAGTCAGCACGGCAAGTTGAAAGAAGGAGCCAGTACCTCTCCAGGACAGCCTTCCCTCCAGGGCCTGCTGGGGAAGAAGGAGCCTGGGAGCTGACTTCAGGCAGCGAAGTAGTAGGCTTGCAGGGCGGGAGAAGGCCCTGAAGCCCTGGCTCAGCCCTGGCGAGTCGGGCTCCACGGGGTGCTTGTCCTGGGCCTCGGCTTCCACATACAGGAGGTGCTGGCTGTGCCGCCTGACCCCTGAGCCGCGGGGATTAGATGACTTGCCCCGGGTCCTATTACTGGGACTTTTCAGAACCCAGCGGGACCCCGGGCCTCAGACCTGGCTGCTCTTCTGGGCACCAAGCACTGCCACTTCTCTCACGTTCTGACTGCCCCAGGCCCCTTCTCTTTTGGGACCAGTGCTGTTGAGCCTCCGAGGGTCCAGGAACCGGGTGTGGTGAGGTGCAGGGGTCCTGACTATGGGTCTGACTCTGGATGGCGGCAGGACAGCATTCCTGGGCCCAATCCCCTTCCCCTGCCTGCCTGCTCTGTCCCTGCTCCAGCTTGCGCGCCTCCACCCCCTGCTATCCCCTACTTTTAGCTGTCCTCTCACCCTCTCCACCCTGCCCCAGATCCTCCCTCACACACACAGGTTCTAGGCTGGCGGCTGGTTTGGTTGTCTCCCCCATGCTCTTGGAACCCCTAGGTGCCAGGTTATCATATCCGACCAAGAACAAAATCCACCCAGCAGTGAGCTGTGAGCACTTTCTGTTTGGTTGCTGAAGCATGAATTTGTTAGAAATAACGGCGGCTGACACCACAGTACGGCCCCTCAGCCACTCCTCCTACACGGTGGAACCTTCTGGAAGGCTGGATATGAGCTACGCCTGCCTCTTTTCTTGGTTCCTCCTGCTGCCCCCAAGAGCTGACTGCCTCTGGGGCTCACCCTTGGGTCAGAGCTGATGCCCTGAGGTTCAGGTATTGGCCCTGTCATTCTGGGAGCAGGTGTTTTCTTCCCACGCATCTGTCTGTCCCAGTTGCTCCAGGTCCACAGCCATGAGCAGAGCCATGACAGGGGCCGCTGCTGTCCATGAGAAGCACAGAACTTCTGGCTGGGGGTTGCCTCTTCCCTTCCAGGTATTAATTATAATAACTGAAATGTGCTTAACGCATGCTGGCCTCTACTTAAGCACTTTACATATATTAATCCATGCAATCATGCTACAAAATGGATGCCACTATCATTCCCATTCTACAGATGAGAAAACATAGGCTCAGTGCAACTGTCTAACTTGCCAGGGTTACCCATCCATCCAGAGATCAGCAGAACTGGGCCACCCAACTGGCTGGCCTGAGTCTTGTCTTCTATCTGCCTCTCAGGATGGCCATCCATCCACATGACCATGTGGCTTTCAAAGAACCTGGAAAAAGACACCTGTTCCAGGTGGAACAGGCACTATCTGCCTGTTCATGTGGGCATAAGCAGCCCACCTGTGGGGACTGCTTGGTTCTCCAGCCTTCCACACATCCAGTGCCCACGATATGCCCATATACCATATACTGTAAAGTGCTTGGGGAAAACCTTATTCTTGGGCCCCTGGCAAGGTCCTTGCCTGACTTCTCCTTAGGATGGGTGAGGGGAAGTAGCCTGGAGGGTCTACGTCCTGGCCTGGGGTGGAGATGTCACCTGGACTCTTGGCAGTGGGGGTTTCCACCCCCAGGATAAGCTTACTACCTGAGTCCTATAGGTTGCAAGTATGCTTATGATTTTCCTCTCAACCTCACATAACATTATGTAGGCTTTGGAGTCCAGAACCTGCTAACAGTTGAAAGAGCCACGTTGCAAGTAACTGTGCGGACTTATCCTGACCTTATGCAACAGATTCTACCGTGAATATGGAATAATGTGGAGTCACTCAGCAAATGCGCCCTGAAGGCCCACTGGGCATTGGAGAAGCAAAGGTGAGCAAGAGAGACACAAAACCCTGTCCTCGGGTTGCTTGGAGTCTAACAGGGCATTGAGCACCATGAGGGCCACGCTGTTTTGAGGACACACTCTGGACATTATTCATGAATAGCTTGGTTTATTACTGAGAAAAGTATACAGTGTAGGGTTCCCCTGCCTCTCTGGCTGTTTGTCAAGACAGTGAACAGCCGCCGGGCCTCCTTTTCAACAAACCAGCCAGCGCTGTGATGAACTCCGCCCCACGTGCACCTGGGCAAGGCTCTGTCACGAGGTTCTCTCCATCACTGTGTGGCTAGGCAGGACAGAAGGAGGGAGAGAAAGCAGCCATGCCTGGGTTCTCCCAAACCTTTGACATGCCCGGGTTCTCCCCAGCCTTTGATGTGGCAGAAAACAGCTCTCTGTAAGGCAGACAGCTGCACAGACAGAAAGCCCTGCTATTTGTCAGGGGCTGCCATAGACTGAGGCTGCACACTGAGAACCCTGTGTTCTGAATGCTGGCGCAGGCCTTAGGGGGATGCAACCCCACCTTCCTCTGGCTCGGGACCCCAAAATATGGGCTGGGCATGGGTGAGAGAAAGGATACTCTTTCATTGCCCACCTCCACCCCTGTTCCCCACGAAACAGATGGAAGATCAGCAGACTCGAGGGATCTGCTGGGCAATGAGCTTTTCTGCCTCAGTGGGTTTTCGCTGGAGTCTGGGGAATGGAGCATCCCTTGCAGGGATGGAGAGGACTCAGATTCAGGAAGCAGGGACATGGAAATGGCCCTATGGTGCCATTCAAACCGAGGCAAAGGCCAAGGGGGATGTAGGCTTCCCTGCCTATTGTCTCAGCGTCACCCTAACACAGCGGAGAGGGCACTCACTGTTTGTCTCCAGAAAACCAGACCCCTGTGAGGTCAAGTGGCCCATCCAAGGTCAGTGCCCTGCTTGCTTACTCGTGATCCTCTCTGTACTAGTCAGGGTTCTCCAGAGAGACAGGGCTAATGGAATATAGATATATAGACGTAGATCTGTAGAAAAAAGAGACAGAATGTATTAGGGGAATTGGCTCACACAATTATGGAGGCTAAGAAGTCCCATGACAGACCATCGACATGCTGGAGACCCTGGGACGCTAGTGGCGTGGCTCAGTGCAAATCTGAAGACCTAAGAACCTTGGTGGGCTGCTGGTGTAAGTCCTGGAGTCCTACGTCAGGAAAGCCTTGAGTTTTTATGTCCAAGGGCAGGAGAACAGTGTATTCCAGCTCTAGGAGAGACAGCAACCAATTTATCTTTTCTGTTTGTTCTATTCGGGCCTTCATCCAATTGGATGGCACCCACACACATCGAGGGCAGATCTTCCCCCCCTCGTCCACTCAAACTCATGCCAATCTCCTCTGCAAACACCCTCACAGGCATGCCCCAAAATAATGCTTAACCAGTTCTCTAGGTATTCTTTAATCCAGCCAAATGGACACCTGACGTTAACCATCACACGGTGTCGTCTATGTCAAGTTCACTAAGGAGGATAAATCATCCTACAGTATGCATCAGAAAGGTGTTTGGGGAAAACCGGACTTGTTGGAAGGAACTGTGGGCTCATCCAAGGGTTTGCCAGTGTAGCAAGTGAGTTGTGCTCTTCACGCTGGGTTGTTGGCACTCGCTGGTCTCCCTCCCACTGCTGCTAACCTGGGATCCTCCAACCCTTGATGACGATGCCACTCAGGGGTCTGCTGGGCCACTCTCCCTGTGATATTCACAAGTGGGGACTTGAACCCCTGACTGGTGATTTGTGGGGGGCTTGCCGCTGTAGGATCCTCTTTCCACCCCTCTGAGTGGACGAGAAGGAGCAGGACAGGGAGCTGGCATTGTGTCCCTGGTGGCTCCTTCCAGGTGGGCAGCGGGGAAGGGCTGCCCAGCCAGTCAGGGCAAGTGGGAGCTCAGGGCTGGGTTGATGGCCAAGGCTGTGAGGCTCAGAGCAGATGCCTTGAGCCTTCCTGCATGAGCCCTTGGGCCAGATGGAGTAGGTAAGCAAGGATCTCAGTCACACAAGGTAGTGTCCACCATGACTTCTGCCTCCTGTCAGCCACCCTCCCTCCAAGCCAGGTCTGCTGCTGGTAATCAAAAGAAGTAGGGTTTGTCAGAATTTCTGTTTGTGGGGCATAAACTTGTAGCACTACCACAGCAAAAGCATTTGTGTGTGCAGTTGTGTTCTTCATACATTTCATCTTATCACATTATGTTTTAGTGTCTCAGATACATCTGGTCCTGATGTCTGATGGCTCCAGTTAAAAGCATGCAAAACTGCCACCAAAGCAGTGAAATGCAGATAACAGTGACAAACGGATTAAGAGGCATTATCACTTCAAAGTGTGTTTAATTAAGATGAATCTCTGTACAAGAAAACCTGAAAATGCCTGGAAACCTTACAGCTCATATAGAGAAAAAAACATATTAGAAAAGGTCCCAGCCAGGTGCAGTGGCTCACACCTGTAATCCCAGCACTTAGGGAGGCCGAGGAGGGCGGATCACAAGGTCAGGAGATTGAGACCATCCGGGCTAACACGGTGAAACCCCGTCTCTACTAAAAATACAAAAAATTAGCTGGGCGTGGTGGCAGGCGCCTGTAGTCCCAGCTACTTGGGAGGCTGAGGCAGGAGAATGGCGTAAACCCAGAAGGTGGAGCTTGCAGTGAGCTGAGATAGTGCCACTGCACTCCAGCCTGGGTGACAGAGTGAGACTCTGTCTCAAAAAAGAAAAGAAAAGGTCCCAAATTTGAGTCTTAAAAATGTACATGATATTACTAATAATGGATTGTGAAGCTGAAAGTTTTCTAAACTTTTAATTAAATTTATTATTTTGATGCTAGACTATCAATTGAACTACGTCCTGGAGGCTGTCACTTGTTTTTGTAAATACAGTTTTGTTGGAACACAGCCATGCTCATTCATTTACAAATTGTCTATGGTCACTTTCCTGCTACAATGGCGGATATGGGTACTTAATACATAGGCTTGGTCCCCAAAGCCTGAAATATTTGCTTTGGTCCTTTACAGAAGAAGCTTCTGGCCCCCTGTGCCAGATAAAAGATTAAATTACCCTTTTATGTGTTGTATAGGAAATATGACCAAAAAAACCTGCCATATAAAGGATGACTAAAGAATTTGTAGCCAAAAATGTAGGAAAACACGTATTATATAATTATGTCAGGCAGTTAGCTATAAAAAGATGTTATGTTATATTTCTGTACTTTATGATGTTTGTGATGGTTTTCAGCTCTTTAAAATTTGTAAGGTTTATTATTTTCTCATTCTAAATATTTGCTTTTATACCTAATTTTTTATTTTCCAAATTTTTAATTCTTAAAGGAGTCTTATGACTGTATAATCTCCAGACCTCACAAAACTTGGATCCACACCTAGCCATTAAGAACTAATATACTACATTTGCATTTTAGAGAATAATTCCTATACTGCATGCAAGAAATTGGTGTATCTCAATTTAACTTGCTTGCAAAGACTTCAGAGTCTTATTGCACAAACAACAGTATCTAAGAGAATAAAAGTCAGCGAAGCCTTAAAGGAGCTGATCAAGTGACAGTATGATGACAATAAAATCACAACAGGGTGTGGCTGCTCACACCAAAGCAAGGGGGTCCGTGGGACTGTCAAAACTGCCCTAGTTTCTATTATAAAAAGCCCCCTCCCTTTGCCAATTACAAAATGAGCAGCCTGCCCTGCCCTCTCTCATTCCCGTTGCAATGGGCATGGCAATGCCAAGGGGGCATCCTCCCTTCACATTTGTGCAGGGCAAGAACCAAATTCCTTGATTCTTGGAGCTCCAGAACTCCAAACAGTGAGGGGCCTATAAGGTACCCCCAGCATGGTCCCTTCCCGTGGACCTCAAAGGAAGAGCGTGATCCTCTCTGACAGGATGCCACTGACTGCAAGCCACAGAATGTCTGGTCATCAGTGGTATCTGTGATAATGACTCTGAGGGACGCCCCTTTGCCAAGGCTCAGGAATGCTCCCACGGGCTGCCGGGCCTATTCAGCATGTCTGGGGTTTGGGGTTTCTCCCTCATAAATCACGGAGGGCTGCTCCCACCCCCAGCACTTCACACCGCACAGGGCCCCAGCAGGAGGGAAAGTGTGCTTTTTCCTCACCACCTGGAAAAGCTCTCACTGTAACACTCCCCTTCCTGCTCACTGCATCACATGCCCACCCTGAGCCAGTCACAGGAAAGCCCAACACCAAGCCAATCCCGATTCCCCGGGCGTCCTGGGCACACATCATTAAAGAAAAAGGCAATGGTGTGGAAACAGGTAACCCTCAGTGTCATGTTTCGTAGGCTCCAGGTACAAACCATTCCCATGGAAAGACTAAGCCTCTACAAAGGATTTGGCCCAGTCAGCGTAACCCTGGGGAATCTTGAAAATATCTCAAGCTGGTCCATAGGACACGGAGGTCACTGCCCCAGCTCTGGGTGGGTTTCTGAGTGTGGACCTGGATGGCTCCCAAGGCTCTTTGGGGATGCTCAGATAGTATCTCCAGCAGCACCTGCAAGTCAGCAGAAGATGAGGGAGCTTCCGGAAGCATATAGACCTAGATGCTAAGATCAAACCCCAGACCACAGAGAACCTACCACAGCAGAGAGTGGCACTGTTTAGATCTTCTGACTTCCACTGTCACCTGCCTTAGAGACAGGTGAATGCCAGGAGAGGTTAGCTGCTGATGCCTGAGAAATCTATCAAAGGAAAAGGTGGGCTTGTCCCAGGAAGCCTAGGGCATGATTCTCTAAACAGCAGGCAGAATTACAGAATCTTGGTGCCAAAGGAACCTTCAGAATTAACTAATCCAGGGTTTGTCAAGTTTTTTTGATGACGAACAAATAGATTGCACTATGCTATGGTTCGAATGTCTCCTCCAAAACTCATGTTGAAATTTCATTGCCATTGTAACAGTATTAAGAAGTGGGACCATTGAGGGGTGATTAGGTCATGAGGACTTTGCTCTTATAAATGGATTAAATGCCACAGAAAGGAGGAGTTCAGTCCTTGCTCTCATTCTGGCTCTTTCTTTGCCCTTCCTCTAGGGGGTGATGCAGCAAGAAGGCCCTCACCAGATGTCAGTCCTTTGATCTTGGACTTCCCAGCCTCCAGAATCATGAGCCAATAAATTTTTGTTCATTACAAATTACCCCACCAGGCTGGGTGCAGTGGCTCATGCCTGTAATCCCAGCACTTCTGGAGGCTGAGGCAGGCAGATTACCTGAGGTCAGGAGTTTGAGACCAGCCTGACCAACATGGTGAAACCCTGTCTCTACTAAAAATACAAAATTAGCTGGGCCTGGTGGCAGATGCCTGTTGTCCCAGCTACTCAGGAGGCTGAGGCAGGAGAAGTGCTTGAACCTCCAGGAGGCGGAGGTTGCAGTTAACTGAGATTGCACCATTGCATTCCAACCTGGGCAACAGAGCGAGACTCTGTCTCAATGAATAAATAAATAAGTAACCCCACCTGTGATATTATTATGTTATAGCAGCACAAAACACATCAAGATGCACTGTAAAAGAGTACATACACCGGGCATGGTGGCTCACGCCTATAATCCCAGCACTTTGGGAGGCCGAGGCAGGTGGATCATCTAAGGTCAGGAGTTTGAGACCAGCCTGACCAACATGGTGAAACCCCATCTCTACTAAAAATACAAAATTAGCTGGGCCTGGTGGCTCATGCCTGTAATCCCAGCTACTCAGGAGGCTGAGGCAGGAGAATCGCTTGAACCCGGGAGGCAGAGGTTGCAGTGAGCCAAGATCACGCCACTGCACTCCAGCCTGGGCGACAGAGCAAAACTCTGTTAAAAAAAAAAAAAAAAGTACATACACAGGTATATAAAACTAAACAATGGTTACACACAAACAATACTTACTCTTTTATTCTATTTCATTTACACTTTAAGCACCATTAAAACAATTTCAAACCCATGGTGGGTAGCAACGCACAATGTGGACACTCCTCTTCCCACCCTGGTGATCCCCACAACAGACCACTGGATGTCCGTAAGAAAGAAGTGCTCCTGATGCCTAAGGAAGTGCTCTTGCAATGCAGTTTCAAGTGAGAAAAGGAGGGTACAGAAAAGGGGAGTAGGGAAGCGTGGGGGCCTGGGATAGAAGCCAGGTTCCTCTGATCACACTTTGTCTTATAGATTGGACTTTGAAATCATGTAAATGTTTTACATAACTATAAAACAAAATTAAGCCAAAAGGAAAAAGAAAGCAATTTCAAGGTCAAAAGTAACATGACAGACATAAAGGTATGAATCTACTTGGTAGCTTAACCCACGGAGAAAAATGGTTTCCAGGGCCCTTTAACACAAGGCTTTGTGTAATTGGGTGCTTCATCCCTAGTGAGATGTATCCTAAGGGCAAAAAGAACTGCAAAGACCAAAAAATCTTAAACTGTCTTTAGTAATCACATTGTTGGTACTAATTTTCATATTATTGTCCTGAAATTATTATTCTGTTAGTTCTGAAGCTGTAATTCTCCAAGACATAGAAACAATGACTAATTTAGTCACAAATAACTCTCCTCAACCCTCCAACCCCACCCAGTGCCCAGACTGTGGTCTCTAAATTGCATTTTCCACTGAAAGAAGCCATGCTCTCAGAGAAATGCCTAACTAACTCCCAGTGCAGGGCAAGAAATGGACAACGTGAGCCTTGGAAAGACTCCTTAGAGTGAGTAAAAAGGACTCAAGAGCCAGCTTGAAGAGCCTCATTGGCCAAAGATGGGAGAGTTTGAACATTAAAAAGAATAAAACCTGAAGTATTCAGAAACATTTCAAATGTGAAAACAAAAGAAAACCAAAACCAAATATGGCTTCATCATAATGCTCAAACGAAACAAAAGGAAGCAATCTTAATTGATCACTTTTGGAGAATGCTGGAAAGTCAAAATATTTTCTGAAAACTGGTATATAACGGGGAAGAATGGGGACTTTTCTTGCCTTTTGTATATAAACAGTACCCCAGGAGAGCCAAACTGTGGATGAGCTAATCCATGCAGAGGAATGATAGAATTAGAAAATTCCACATTGAATTCCCCACTGGAATATCGGATGAAGGTCATGATTATCAAGGGCTAAAACCCCTCAACAAAAAGCTGATGGGTCGGCCGGGCGCGGTGGCTCAAGCCTGTAATCCCAGCACTTTGGGAGGCTGAGGCGGGTGGATCACCTGAGGTCAGGAGTTCAAGACCAGCCTGACCAACATGATGAAACCCCATCTCTACTAAAAATACAAAAATTAGCTGGGTATGGTGGCAGGTGCCTGTAATCCCAGCTACTTGGGAGGCTGAGGCAGGAGAATCACATGAATCTGGAGGCGGAGGTTGCAGTGAGCCAAAATCATGCGATTGCATTCCAGCCTGGGTGACACAGTGAGATTCCATCTCAAAAAAAAAAAAAAAAAAAAAAAAAAAGCTGATGGGTCAGGCTGAAAACACCCGAACCCTATAGTATATCCTACCATCACTAAAAGAGATACAACCAGACATTATGTGTGTGCTGGTGGAAATGCCTAACATCATCTATGAAACATTTCCAAAAACCTACACTGAAATCTGATGGGTCCTCCACATCTAATCCCCTAAATATATCAGGAAATGCAGAGATGGAAGAACATGTTAAACAGAAACGGGGGTGCAAACAACATAATCCAGAATGTGAGACATTCTTCAGGAAAAACAACCTAGGTTCTTCAATAAAGTACCATAACATTCAAAAGAGAGAGAGGCCCGGGTGAGGTGGTTCACGCCTGTAATCCCAGCACTTTGGGAGGCTGAGGTAGGCAGATCACCTGAGGTCAGGAGTTCAAGACCAGCCTAGCCAACATGACAAAACCCTGTCTCTAATAAAAAAAATAAAAATTAGCCTGACATAGTGGTGCATGCCTGTAGTTCCAGCTACTCAGGAGGCTGAGGCTAGAGCACTGCTTGAATCCAGGAGGTGGAGGTTGCAATGAGCTTAAATCTCACCACTGCACTCCAGCCTGGGCAACAGAGTGAGACCCTGTCTCAAAAACAATAAAATAAAATAATAGAGAGAGAGAACAGAGGATCTGTAGATTTAAAGAGACTTAAGGGACATATCCAAATGCAGTGTGTAGGTTTATTTGAACCCTGATTCAAACAACTATAAAAAATAACAAAACAGAAACATTTATGTGTCAATTAGGGAAATGTAAACACCAAGTGGATATTGTCAATATTTAAAGATTTATGGTTAATTTAGTATGCTGTGATAATGGAATTGTGGTTATGTTTTTAAAAAGGGTGTATGGGAGGGAGTTTTTATATTTTAGAAGCATATTCTCTTGATACATTGCTACAGTAATGGCCCCCAGTGGATTACTCCTCATTTCTATGCCCTTATGATTCTCCTTCCCACATTAATGCTGGGCTTGGTTATGTGACTTGTTTTGGCTAATAGGATATTAGCAAACATGATGCAGGCAGAGACTTGAAAAGTGCTTGCACATTTGGGCTTGCCCTCTCTCGGAAAGCTGCCACCATGAAAGCTTGCCGAAGCTAGCCTGCTGGAGAGGCCACTTGGAGAACTGAGGCACCTTAGCTAACTACCCAAACATGTGAGTGAGGCCATCAAAGACTGTCCAGCTCCAACCAAGTCACCAGCTGACTGCATCCAAATGGCAGAGCCCAGACAAAACCAACAGAAGAACCATCCTGCTGATCCCAGCCCAAATTGTTGACCCACAGAATTACGATCCAATAAATGATTGCTATTTCAAGCCACTAGACAAAGCCACTAGATAAGAAATGTAATTCTGTAATATGTACAAATGAAACTACAGATGTCTGGGGATTTGCTTAAAATAAAGCCAGGGGTAAAGTGAGTGGAAATACACACACACGAAACAAGATTGATTATTTGCTGATAATTGTTGAAGCTGGTGAGGAGTATGTGAGGGCTAATTTTACAACTCTCTCTGCCTTTGGTTTTGTTTGAGAGGGAAAATTTCCATAATGAAAAGATAAAACAGGCTGGGTGTGGTAGCTCATGCCTGTAATCCCAACACTTCAGGAGGCCAAGGCAGGCAGATCACTTGAGGCCAGGAATTCGACACCAGCCTGGCCAACATGGCAAATCCCTGTGTCTACTAAAAATACAAAAAATTAGCCAGGCATGGTGGTTCACGCCTGTAGTACCAGCTACTTGAGTGGCTGAGGTGGGAGGATCGCTTGAGCCCTGGAGGTTGAGGCTGCAGTGAGCCGTGATCACGCTGCTGTACTCCAGCCTGGGTGACAGAGCAAGATCTTGTAGAAAGAAAGAAAGAGAGAAAGAGAGAGAGAAAGGAGAGAAGGAGAGAGAAAAAGAGAGAGAAAGGGAGGGAGGGAGGGAAGACAGGGAGGGAGGGAGGAAGGAAGGAAGGAGAAGGAAAGAAAGAAAAGAAAGAAAGAGAGAAAAAGAAAGAAGAGAAAGAAAGGAAGAAATAAAGAGAAAGAAAGGAAGGAAGGGAGGGAGAGAAGGGGAGAGAGGAAGGGAAGAGGAATTACTCTTCTGCCCACTGACAGATAAAGCAATCGAAACCCAAAGAAGGAAAGTGAGTCCTGTGATGTAACACAGCCAAGTCACAGCAGAGTTCATTGCTGAACTAGAGCTTCCCCGCTGGCTCCTGGGCCAAGCCCTTTCTATTCCCCCCCATGCTCATAGGCAGGGAAGTTGGAAAAAAGAAGCAATACGAGTAGGAATAATTTCTTCTGTTGCTTGAGAAAAGCCTGGTAGCAGCCCTAAGACATTAGAATATGATGAGACCGTTCATGACAAATGATGATCATTTGTGGGATATACTGTTTATGTAGTGTTTAGGGAAGAAATATTTGTTCTGCCATGTATGTGCATTACATTACATAAAAGGACAGGCAGGGAATCCCTCCTTTCCACACCCTGCCCTGTTTGGCACCAAACGCCTGTTCTGTTTTGAAAGGTTCGTAGATAACCAATCAGGGCTGTGTTATAGTGTGTCAGGACAGCAATACTAAAAAGCCATTTGCAAGTTCAAATATATTAAAGTTGTCTCTTTCCCACACATACAAAATGAGCAAAGCTTTCATTATTCATCAAATGAAAAAATTAAGCCCTGCAATTATCTGTCTATGGCCCCAGGATAGGCTGTGCATCATTTAATCAGATGTTACTACGTGAAGCCGCAGACTACGTCTGGCCACGAACAGACATAAAAGAAGGGCTAGTTGATCAAAAAAAGAACAAAACCAACTTCCAGGTCTTAATATCCAATGTTGCTTTGCCTGAAAACTTCTGAGCCTTAAAACTCAGCTGGAGTTTACAAGGAGGAAGGGAGATTCCAGAAGGTGATAACTGGGCCCCTGACACAAAAGCCAAATACAACAAAGCTAATGAAATCTTTCTCATAACCAAACTGGCAGGGCCCCCGCCTTGCTTTTTTTGAGAGGATCCATAGGGCTCTGTGTTTATATTTGAGGATTTGTCTGAAATCCTAGAGGCTTAGAGCTAGTGGGCAGAGCTTGGTGAGGCCCATGTGTCATCAAGGGCAGGAATTGGCACTCCTTGCTTTAGCTCAAATCCAGTCCTAGGCCAGGCGCGGTGGCTCACGCCTGTAATCCCAGCATTTTGGGAGGCCAAAGCGGGCAGATCACCTGAGGTCAGGAGTTCAAGACCAGCCTGACCAACATGGAGAAACCCTGTCTCTACTAAAAATACAAAATTAGCCGGCGTGGTGGCGAATGCCTGAAAACCCAGCTACTCGGGAGGCTGAGGCAGGAGAATCACTTGAACCTGGGAGGTGGATGTTGCCATGAGCCAAAATCGTGCCATTGCACTCCAGCCTCGGCAACGAGAGAGAAACTCTGTCTAAAAAAAAAAAAAAAATTCCAGTCCTGCAGGAAAGTGTAACGTGGATGTGTATGATGGGGACCCCCAGCAGTTCTCCCTTTCTCTGAGGGGCCTCCACGACCCCTGCCCAATTCCCTGAGGGTGCTGAGTTTCTGAGGGTCACACTCAAAAGAGATTTTTCTGGGCCGAGCGCGGTGGCTCACGCCTGTAATCTCAGCATTTTGGGAGGCCGAGGCAGATGGATCATGAGGTCAGAAGATGGAGACCATCCTGGCTAACATGGTGAAACCCCGTCTCTACTAAAAATACAAAAAATTAGCTGGGCGTGGTGGCGGGCACCTGTAGTCCCAGCTACTCCAGAGGCTGAGGCAGGAGAATGGCATGAACCCGGGGGGCAGGGCTTGCAGTAAGCCTAGATCGAGCCACTGCACTCCAGCCTGGGCAACAAAGAGAGACTCAGTCTCAAAAAAAAAAAAAAAAAAAAAGTCACAGATTTTTCTGTTTTAATTGCCATTTATTTAATATATAGAAGTTTTCAAAACAAGGGTCCCTGGATGAGGGTGGTAAGAAGGTTGGGGTCCTAGTCCAATGGGTTTAAGGTTCCTTTCACCTTGGAGCACCCAGGCTTGCTTGACCAGGGTGCCCACTGGCTGAGCACCTGCCTGGAATGGCCCAGTGGGGGTCTCCTCCTCCCTCCCAGGCCAGGGAGAGGGATGAAGCCGGGAAAGATGGCCCCCTCCCCCAGGAGAGCAGTGTCTGGCTCTTGGTGCAAGAGCACCTTCTCTCCCAGGTGCTGGAAAAGGTCGTATTTTACTGATTTTCCCCTTCTCCCCATTCCCTCCTTCCCCTATCTGTAGGAGGCTTGCAGGTGTCCAGCTGTCCTTTCGCAGTAGACACATGGTGGTCTCAGGAGCTAACATCGGCCCTTCTACAAGCCAGGGGGACACCAAACACTTGCCTGTCAATCGAGCTCCACTCAGCTGGGTTCAGACAAGCTCAGGGGCTACCCCAGGCTCAGCAGTGCCGACTATAGCCTTGTGCAGTTACTGCTGCACACACGTGAGGACACACAGGAAGGGTACGCATTTGACACAAGCTTCCCATGGAAATACCTTCTCAAACCTGGAGCGGGGTGAGAATGTTGCAGCCCTGGGCCCCTCCTGGGTCAGAAGCTGGCTCAGCCCAGCGTTCACAGAGGCCAGCCTCCCAGAGCCTGAGAAGAGGCCTGCACCAGGCGTGGGCACAGAAGGATGCAGATTGTGCAACAGGAGCCAAGGGCTGGAGAGGCATTCTGGCGAGAGATTTGGAAAGCTTCTGGAACAGGGTGAAACATTCATCAGGTGACCCAAGGGATAGGCTCTCCAGGAAGGAGGCCCAGCTCCAGCAGTAGCCAGAGTTCTGGGCATGTTAGGACGGTGAGGTCCTAGCACGCGGGGGGCGGGGGGCACAGGACAAGGTGTGCGGCAGTGCAGGAAGCCAGCTGAGGCACCCTGACCCTCAGGCCATGCCCTTCTGCTCCTGTGCAGGGGACAGCAGAGGGGAGCTTGGGGACTGACATCTCAAAGGCCTGGTCCCCTCCTTGCTCTCGCAGCCAGTCCTTGCTCTAGGACAGTGACCCATGTCTGCAGCCCGACCCAGCCCACCCACAGAGCCCGGCGTCCCAGAGCTGCTGGGGTGCACGGTGGTCGGGAGGTGAGTGGCTGGGCAGTCCTCCGCAGGGCTGCTGCCAGGTATCAGCCTCGGAGGTTTCCCGGAAACAGAGCCAACGCCCCCCCAAGACCTGGGCAGACCGCATGAGCGTAGGGGTCAGGGGACCGGGTCCCCCAGAGGTGTCAGAAAAATGCTCCCAGGAGGAGGACGCCAGGCTGCTGAGGCCTGTGGCTGACACCAGGGGGCAGGGCGGGGCGGCGGGGACAGCGTCCGGAGGAGGGAGCCGCCCAGACCTAGCCCGGGTGGGGCGAACGAAGAGCGGGCGTGGTGGGCGCCTGCTAGCTCCGGCTCGCGGTGTTAGGCCTTGGGGACATCGCTCGGGGACAGGAGAGCCCCGGGCCCCCGCCGCCCCGAGCCGTGGCCGGGAAGGGGAACACAGTCCATGCGTGCGGCGCCCGACAGCCTCTCCCCGCACGCCCGAGCCCCAGTGCAGGCGGCGGCCCGGCCCCTTTGTGCCTGGAGTGTCACGCGCGGGCGCTCCTGCCGCCGCGCCTGGGAGAGGCCTCCGGCACCCCGGGCCCCTTTCCAAGCACAACAGCAGCCCTGCCGCGGCCCCGCGCTGACCCACTTTCCCTCCTGCCTCCTCAGCCCGAGGCCGAGAATCCAGCGGCCGCCGCCAAGCAGGTGCGAGCCGTCGGGCGGGGCGCGCGGGAGGCGGAGAGGATGGGCCCCTGAACCACCCCGCGCGCCCCACCTCAGCCTCCCGGGGCGAGCCAGGTTTCCGGGGCGGGGGCCGCGAGGAGGAGGAGGAGGGCAAGGCGGGGGAACGGGAGGGAGAGGACCCGGGGAGGGGGAGGGGGAGGCGGAGGGGGAGGGGCAGAAGAAGGGGGCAAGGAGGGCAGAGAGATGAGCGAGAAAGAAAGGAGGGGTGCGGGAAAGGAGGAGAGGAAGGAGCGGTGGGAGGAGGAGGAGGGGTGCGGGAGAGAAGGGCTGAGGGAGAGGCGGAGGGAAACCGCACCCCTGCCTCTTTCCTGGGCCGAGGCCAGCCGGGGAGGAAATGTTGAAATGGGCGAAGTGCACATCCGCCTCCAGGCCTAAGGGGTGTACGGGTCAGGCCGCACCGACCCCGCCCTTCCCAGCCCTTCCTGCCAGACCTCTGCCTCCGATGGGCGAGCCCGGTTGCTGGGAGGCGGTTCACTATGGAGCCTGGACCCTCCCCACAGTTCAGCCCGCCGGAGGCGTGTGCGCTTCCAGATGAGAGCACTTGTTCACTGAATGACCGTGCGTACTTGGGGGGACATCTGGCCCCAGAACCTCCAGGAGCAGGGTGGCTAATGCTGAGTGCCGTGGCCTGGCACTGGGAAGCGCCGGTCCTCAGTCCCTTTCCCTGCTCCTGGGCACCCCAGGCCCCTTGGGGCGTTCTTACACTGCCTGAGTTAGACCTGGAAGAGTCCCCTGTGCCAGGGCAGGGGCTTTGCCTGCTTGGTCCTTGTTCACCCCTGTGTATAGCTACTACCTATTACCTACCCACCTGTCCACAAGTGTCAGTGCCTGATGTAGGAAGTTACAGTAATTCACAAATAAATCTATCACAAAGGGACATGGATACTCACACTTCCTTCTTACCCCTACTTCCAGGCAGCCATTGTTAATGGGTGCGTGTGTACAGTTCTGGGCACATACCAACATGCACGGATGCATGTTAACCTGCTTTGTATGGAAGAAACGGGGTCAGGATATCATAAAAAGAATTAATGGGTAATCAGTATTCATCAAATGCCAAGATCTAGTTCTGAGCACTTTGCAAATATTAATTTAATCACCACGAACCTCAGTAAAGTTTATTACTATTACTCGCATTTTTCAGATGAGGCGCCTAAGGCACAGAGAGGTTAAGTAGCCTGCCCAGGATCACACAGCTACTAAGTACAGAAGTCAGAATTTGAGCCTGACTCCAGAGCTCATAAGGTTAACAACGAGGCCTCCCACTTTTATATGCGTATTATTCCATGAATTACTGTTTACACTAAGAATATGTTCTTTTCTGCAACCAATGGAAGATTCCTAGAAGAGGAACTACTGGCTATGTGGCATTGAGATTTTTCTTTTTTCTTTTTTTTTCTGAGATGGAGTCTAGCTCTGTCGCCCAGGCTGGAGTGCAGTGGCACGATCTCAGCTCACTGCAACCTCCGCCTCCTGGGTTCAAGCGGTTCTCCTGCCTCAGCCTCCCAAATATCTGGGATTACAGGCCTGCCACTATGCCCAGCTGATTTTTGTATTTTAAGCAGAGATAGGGTTTCACTGTGTTGGCCAGGCTGGTCTTGAACTCCTCACATTGTGATCCACCCGCCTCGGCCTCCCAAAGTTCTGGGATTACAAGCGTGAGCCACCGCGCCTGGCCGTGTGTTTGAGATTCCTAGAGACATTAGTAAAACCCTCCAAAAGAGTGGGGACCTTACACCAGCCTGCCGGTTCAAGCTCCATACTGGACCTCCACCTCCCCAACCCCCACCCCCACCCCACCAGAAAAGGACCCTCCATCCCCTTCAGGTCATAGAGTGAGGAAGAGGGAAGCTTCAACAGGCCCAGATGGCCCTGGTAATGGGCACGGTGACATTTGGGCAGAGAACCCCAGGGCCCTGCATCTGCAGACCTGGGACAGGCAGAGAATGTCCAATGGGGGTGCTAGTGGCATTGCCTGGCCATGACTCTGTCCAGCTGTGGCATCATGTCCCATGGCCAAAGTGTCCAAGCAAGCCTGCTTCTGCCATTGACCTAGGGAGGCCTCTTGACACCTGCTCATTTTCCAAGCCTGTTCCTCCTGCATCCTCAAGATTCGGAGTGCCCTCCAAAATAAGATCTTTTTCTGTAGTTGTTACTATGGGTTAAGAACCCTCCTGTCTGATACATACAACTGATTACAAACTTTTAATTTTTGCCAATCTGATAAGCAAAAAAAAAGAAAGTAGTTCATGGATTTAGTTTACATTTCCTTTTTAACAGGGAGGTTGGGTAGAGACTTCTTGGTTTGCTCATGCCTGTAATCCTAGCACTTTGGGAGGCTAAGGTAGGAAGATCGCTTGAACTCAGGAATTCAAGCCAACCTGGGCAACATAGCAAGACCTCACCTCCACTAAAGGGAAAAAACAATCCATGTTCCTTTTCTTCCAACCCAACAGATCTGTGGCTGGGCAGCAGCTGCTGAGCTCAACTACAATTCCAGCCTGCTTTACAGTTAGGCTTGTCCACAGGACCAAGTTCTCAGTGACAGAGTAAGAGCAGGCCTGTGATAGGAGCCTCTTCTGTACCTCGGCCTCCAAGATGCCTAGAATCTGGCTGTGGCAGTGCCCAAGGGGAGGCGAGCAGCAGGAGAGAAGGGTCCTGGGGTTTGGGGGGACCAGGAGGAGCAGAGCTGCTGCTCAGCTCAGATCCATAACCTGAGAAAGAAAGAGGGATGGCACATTTTATGTGTTAACTTAAATATCTGGCTACATCGCTCAGATATTTGATTAGACACTATTCTAGATGTTTTTATGAAGGTATTGATTAATTGATTGATTGATTGAGACAGTCTCACTCTGTTGCCCAGGCTGGAGTGCGGTGGCACAATCTTGGCTCACTGCAACCTCCACCTCCCAGGTTCAAGTGATTCTCGTGCCTCAGCCTCCCAAGTAGCTGGCATTACAGGCATGTGCCACCATGCCTGGCTAATTTTTGTATTTTTAGTAGAGATGGGGTTTCACCATGTTGGCCAGGCTGGTCTCCTGACCTGAAGTGATCTGCCCACCTTGGCTTCCCAAAGTGCTGGGATTACAGGCCTGAGCTACCACAACCGGTGAAAGTACTTTTTAAGATAAGATTAGCATTTAAATCAGAAGATTTTGAGTAAAGCAGATTATTCTCCACAATGTGGGCAGATCTCATCCCATCAGTTGAAGACCTTAAGAGAAAAGAGACTGACCTGCTCTGAGCAAGGAGGAATTCTGCTGGCCAACTGCTTGTGAACTCCAACTTGTAATATCAGTCTCCAGCCTACCGGCTTACTCTGCAGATTTTGGATTTGCCAAGCCTCCACAACCGCAGAAGCCAATTCCTTAAAATAAATCCCTTACAACAGTTCCCTAAAATAAATTCTTCAAAATTCCTTAAAATAAATGTGTGTGCATGTGTGTCTGTGTATATATATAGCCTATGTAATGTCTAATATAGATCTATAATATATATTAGATAAATATACACATACTTATCATATATATATGTGTGTGTGTGTGTGTGTGTGTTTCTCCTATTGGTTCTGTTCTCTGGAGAACCTAATACAGAAACAAATCTGTTTATTCTTCTAGCCTCTGTATCATCAGGCCTCTTTGTTAGAGCAGGTGAGCTTTACCCTAACTAATTCAGAGGTTGATTCGTTTTCATGCATGTAGATACTTGTCATTTAGCTTCTATTATCTGCCTGTATTTTAAGGTTCTTTGTCTTAAAATGTTATGACTCCAGGAATGTTATATATTAAGTATATTAACCTTTTGACTATTATATATCTTGCAAACATCTTGTAATCAGTCACTTGTCTCTTTATTTTATTTGGAGCGGCTTTCAACCTAGAGCAGTGGTCCCCAAACCCGGGGCTGCAGACTATTCCCTGTCTGTGGTTTGTTAAGAACCAGGCTACATAGCAGAAGATGAGTAGCAGGCGCGGGAGCATGACCACCTGAGCTCCGCCTCCTGTCAGACCAGCAGCGACATTAGATTCTCATAGGAGCACAAACCCTACTGTGAACTGTGCGTATGAGGGATCTAGGTTGCACATTCCTTAAAAGACTCTTAATGCCTGATGATCTGAGGTGGAACAGGTTCACCCTGAAACCATCCCCCGCTCAGCCTGTGTCTGTGGAAAAATTGTCTTCCATGAAACTGGTCCCTGGTGCCAAAAAGGCTGGGGACTGCTGACCTACAAGATATATTAGTTATGACTCTTGGTGCATACTCTTGACAGAAATCCCACTCAACCTAGTATAATGCAGAGGACAGTTCACGGAGCAACTCAAATAATTGCCACTTTTACAATATTGAAGCTTCCTACGGGAAACATAATACATCTCTCAATTTATGTCCTTTAATACGATTAAACATTTTTCTTCATGTAGGTTCTCCAGAATTTTGGTTATGCCTATGCCTAGATTATTTATGATTGTTGTTGGTATTGCAAATGTCCTCTCCTATTGATTATTTAATGGTATCTATGGAAAGTATTGATTTTTGTGTATTTGCTCTGTGCCCACTTGCCATCTAACTGGTTGTTATATTTTATTGAACCTTTCAAAGGATATGAATTATGCTGATTTTAATGTCTTCTTCTGATTCCTGCATTATTATCCTGTTTTCTCCAGCGTTCTGTCTACTTCTTCTGCAGGCTGTTGGTTTCCTTCAAATGTCTGGGGATTTTTGATTGTCTGATCCCATTTGTAAATGAACGTCCAGAGAGTGGTTTTCAAAGTGAGATCCATGGACCCCTAAGGGTTCTTAAGACTCTTTCTGGGTGTCTGCAAAGCCAAAACTATTTAATAGGAATAAAAAAGACTTGTTTTTCCTAATGGGTGTTCAGGTGCTCACTTCAGCAGCACATATACAAATGGGTGTTCAGTGGAGTTTTCCAGAGTCTACATGATGTGTGTTATCACTACAGCTTGAAAGAAGGAGGTATGAAAATCCAGCTGTTGGCTGGGCATGGCGGCTCCTGCCTGTAATCTCAACACTTTGGGAGGCTGAGGCAGACAGACCACTTGAGGTCAGGAGTTTGAGACCAGCCTGGCCAACATGGTGAAACGCCATCTCTACTAAAAATACAAAAAAAAAAAAAAAAAAAAAGCTAGGCGTGGTGGTGCATTCCTGTAATCCCAGCTACTTGGGAGGCCGAGGCAGGAGGATTGCTTGAACTGGGAGGCAGAGGTTGCAGTGAGCCAAGATTGTGCCACTGCATTGCAGCCTGGGTGTCAGAGTGAGACTCTGTCTCAATAAATAAATTTTAAAAATTAAATACATATGAATACATAAAAATTAAATGCATAAATACATAAAAATAAAAAAATACAACAACAAAAAAGAAAATCCAGCTATTAAGCCAGACATTGGGGAGTTTTTTTGTTTTGTTTGTTTTGTTTTGAGACAGAGTTTCACTCTTGTTGCCCGGGCTGCAATGCAGTGGCACCATCTCAACTCACTGCAACCTCTGCCTCCCGGGTTCAAGCGGTTCTCCTGTCTCAGCCTCCTGAGTAGCTGGGATTACAGCCACGCACCACCACACCTGGCTAATTTTTTGTATTTTTGGTAAAGATGGGGTTTCACCATGTTGGTCAGGCTGGTCTCAAACTCCCGACCTCAGGTGACTTGCCCGCCTCGGCCTCCCAAAGTGCTGGGATTACAGGCGTGAGCCACCACACCCAGCATGTATAAGTGTTATTTATGTTAACATGCCATTATTATTTTAAGATAAATGAATATTTATTTATTTTTCACTTGAACTTCTACTACCGTAAATATTGATAGATAAACTCATATGAATGAAAGCCCGCTGAGACCCTCAGCCATTTCTAAGAGAGGGTGAAGGGTTCCTGAATGCAGTGTGTTTGCGATCTGTCAGTCTCAACCAATCATTCTTGCTGTGCAGAGTAGTTCTTGCACACAACTAAACCACCACTGTCTGGCAACCCTGGCACCACTGGGCACCTGTGGTCATGGAGACAGGCCAGGACGTTGCAAAGGCAGAGTGCCTTCCTGGGCCTCTCATCTGGGCCGCTCTCCCTGTCATTGTGGCTGACAGTGCCTGGCAGTCACCTGGGCGGGCCCCTGCTTCTCTCTTTGGGCCAGTGTTGGCTCTGGAGGCTCCTGGTGCATCTTTGTCTTCAGTCTGAATGCTGCACTCAGACTTTACCCTGGGGACAGGCAGGACACTGCCTCAGCCACCTGGGTAGCCGTTTGTGTGATTACCGTATCCAAGCTCCATGACTCATTCCTTCTCCACTGCCCCCACCCTACCCCATTTCCAGACTTGAAATGGTCTCCCACCTGCAGGCCATTGGCTCTATTGCGTTTCACCACGAATCTGATCTCCTCCGCTTTATATCTTCCAGAAATTCTCCAATGTTCTAGTCTGTTGGTGGCATTTTTCCTGGTTTTCAAGGATTTCTAAGTGTTTTTATATTTATCCTACTACATCAGAGGGTGGGGGAGATAGGTAGGAGAGGTGCAGTTGAGCCTTGAACAATGTGAGGGTTGGAGAGCCAACCCCTCACGCAGTCAGAGCTTGTATAACTTCAGGCTCCCTCCAAACTTAACTAATAAATAGCCTACTGTTAACTGGAAGCCTTACTGGTAACATTAAAAAATCAGTTAACACGTACTTTGTATGTGTATTTATACTGTATTCTTACAATAAACTAAGCTTGGGAAAATAAAATGTCATTAAGAATATCATAAGAGAAAGCATTTACTAAGTGGAAGTGGATTATCATAGAAGTCTTCATCCTCGTTGTCTTCATGTTGAGTGGCTGAGGAGGAGGGGCTGGTCTTGCTGCCTCAGGGTGGCAGAGAGGAAGACATGGAGGAAGTGGGAAGGGAGGCAGGAGAGGCAGGGACACTTGGTATAACTCTGATTGAAAAACATCCCTGTGGGTGGACCTGCACAGTTTGAACCTGCGTTGTTCAAGGGTCCACTGTGCTTGAAAGTGTTTAGTCAGCAGTCCTGAACGACATGTAAACAATGGTTGAATGAAGGAGCAAGGGAGCCTAAGGGTGGGGAGAGGCGGGTGTCGGCAAGGACCTTCCTCCAAGACAGGGTTGCTGCGAGGGGCAAATGGTGACTGATGATTCACAAGAAGGCGTACCTGTGTGACAGCACCTGTAAGCCAGGTGGGATCAGTGCGGCCTGTCGTCTGCTGTTGTCATGTGGAGCTCAGCAAACGGTGGGAGTCCTAGGGGACAACATACACAGCTTAGCAGCAGGTGCCCCTCTCTTCGAGCCTAATTTAGCCAATGGGAGTTTAATTTAGCCACGGGGGCGTAATTGCTAGAAGAAAAGAGAAGAAAAAAAACCTGATGCCCTCACCGCCTTCCAATCCTGACTCTTTAGGAAAAGCCTGGATCTCCGACATCTCCAGAGCGCCTGACCAAGCGTGAGAAGGCGGGATGTAGCCGGGGTGTGTGTGTCGGGGGGTGGCAGGATGCTCCCCAGAGGCGGAGAGCGGCGCGTGGGGGGTGCTGCAGGCGTCCTGGGAGTTTGGGGGCGCCGCCCTTCCTCCTGCCTTGGGCCCAACCGGTGGATCCTGTCGAGTCTGTTGTGGTCCCCTTCTTAGGAAAAGCACAGAGAGCCCTTTAAAGATGTTGACCTGACAGCAGCAGGGGGCCCAGGGTGACCACGGAGCAAATCAGGGAAAGGAAACCTAGGTCGCCACACATTTGATTTAAAAGAAAATAACTTCCCTCCTGAAGCAGGGGCTGGGGTAGGTGCCCTGGCACAGGCACAGAACCAGAGAGAACCCTTGCCGCTGCTCCGGAATGTCGGGCCACACCCTCCGGATACGGGAAAGGCTTTCTTCTCCATTTCAAATGACCCTGTTTCGCCTTTTTTAGATACAAATGTTTATTTGGTCTGACTTTGAAATACCTCGGAGCAGCTGAAATAATTGAAGGCAGCCCTGTAAGAAGCAGCACTTCCAGACCTTCTCACGGGCAAACCCTCTGCTGGGACCGCCAAGGGCCCCCGCGAGACACCTGAGGGTCAGCACAGCCCCTCCCTCCCTGTGCCGTGCTGGCCGTGCCGCAGCTGGTCACCCGCACGAGGACCTCGAGATTGCCCTGCGGACTGGCACTTCTCGAGGGAAGTCATCGCAGCTGCCATGGAGCCAGCATTTGTCGGGGACCTGGCACGCAGGCCACCGGCTCTGGGAGAGGGCTGAGGAGCCGTGGGGCTCACGTTTCAGGGATTAGCTTGTGTAACTTGACTTGTTCCCCCAAATTCTACAAGTACAGAGAATATGCAGAAATCTGTGAGAGAAACAACCTTCTGCAGCTCGTTGTTGTGGGGATTATATTAGTAAGATGCCTAGAAAATACGATTCAGAAGGAATGTGGGTGCGTGTGACTTTGTGGTGGGTGGGCTCCACTCACCACCCTCCCTCCGCACCTGTCCGAGGCATTTGAACCAGAGCAACTCCATTTCGAATAGGGGCCGGTAAAATAAGGCTAAGACCTACTGGGCTGCATTCCCAGATGGTTAAGGCATTCTAAGTCACAGGATGAGATACGAGGTCGGCACAAGATACAGGTCATAAAGACCTTGCTGATGAAACAGCCTGCAGTAAATAAGCTGGCTAAAACCCAAAATGGCAACAAGATGTGTCCTCTGGTGGTCCTCACTGCTACACTCCCACCAGCACCATGACAGTTTACAAATGCCATGGCAACATCAGGAAGTTACCCTATATGGTCTGAAAAGAGGAAGCATGAATAATCCACCTCCTGTTTAGCATATCATCAAGAAATAACCATAAAAATGGGCAACCCACAGCCCTTGGGGCTGCTCTGTCTATGGAGTAGCCGTTCTTTTACCCCTTTACTTTCCTAATAAACTTACTTTCACTTTATTCTGTGGACTCGCCCTGAATTCTTTCTTGCCTAAAATCCAAGAACCATCTCTTGGGGTCTGGATCGGGACCACTTTCCTCTAACACACCCACTGAGAAGTGCTTGCTGATGTTAGGGTTCACAGTGTCAGGGGCTGCCGTAGTGTCACCCCATTCTACAGATGAGAAAACAGCCTCAGAGTTTTTTGTTGTTGTTGTTTGAGATGGAGTCTCACTCTTTCCCCCAGGCTGGAGTGCAGTGGCGTGATCTTGGTTCACTGTAACCTCCGCTTTCTGGTTTCAAGCGATTCTCCTGCCTCAGCCTCCCGGAGTAGCTGGGATTACAGGTGCCCGCCATGCCCGGCTAATTTTTGTATTTTTGGTAGAGACGGGGTTTTACCCTGTTGGCTAGGTGCCTCTCAAACTCCTGACCTCGTGATCCGTGGGCCTCTGCCTCCCAAACTGCTGGGATTACAGGCGTGAGCATCAGAGTTTTTAAGTCAGAACTGGAGCCTGAGCCCGACAGGTGACACAACCCGGCCTTCCCTGAGGGGCTGGCACGCCGCAAAAGGTCGCCAAGCTCTCCCTCTTCCGGTGTGAGGTGTAGCTCGCCGGTGGGTATGCACAGGGAGTCCTCTATTTTGCTCGGTTTTGCCTGGGACCATGTGCTCTGTGTGCTGCATCATGGTCTCCACAGTGGATCTCGGTAGGCACAGCTGGACTTGGTCCTCAGTTGCCTGCTGTGCCCTGCTGGGGATCTTTTTGCACGGGCCATTCCCCCTCGCACTTGCCTTCCCTCCCCCGCTCCTGGCTGGCTCCCACTCTTGGCCGGGGCTCAGGCAGGATTCTCTACTAGACTCAGCAAGGCACCTGCAGTGGGCCTGTAATAGGAGGGAGTGGTGGGTCCGGAGTTGGTTCCTTCCAGTGGGATTGTGGTCTTGCTGATTTTGAGAATGGAGCCCCAGACCTTCCTGGTGTTACAGCTCTCAAAGAAGACAAGGACCCAAAGGGTGAGCAGCAGCAAGAGCTATTGTGAAGAGCAAAAGAACAAAGCTTCCCCACCACGGAAGAGGACCCCAGCAGGTTGCCTCTGCTGGCTCCGTGTGGAGAAGGGTTGGGGGGGAGGCAGCTTTTATTCTCTTATTTGTCCCCGCCCATGTCCTGTTCCTGTCCTATCAGAATGCCCTTTTCTCAATCCTCCCTGCGATTGGTTACTTTTAGAATCCTGCTGATTGGTCCATTTCACAGAGCGCTGATTGGTGTGTTTTACAAATCTCTTGCTAGCTACAGAGCACTGATCGGTGAGTTTTTACACAGCACTGATTGGTGCATTTTACAATCCCTTGCTAGCTACAGAGCACTGATTGGTGCGTTTTACAATCCTAGCTACGGAGTGCTGATTGGTTCGTTTTACAATCCTCTTGTAAGACAGAAAAGTTCTCCAACTTCCCAGTGGACCCAGGAAGTCCCGCTGGCTTCACCTTTCAGTGGGGCTGTGTTTAGGGGACAATTCCACTCAGGCATAGTGGCCTGATCATGGGGTGCAAAGCTGGCGGCCAGACAGCCTTCCAGGTGGTGACTTTTACTATACTGGGGATGTGGCTTTATGGAGCTATGCTGGCCCACTCCCTCCAGAAGGAGCCTGATGGATCAAAGATGGAAACCAAAAAAATACCGGAAGAAAATGATTAAAAACAAAAAACGAACAAAACAAAACTGTTGGCCAGTTGCGGTGGCTTAAGCCTGTAATCCCAGCACTTTGGGAGGCCAAGGCAGTCAGATCATTTGAGGTCAGAAGTTTGAGATCACCCCAACAAACATGATGAAATTCTGACTCTACTAAAAATACAAAAGTCAGCTGGGCATGGTGGCGTGCTTGTAGTCCCAGCTACTCAGGAGGCTGAGGCAGGAGGATCACTTGAACCCAGAAGGTGGAGGCTGCAGTGAGCCAAGATTGTGCCACTGCAGTCCAGCCTGGGTGACAGAACAAGACTCTGTCTCAAACACACACACACACACACACACACACACACACACACACACCCCTGTAATCTTGCAAAGGGGTGAACTCTTTAATGATCTTGCAAAACCCTGTGGCCATAAACAACATAATTGATTTATTCTACCCGATAAGAAAAAAAATATATCTGCATGGCAGAAAACATCCTGCTTAAAGTTAAAAAAAAAAAAAAGATAAACAGAAAAAAATTATGGCACATTTGTAAGATGGAATTTACCCTGCAGTCATGAAAAAGAATAAGGTATGCTTATGTCTATGTGAAAACAGAATCATATGCATAATAATATATGCAACTTATGTCACAGGCAAAGGGCCACTAAAAATCAAAGAGAAAGAAATCCAACAACTGAATTGGAAAATGGGCAATGGGAAGAAATCCTTCCCAGAAAAGAAAAATGCCTCTAAACATTCAAAAATATGCTGACTGTCATCACAATAACAGAAACGCAAACTGAAATATCAATGAAATCCTACTTTCTGCTATCAGATCAGCAAGTTCCAAACTTTGACAATCGCCTTTCAAGTGAGCTGAAGGGACATGCTCCATGGGGGAATGTAGTCACATTTACCAGAACTACACACATATGTGCTCTGGCCCAGCAAGCCCACTTCAGAGTCTTGTCAAGACATGTAATACAGAGGCTCATCAAAGCATTGTAGTGATTGGAAAAGGATAGGAACAACTTAAGCACTATCAAGATTAATTACATCACATCCCTAGGTCTGCATTACCATGCAGTCATTAAAAAAGAGGGAGGTGGCCATGTGTGGTGGCTCTCAAGGTGTAATCCCAGCACTTTGGGAGGCTGAGGCAGATGGATCACTTGAAGTCAGGAGTTCGAGACCAGCCTGACCAACATGGTGAAACCCCATCTGTGCTAAAAATACAAAAACTAGCCAGGTGTGGTGGCGGGCACCTGTAATCCTGGCTACTTGGGAGGCTGAGGCAGGAGAATCACTTGAACCCGGAAGGCGGAGTTTATAGTGAGCCAACATCACGCCCCTGCACTCCAGCCTGGATAACTCCGAGTGAAACTTCAGAGTGAAACTCCGTCTAAAAAAAAAAAAAAAAAAAAGAAGGAGGTATATTTAGGTCTATGAAACACAGCAATCTTCAGAGTATATTGTTTCATGAAAAAGAGGAAGCTAGAGGGTATGTGTATAGATTTATCTCATTTGTTCGAATGAGTGTATGTGTGTGTGCACACAGAAACTCCTGGTAGGATGCATAAAATATGGACGTTAGTGTGTTTTCTCTGGTGCTATGAACTGAATGTTTGTGTACTCCTCCCCCCAAATTCATATGTAGAAATTTTCGGCCCCAGTGCGATGGCATTAGGAGGTGGAACCCTTGGGAGTTTAGGTCAAGAGGATGGAGACCCCAAGCTCTCTTCCTCTTTCCCTGCCACGTGGCCATCTGCAACCTGAAGAGAGCCCTCCCCATGACCTGACCATACTGGCACCTTGATATGGGACTTCCAGCCTCCTGAACTATGAGAAATAAATGCCTGCTATTTATAAGCCACCCAGTCTATAGTCCTTTGTCATAGCAGCCTGAGCTGACTGAGACCGTCAGGTAAGTGGCCTGGGGTCTGGGGTGGTAGCATTCCTATTGTCTCCTTTATTCTGTTGGAATGTTTGACTCCAAGCATAAAGGACATTTTTAGTTCTTTTGTTTTTTTGGGTTTTTTTTTGAGAGGGAGTCTCACTCTGTCACCCACGCTAGGGTGCAATGGTACAATCTCCACTGCAACCTCTGCCTCCTGGGTTCAAGCAATTTTCCTGCCTCAGCCTCCCGAGTAGCCAGGATTACAGGCGCCTGCCACCATGCTCAGCTAATTTTTGAATTTTTTGTAGAGATGGGGTTTCACCAAGTTGGCCAGGCTGGTTTTGAACTCCTGACCTCAGGTGATCCACCCACCTTGGCGTCACAAAGTGCTGGGATTACAGGCGTGAGCCACCATGCCCGGCCATTTTAAGTTTTTTAAAACACTCAAAGCCATGCCTTGGGGAGGCTGCAGTCTGGCTCTGTCCCACCCTTGCCTGCTGCTGGTTGGAAGTGGGACCAGCCCAGCTGCTCCTTGGGTCAGGGTCTACAAGGCCAGCCCTGGAAAGGCAGATCCACAACACAGCCAGTGCAGCACCAGGAAGGGTGCCCTGGGCTGAAGTCTGCATGGGGCAGCAGAGGCAGAGCCTGCCAGACCTGCAGACATTTCTGCAGTTGATTATGTTCTTACTTGTCCCTAAGATGAGCACTTACCTAGGCATAGCTGATGCCCTCTGGTGGGGCCGGGGGGGGTGGTGTCCCAAATCTGATGGTGGAGCAGCAGGGGATCCCCTGTGGGTAGAGACCAACAGGCAGGCTCTGTGCCGTGGGCTGGCTGGTGTACCCAGGAGACCTCAGCTCACACCCTCCTGGGAAGGACTGCCGGCCACTTCATAGGTGGAGCACAGAGGTGCTGGCTCCACCCCCTGTGTGTGCGTGGCACTCTGTAGTCACCAGCCTGGCTGTCTGCCTCCTTGTTCCAGGCATGGTCTCAATGGCCTCAGACCCTCCCTCCTGAGCCTGATTAAGAAGCAAAGCACCCTGCAGTAGGGGACACTCTTCTTAGGAGGAGGCGGCAATTCTCACTAATAAGTGCTTTTCTTCTACCACATCATGTACATTAAGTGGTTTTTTTTTTGTTGTTTTGCTTTTTTGTTTTTTTGTTTTGTTTTTGTTTTTGTTTTTTTGGATACAGAGTCTTGCTCTGTTGCCCAGGCTGGAGTGCAGCGCTGCAATCTTTGCTCACTGGACCCTCCGTCTCCCGGGTTCAAGCGATTCTCCTGCCTCAGCCTCCTGAGTAGCTGGAACTACAGGTGTGCGCCACCACACCCAGCTAATTTTTGTATATTTAGTAGAGACAGGCAGGGTTTCACCATGTTGGCCAGGCTGGTCTCGAACTCCTGACCTCAAGTGATCTGCCTGCCTCGCCCTCCTAAGTGTATATTTTTCTTTTCTTTTTTTTTTTTTTGAGACGGAGTCTCGCTCTGTCACTAGGCTGGAGTGCAGTGGTGCCATCTCAGCTCACTGCAACCTCTGCCTCCCGGGTTCAAGCGATTCTCCTTTCTCAGCCTCATGAGTAGCTGGGATTACACACGTGCGCCACCAAACCCAGCTAATTTTTGTATTTTTAGTAGAGACGGGGTTTCACCATGTTGCCCAGGATGGTCTAGATCTCTTGACCTTGTGATCCACCCACCTCGGCCTCCCAAAGTGCTGGGATTACAGGCATGAGCCACCGCGCCTGGCCGTGTATATTTTTCTAAATAGACACCTGACCATGCTTAGGTCATCCATCGAAATTCCCTAGCACTTGCTGGCTTCCCTGAATTCAACTGAATTGCGCGTGCCCACTGCTGCTGCATAACCTATGGCGGGCACAGCCATGGGATAAAGTGGGCAGTGTGCACACATTCCCCGCACAGTCTGTGGCCTGGCCAAGCCCCTGGGCATTCGAGGCTCCCGGCAAGGCTTCGTGTCCCGACAGTTTTGGGTAGGGGCACGAGGTGGGTGAGCCCGGATCCCAGCAGCAGGCATGGCTCCCTGGGTTTTCATGTCATCTGTGCCCCCTTCTACCAGGATCCTGCAGCAGCTGAAGGGAGACCCCTCTCCTTTTAAGGGTTAAACCCCCAGTGGCACAGAGCAACTTACCTGCCCTTGCATGGTGAACACTCCCATCTTTATCACATCAGTAATTCTTGCTAAAAGCAGATGTAATTTTGAAGGTGGGTAAAAGTAACTTGAAAAGTTGGTGGGCAGATGGCAGAGAGCCTGCTCATCCTTCTTTCAAACTGTCATCAGCTGCACAGGTCTCAGCTGCCATCTCATACTATTATTATTGCTATTTTGCATGTGTGCACACCTCTTTCTGTGGGTGTGGAGGGAGGGGACTGAGCAAAGCCTCAGGGAGGCCACATACGTTCTCAGCGCCATGCTTGGCTGGTGACTGGTCATGCACCATTGGCAGGGCCTGGAGCACGTGCAAGGAACAGAGTTCCCGGCTCTGCACACTCAACATGTGTGTTTCATACTGTCACCTGGCTGGCTCCTCTTTCTGGGTCTGTGTGAGCAGAACAGAACACACACTGGGGACAGAGCTTGCCCGAGGGGCTGCCCAGGTTATTTCCATCTTGGTGATGATGACACCACCCTGAGCTCATTTCTTCTTCACAGCAATCCCAGGAGATGGGAACCACTGTTATCCCCATTTTCTTGATAGGTAGACTGAGATGTGAGTGAGGGGAACAGATGGGACAAAGCTAGGACCCAAGGACAGGTGAAGGCAAGGAGGGACGATGCTGCTAATAATCAAGGCCATTCATTTGGTCCCACCCAGAAGCCTGGGCAAGTGGAGACAGCTGGCACTACAGAGGCCATGGGGCAGGGGCAGTGGAGGCCAAACCAGGGGGCTTGATCAGCACTCTGTCTGGGAAGCCATTGAGATCCCAGGTTCCTTCCACAGCATGCCTCAGACAAGCCTGGAAGTTTGTTCTTTGGGGAAATTGTAGAAAGGTGGCTCTAGGCTCAGGGGCTGAAGGACAGCAGAAGGCAGGGGTGGGGTTCTGGACTAAAAAGGGGTCGAGGTATAAGAAGAAAGACTTCACCTACACTGAGGAGATCCCCAAGACCCCCTCCCGACTCTACTCCCAGGAAGTTGGCAGCATGACCTACAAGTACCAGGCAGGACATATGTTCCTAGAGAGGAGACCTAAACATGTTTGCAGGTAAGGGTTGCCCAACAAAGAATCTGCTATAGCCACCAGTCTATAACCATCCCCTGCCAGCAAGAAGTCTTCAGTGAGCTCTTCAGGGCTGTGCCCTTGGAGATGAACCAACTGCCCACGGTCACTGAACACAGGAGTGAAGCAGCCAACATGGAGCACAACCAGCAACACATAGGGAAGAGGCACTCAGAGGAAGCAGAGGGAAGGGGCAGAGCAAAGCTCAACATGAAGCCCCTGTCAGTCACATTCTTGGGAGCTGATAGAGGAGATTGCATCCAGGAAACAAGAATGGCATTCTAGGCTGGGTGTGGTGGCTCACACCTGTAATCCCAACACTTTGGGAGGCTGAGGCGGGCAGATCACCAGAGGTCAGGAGTTCGAGACCAGCCTGGCCAACATGGTGAAACCCTGTCTCTACTTAAAATACAAAAATTAGCTGGGCATGGTGGCGCATGCCTGTAGTCCAGCTACTCGGGAGGCTGAGACAGGAGAATCACTTGAACCCAGGAGGTGGAGGTTGCAGTGAGCTGAGATCACGCCACTGCACTCCAAACTGGGCAACAGAGCAAGACCACAGACACACACACACAAAAAAAAGATTGGCATTCTAGGAGAAAGGGATCATCAAAGCACAAGAAAGAGGACATTTAATAAATAAGATAGAAGGTGGAGTCAAGAAAATTGCTAGAAAAAAGACAAAAAGATTGACAATAAGACACCAAAGACAACTAGCATGTCAATCAGATGATTTGGGGTTCCACTAATTAGAGTTACAAAAGGTGAGACCAGATACAAGGGGGAGACATTTTCAAATAAATAATACAAGAAAATTACCAAGTGAAGGATGGGAGCCTCTGAACGGAAAGAGCCTGTTAAGGACCACCATTTTAGAATTCTACACCAAGGCATGTCACCATACAATCTGAAAGCATTCAGGATGAAGAGAAAGCCTCGCAAGCTGGAGGTTGCAGGGGAGAAGAACAATACACACAAAGATTTAAGGATGAAATGTCATTAGACTTCACGATGGCAGCACTGGAAGACAGGTGACAATAGAATAATGCCTTTGAAACTTTGATGGAAAATCATTTTCCACCTAAATTTCTATATCTTTCCAAATTATTTTTCAAGTATAAAATAGTATAACTGCATTTCTAGGCATACAACATCTTTAAAACCTTTGCCTTCTGTGTATCCTTCCTCAGGAGATAGTGGAGGATGCGTCCCACCCAAACAATCAAGTAAACCAAGAGACAGGAGGACCTGGGGTGCAGGAAGCAGGACCTAGCCCAACGGGGAGACCAAGAGAGACCCCAAGGTGGCAGTTTGTAGCAACAGAACAGGAAGTCAGAGGGCCCTGGGAAGAAGGCCTCCAGGGAAGGCGGAACTGCCAGCCTATGGGATGTGTTAGAGTTTGAAGCAGTTGTTGATAGGTGTTTGGCAGAAATATGGAAGTATTTGGGGGAGAGTTAGCCTTAAGGACATTGACAACTAAGTGAATGATAGAAGGAAGCATTTTCCTCTGGGGCAGGCAGCAGGAGTGGATAATGAGAAAGGAACAAGTTCATTGCACACTATTGGGCTCTGCAATTAACACAATTTGATAGTCCTAGTAATGTAAACACTGATTATTAACCCAAAATTATGATCTAAAGATATATTGGGATGATGGGTGGGGGAGGAAAGTGGGAATACAGTGGAAAGCAAGTGTCGAATCACCACTATTGTGGTAGAAAGTCAGCAAATAATGTCAAGATATAATAAATAAAAATAGCCATATTTCCTTATGTTTTCAGAAGCAGATTTAAAGAAGGAAAGTGGTGGCCTCTGGACTCTGGAATGAGAGCGCCAGGGAGAGAATGCTGCATAATTGTTTGGACTGTATACTACATGTGTGCATCACTTTTCTAAAAATACAAAATTAATGAGGAAAGGAAGAGGCAGCCCTGCCAGTTGCTGGCTGCCATTGTGAGCTCTTTGGAGAATGGGATGCGGGTGCAGGAGTGAGGGCAGTCAGCATCAGGGGGACCAGGAGACTCTGGGGAGTTTGAGTCTTTAAGAAATGGAAGACGTTTCCATCCAGTGGGCAACTAGAGGCAGACATCCTGGGTGTGAGAAGCCAGCGGGGCTTTTCTCTCTTCTGCAGGAACTCCTGCCAAGCTGTGGCAGTTGCATTTGTTGGTGGGAAATGGCCCGCAGAAGAATCCAGCCCCCAGTGCTGAGGTGCATGGGAGAGACTGTGGTGGGACTAGGAGAGTGATGGTCTCTAGGCAGCTTGGAGAAAGCAAGGGATAGCATGGCTCCTTTGTGGTGGGATTGGAAGGATGGAGGGGAAAGGAGGTTGGGTGAGGGCCTCTGCCTCTCAGGAAACAAGGCTGAGTCAATGTGGTGGGAGCAAGGTCGAGGTTCCATCTCATGCCAGGAGACAGAGCCATGAGTCCCCCGAGTTCAAGGACCAGGTGAGATCCTGGTTCTCGTGGCCCTTCCCTTTCCTCCGCTGGGGTCTGTGCTGGCCCCTGTCAGTGGCCCTTGCTGAGGAAGGGGCAGAAGGGTGGTCTGCAAGGGAGGGAGGAAGTGGGAACCAGAGAGGTGGGAGGCAGAGAAGGGGCTTGACTGCTGGAGGCAGCTTAGGGGGAGGCTGAGCCCCAGCCCCAATTCAGCAGAGCCAGGAGGCAGAGATGTGGGTGGGTGGTGTATTAGTTTTCTATTGCTGCATAACAAATGGCCCCAGAACTTAACAGCTTAAAACAACACACATGTATATATCACATAGTTTCTGAAGGTCAGAGATTTGGGAGCGGCTTAGCTCATTATTCTGAGTGTCGAGGACACGTGTGAGATTATAGTTGAGCTGTTGACTGGGGCAGTGGTCTCTGAAGACTGGACTGGGGTGGAGGAACTGCTTTTATGCATACTTATGTGACTGTGGGCTGGAGGCCTCTGTTCCTCTCCACATGGGCATCTCCAAATGGCTGCTCAGGAGGTGGCTTTTCCTGGAGCAAGTGATCATACAGAGATAGAAACAGAGAGACAGAGAAACACAGACAGAGAACATAACCAAGAGAGAAGCCATGGTGCCTTTCAGAACCCAGCCTTGAAAGCGGCATGTCATCACTTCTGCTGTATTCTCTGGGTCCTAGATGCAGTGTGGGAGGATTCCACATGAGGCTGTGAAGGCTGGGAAGCGAGATCACTGGGGGTCATGCTGGGGGTCATCTTGAAGGCTGACTGAGCGCAGCTCATCAACTGGGCACCTACTGTGTGAGAGACTCTGAGCTTCAGGCTGCGGCTGTGATAAGGTCTTGAAGAAACACCTGCTCCCAAGGGACTTAGGCTCTCAGTGGAATTCCAGTTCTTCTGTCTGTATCCCTCACTCCAATCAATCTATATCTATCTATATCTATATCTATATATTACTTTTTAAAATTGTTATCTATTTATTTTATTTTTGAGACAGGGTCTCACTCTGTCACCCGGGCTGGAGTGCGGTGGTGCCATCACAGCTCATTGCACCCTTGACCTCCTGGGCTCAAGTGATCCTCCCACCTTAGCCTCCTAAATAGCTGGGACTACAGGCACGTGCCATCACTTATGGCTAATTTTTGTATTTTTGGTAAAGATGGGGTTTCACCATGTTGCCCAGGCCGGTCTCGAACTCCCAAGATCAAGCAATCGGCCCACTTCGGCCTCTCTAAGTGGGATGAGATTATATGTGTGAGCCACCGCACATGGCCTTCAATTCTAATTTTAAGAATAGAATAGTTGGCTCCTATCTGCTTCCCCTTTTCAGTCTTATCACACTTACATGTTCCTTATTAGTCTCGTGCTATCTCTTTGCTGTAAGTTGGGCATATTTTATTAATTCTGTTCGTCAGATGGGAAAACTGAAGTTACAGAGATAGGCCAAGTATCGGCCAAAGGCTTTCAGTGGTGATGAGCCCAAGGATGGGAGGACCGGGAAGAGAGCTAGAGGCTGCAGGTTCCTTAGACGCCCACCTGCAGTGGTGGCTTTCCCATTCCTTCTTACGTTTCACAGATGTCTCTGTTCTAGGCACTGGGGACATGTCATGAACAAAAAATACTCCAGCCCCTTCTCTGTGGAGCTTATGGCCCAGGAGCGGGACAGGCGTTGGTCCAAGTATTTCACAGATAAGTACATAATTACAAATGGAAAACACCGATTTGAAAGCAAGTGCAGGATGAAATGAGATTGCACAGAGCCTGACTTGGCTCAGGGCCCGGGAAGCACCTCTGAGGAGGAGGCCTAGAGCCGCGGGTCATTCCCGCCTGACACTCGGATCAGAGAACAAAGAGGCCCCAAACCTTTCAGTTATCTTCAGGCTAATATTAGCATGAGAGACATGTGAATAATTTACTCTTTCTCAACAAATGTGGTTAATACTTAAGGGTAAAAAGGAAAAGATTGAGCCCGAAATTAAAAAATGAAGACAACCTTCAATGATGTATTTCTGCATCAGGCAAGGTGTCTTCTTATGGGAACAGCAGAGTCACCCAGAAACAAGGGTGTAATTATAGCAGTGCCATCTGCGGCACTAAAATAAGAATGATTATCAACACTATCTTTCAGGTTTTTCACTAAGTCAGAACAATTTGCTAAAAATAATCTGTACTGTATCCGCAACGCCCCCAAACAATGTGTGTTTTCCCGTCACCGCGGCTGCCAGCTCCCCACGGGCCGGGCCAGGGGGCCGAGGGGGCTGTTCAGCCCCGCTGGCAACCTTGTCCCCTGTTGGCTGGCTTTCATTGTGAGCATTGTCACTGGAGCAGTGGGAGATGGGTGGAGGGAAAGTTAAGGCTGGATTCCAGCCAGCTCGGGAGGGCCACGCAGACACCAGCTTGATTGAAGAAGGCTGGGTGCATTTCCCAAGAGCCTCCTGGTGGTTTCAGGGCCCATGGCCAGATCATCAGTTCCTGGAATCCCGCTTGGTCCAGAGGGAATGAGTCATACCCCCAACCCCCAGCATAAGGGATGAAAATACAGAAGCCAGATACGAGTTCCCTTGTGCTCCATGCAGAGGTTTCCTTCCAGATTAGAATACTTAGGTCCCCAATCCAGAGCCCCCCTTCCTGAAGTCAGAATTGCCGTGGAGTCTGCAGGGTCACAAAGAGGCGCAGTAAGCATAGGGACTGAGCTCAAAAAGGCGGGTGGAGTGATGATGACATTTCATCCTGGTCATAGGGCCACTGTTGCCTCTATGGAATATTCATGCGAAAAAAAAAAAAAAAGAGACCTAACCTAATCTAGTGCAGGGCATGCACTAGATTTCAGAACCTGCTTGCCCCCTGACTCAAAGGAGTCTTTGAGTAGTGTGCAACCTGTACAGCTGTTCATGGCGCCCTGTGGTTGCCATAGTCATGAGAACTCCTGTATGCCCCACAGCACCAAGGGCCTCTTCCCCAAGCAAGAAGAGCCCCTGCCTCAGACTCAGCAACTCTTTTCCCTGAGCAGAGCAGGATGGACGCATTCAACACTGCCCTTCGGATTTCCTCAGGGTATGGGCAATAGTGAATTCATGTTGATTTACTAATCAACTAATCAACTAATTACTAAGTTCTTAGGGTAATGATTTTCGAGTCCCAGGAATGTTTCCAGGAGGAGCTCAAGGCTGATAGGGGTAGGAGAGGTAGGCTGAGCAAAGAGAGTTCTGGACCCTCACCCCTGCTTCACCCGGGAGAGCTCATTTTTTCTTTCTGCCTTACTTGTTGGACTGCTAAGTAAGAGTTACTTTGGAAGAAAAGATGCAACAGAAAAACCGCCCTTAAAGGGCCGCATCCAAAAATGTTCATCATGAGATAGGGACTAAATCATGTGTCCAGATGTGTCCAGAGAAAAGTAACAGGAAATACAAGGTGACATCATCTGGACCCCAGTCTGGGAAAAGGAGCTGGGTAATTCAGACAAACCTGCCTGCTGGAAACAACTGGAAATGTTAGAACATATTTAAAATATTCTTTAAAAATTTTGTATTTTATTTATCTTTTAATTGATGTATAATAATTTTAAATATTTTGGGGATACATAGTGATGTTTTAATACATGTATGGTGATCAAATCAGGGTAATTAGCATACCCATCATCTCAAACATTTATCATTTCTTTGTCTTGGGAACATTCAATATCTTCCTTCTAACTACTTGAAACTATATATTATATTATTGTTAACGATGGTCATCTTACAGTGCTAGAGGCCATTAGAATTTATAATTTATTCCTCCTATCCAGATGTAGCTTTTTTTTTTTTTTTTTTTTTTGAGACTGAGTCTCACTCTGTCGCCGCCCAGGCTGGTGTGCAGTGGCATAATCTCAGCTCACAGCAATCTCTGCCGCCCAGGTTCAAGCAATTCTCCTGTCTCAGCCTCCCATGTAGCTGGGACTACAGGTGCATGCCACCATGCTGGCTAATTTTTGTATTTTAAGTAGAGAGGAGGTTTTACTATATTGGCCAGGCTGGTCTCAAACTCCTGACCTCGAGTGATCTGCCCACCTTGGCCTCCCAAAGTGCTGGGATTACAGGCGTGAGCCACTGAGCCCAGCCCAGATGTAGTTTTTAATCCTTTAACAAATCTCTTCCTAGCCCCTCCTTCCCCTACCCTTCCCAGCCTCCAGTGTGCTCTGTTCCACTTTTTACTTCTATGAGATCAACTTTTTTAAGCTTCCACATATGAGTGAGAGCATGTGGTGTTTAACTTCCTGTGCCTGGCTTATTTTACTTAACATCATGTCCTCCAGTTCCATCCATGTTGCCATGAATGACAGGATTTGCTTCTTTTTTATGGCTGAATAGTATTCCATTGTGTGTATATATCACATTTTCCTCATCCATTCATCTGTTGTTGGACAGATAGGTTGATTTGATACCTTGGCTGTCGTGAATAGTGCCGCAATAAATATGGGGGTGCAGATGTACCTTCAATATTCTGATTTCCTTTCCTTTGGGTAAATGCTCAGTAGTGGAATTGCTGGATATATGGTAATGCTGTTTGTAGTTTCTGAGGAACCTCTGTACTGTTCTCTATAGTGGCTGTACTAGTTTACATTCCCACGAATAGTGTATAAGAGTTTCCTTTTCTCCATAGCCTCACCAGCGTTTGCTATAAATATACTATCTTAAAAGTGCCAAAGAACCAGCAAGATAATGAAGAACTGCCAGGCCAGCTTCTGGGGAAAGCATGCATTAAGAGGGATAAGAATACTGGGGCCTTTGAAGGCTCTTTGGCCTTAAGGGACAGAGTTGAGGCTCAGGGGCCACCCAAGGTGGGGAGTCAGGGTGGAGGCCCTTCCCACACTGAAGGCCAACACCTTTGGGGTAAGGGTGAAGCAGCAGGCAGCCACCTCAGGCAGCAGTCGGGGCACCTGCACCAGGTACTTCAATCAAAGGTGACTGAAGACAGGGAAGTGGGAGGCAGGTTTCATAGGGCTGAATTTTCTACCCAGGGAAAAGTTTTTTCAAGAATAGGGGCAGTATAAAGACTGAGGGAGTTCATCACCAGCTGACTCTTCCTGAAGGGATTTCTGAAAGATGCATTTCAGTGAGAAGGAAAGTGGTCTCAGAGGAAGGTTTGAGGAGGAAGAAGGAGTGAAGAACAGGAAGTACTGAGAGGGTGAATAAAAACAACCATTGATTTCATAAAGCAATGTCTTAATCTGTTTTCTATTGCTTAGAACAGAATACTTGAAACTAGGTAATTTATATAGAAAAGTAATTTATTTTTTTCAGCTATGGAGGCTGAAAAGTCCAAGGTTGGGGGCCGCATCTGGCGAGGACCTTCTTGCTGGTGGGGACCCGTGGCAGAGTCCCAAAGCAGCTCAGGGCATCACAAGGGGAGGGGACTAAGTGCACTAGCTCAGGTCTCTCTTCCTCTTATAAAGCCACCAGTCCCACTCCCATGATAACCCATTAATTCATGAATAGACTAATTCTTTTATCAGAGCAGAACCTGCATGACCCAGGCACCTCTTAAAGGCCCTACCTCTCAATATTGCCACACTGGGGGTTAAATTCTAACATGAATTTTGGAGGGGACAAGTATTCAAACTATAGCAAGCAGTATTAATAATGTCTAGTGGAATTAAGAAAACCAAAACAGAATTAAAGATCTAGATAAGAAAACTTATATTCCAAGCACAAGTTACATGGAGCTCATGGGTTCCAAGGCCCTTCTATTATCTGAGTGGAGGGCAAAAAGGTATTGAGTTCAGAGTCTTATATATTAAGAATTCATAGTATATGTTAATACATTATTCTAATTCTTAATTTTATATTTGGAATTCTAGGGTATTCATTAAAAGATTGGAGCAAGGGTATGGAGAAGAAAAAAATAAGTATACTTAAAGAAGGGAGAAAAGATAAGGAAACAAAGCAAGTATACAATTACAGGTTAGATTAAAATCCAAATATATAAACAATTACTTTATATATATGGACTGAATATTCCAGCTAAAAGACTAAGTTGCTCAAACTAGATTTTAAAAATTACAGCTATACAGTTTTTTTTTCTTTTTTTTTTTTTTAGACAGAGTCACTCTGTAGCCCAGGCCGGAATGCAGTGGTGTGATCTCGGCTCACTGCAACCTCTACCTACTGGGTTCAAGTGATTCTCCCACCTCAGCCTCCCACACAGCTGGGATTACAGGCGCTCCCAATCACGTCTGGCTAATTTTTGTATTTTTAGTAGAGATGGGGTTTCACCATGTTGGCCAGGCTGGTCTCGAACTCTTGACCTCAAATGATCCTCCTGCCTTGGCCTCCCAAAGTGCTGGGATTACAGGCATGAGCCACCTCGCCTGGCCAGCTATGAGAGACTTGTAAAACACAAGGTTACAGGACTGTTGAAAGTGAAAGGTTGGAAAAAACATAGGGGTTCAAAGAAAGGGGATGTCATTACATTAATATCAGACAAAAGACTATTTTGGCATAAGCATTTTATTAGAGGCAAAGAGCATCAAGTAATAACAATAAAAGACCCTGTTAAAATCGAGGCTTAGCCAGGCGCGGTGGCTCACACCTGTAATCCCAGTACTTTGGGAGGCTGAGGTGAGCGGATCACAAGGTCAGGAGATTGAGACCATCCTGGCTAACAGGGTGAAACCCCGTCTCTACTAAAAATGCAAAAAATTAGCCGGGCATGGTGGTGGGCATCTGTAGTCCCAGCCACTCAGGAGGCTGAGGCAGGAGAATGGCGTGAACCTGAGAGGCGGAGTTTGCAGTGAGCCGAGATCAGACCACTGCACTCCGGCCTGGGCGACACAGCGAGACTCCGTCTAAAAAAAAAAAAAAAAAAAAAAACGAGGCTCAGACATGCACAGCCCCTGCCATGGCTCTGTCCTCCATCGCACTAACACTTGGGTGGCAAACGCAGAGGAGGACTGGCATCTACTGGCCAAGTAACCTTGTCCATTTGATTACTTAGTGCCTCTCCCGGGTGGATTCAAACATCCTTACACCCCGTGCGCACCCTCATACGTCTATCCACTACCTCTTCCCTGGGGCCTTTCTGTCCCTGAACTTCTGGTCTCCTCCCAGGCTCCTGACCATAAGCCCAGCCACTCCCCACTGCCCATAAATCCACGGATGTTTTTACCTTGGGCCTTGGAAACATGAAGTGAATGACCAGGTGCACCACAGAATGCTCTGCCCATTAGGAAGATGTTCATCGTCGGCAGATGGTGACTACTGCAGCAACCCTGCGTGGTGCTGTGGTGCAGGTACTGTCTGTCTTTGTCTTGCCCTGACATACTGGGTTGATCCATCCATGAACTGAGCTCGGGCTTTTTCCTCCACTGTTACCTGATCATGGAAAGGCCCATGAGGTGTGAGGCATGAAGTTAGAGGTGAAGGAAGAGATGGCAATGCCCAGAGTTGGATGATGAGATCTGGAGTCTGCCTGTGGTTCATCTAGCCCAAGAATCAAAGCTGCCTGTTCTGTAGTCTGGCTCCTGCAGAACCCCTTCTGGATCTGGGAGCCACTCAAAACTAGCCCAAACTAGCAACATTCTGTGTCAACTGGAAAATGGGTAGACCAGTTGCCACATGCAGAGTATTATGCCTCCAAAACCGAAAAACCCCACTACTCATTGCTTTTTTTCTTCTCAGACCTAGAAGTCCAAGGTGGAACAACTCACCCTTTATTTGCAAGTGTAATACATCATTCCCTAGACTCCTGGGCTCCTAGAAACACTACAAATGGGACAGGCCCCTGAATCCTTCTAGGTTTATCTCCTACCCTCAAGAGATCGTATCTTCCGTGGTATCAAGAGAACTTGTCACTTCCTGCCCTTCAGGTCTAGTTACCATGGTATCACCAACACAATGGACCAGTGAGCTGCTCTGCGGAAAGTTCATAGAGCCCCATTCCCTTCCTGAAGACCATATTATATCAGAGGACAGGAGAATCAACCTACCCCATGGGCAAAGCTCTGAATGTTTGCTTTGTCTACCACACGTGAATACAAGCTGCTTCTGACCCTCCTTCTGATGGGTATGGAACAGATGGCGTTCACCAGATCAACAGCTACATACCCATACCAAAGTCTGTGTTCATCTGCTCCGATGAAGAAGCTCCATGTGGCGCAGCAGCTGCAACTGAGCTGCTGCATGGGAAAGTTTATGGTAGTCCACTCTCATCCACCATAATCCATGCGGTCTCTGCAGGGAAGATACTAATGATTCAAATTCTAGTGAATTAAATGGGGATAGGATGGGGACCACTACCTTGGCACTCTTAAAATCTTTGATGGTGGTCCAACTAGCTGATAGTCCTCCATTACACCTTCCCTGGGCATAATATAATTTTTAAAGTTTTTTACTTTATTTTTGTAGAGATGGAGTCTTTCTTTTTTTGTTGTTTTGTTTTTTGTTGATTTTTTTTTTTTTTTTGAGATAGGGTCTTACTTTGTCACCCAGGCCAGAGTGCAGTGGTGCAATCTTGGCTCACTGCAGCCTCGGCCTCCCAGGCTCAAGGGATTCTCCTGCCTCAGCACTCCCAGTTAGCTGGGACTATAGGTATGTGCTATCACACCTAGATAATTTTTGTACTTTTTTTCCTTTCTTTTTTTGAGACGGAGTTTTGCTCTTGTTGCCCAGGCTGGAATACAATGGTGTGATCTTGGCTCACTGCAACCTCTGCCTCCCAGGTTCAAGCGATTCTCCTGCCTCAGCCTCCCAAGTAGCTGAGATTATGGGCATGTGCCACCACGCCTGACTAATTTTGTATTTTTAGTAGAGATGGGGTTTCTCCATTTTGGTCACGCTGGTGTCGAATTCCCGACCTAAGGTGATCTGCCCGTCTCGGCCTCCCAAAGTGCTGGGATTATAGGCATGAGCCACTGTGCCCAGCAATTTTTGTACTTTTTGGAGAGACAGAGTCTTACCATGTTGCCTAGGCTGGTCTCAAACTCCTGAGCTCAAGTGATCTGCCCACCTTGGCCTCTCAAAGTTCTGGGATTACAGGTGTGAGCTACCATGCCTGGCCTGAAAGATAGAGTCTGTGTTGCCCAGGCTGGTCTTGAACTGCTGGCCTCAAGCAATCCTCCTGCTTCCACCTCCCAAAGTGCTGGGATTACAGGTGGGAGCCACTGCGCCTGGCCCCATCATTTTTGATTTACTCTCTGTCTTGGCTGACGGGGGAAATTCAGGGGCTTCCACTTGGCCTTCTCCAATAGGCTCCACAGGTCAAAGAAGCAATTTGTGGGTTCTGCCAACTGCCAAGTAAGTCCATACTAATTAAACTAATTCAGGACATAACCACTGGTGGTTTCATGGGCCCAGTGGACACACTGTGAGACGGATTGGGTCATTTGTTACCTGATTCCCACAGTCCCCGTCCTAACAGGAGAGGCATGATGGCACTTCAGATATGAGTATTGGCTCAGACCATAGCCAACTGCCCTCAAAAACCTGGTTACTTTTTCCAGAGTGTGGTGGTTACTCAAGTAGAATGCCATGGGTCTTTATGGAGAAAGACTGGAGGCCTCGCTACTGTATATACTCACCATAGTGTTACGGGGTTCTTTCTAACAGAAACCAGGCCCTGCTTTAGTCAATGTCAATGGGTTCTTGGTCCAAAAACAGGTTCAAGACTGGAAAATGGGCAAAGGACCACGACTTTCTGTGAACTCCTCTTGGTTTTTTCTTTTTATAACATAAAATTCATCATTTTAGAGTGTGTAATTCAGTGGTGTTTAGTCTACTTCTCTTTGTATGGATTTGCCAGATACTGGACATTTCATACAAATGGAATCCTACGATGTGTGTCCTTCTGTGCCTGGCTTCTTTCACTTGGCATGATGTTGAGAACAGCTTCATCTGGGTTGTAGCATGTGTCAGGCAACTTCCCATTTATGGCTGATTGATATTCCATGGTATGAATATGGGACATTTTGTTTGCCCATTCATCCACGGTTGGACATTTGAGTATGAATCCATTCTTAACCCTTTTATTTATGTATATTGAGCAGTACTCTGGATAGTTGCCCATCTACTCTGCCTCTAGGGACATCCTGTCCTATTGGCCATCTTCAGTCCATGTATCTCTGAAAATTAGAACACTTACCCCCTTTCTCTTTGTTCTGACCTTGTGGCTCATTCTATTACAGTAATTATACCCACCTTGAAGAAGCAAGTGCTGCAGTGAAGTGCTGCTGCCTGGTCCTTGCTAGTCAAGATTCTAGCATCCCTCCTGCTCCTGGAGAGCCCTGCTCCGTGGTAGCATCTCCGACCACCAGACCTGGCTTGTTGAGGATGGCTACCACTGAGCTTTTTAGCAATACTGGTGCTACCCTCACCAGCAAGCTCCTTGTCACCATGGTAAGTGTCCTCCAGCCCTTCCAAGGAACACTGGCAGATGGTGGGGTTTCCAGTCTCCTAGAGCAGACCGATTCTTCCAGCTGCATCTCTGAGCCTTTTGGTCCCTGATCCCTTCCTCCACAGTCAGCCTTGAAAGTTCAAGCGTGACTTCTCTGTTGCTTTTCTCTTTAGAAAGTGGGCCATTGCTTTTGCCCAAGCTTCCAGAGTCATTCCAAAAGCATACTGGAATCATTCTAGGGCCCTTCCCTAGATGTTAAATTTTGTGCTATGGTCGAATGCCCTCCTATCAACAAAGCTCTCTTCTCTGGCTCACTCTTCTGTTGCCCTTGACCCAGCCCCTTCAGCACCAAGTCTGTGCTGGTGAGCATTAGCCAGATCCTGTAGCTCTTTCTGTGCGTATCCCTCTCCTTCCTGGGCAGGCCCAGCACAAGCCAGGGGCCAGCTAGGACCCTGACACTTGGGATGGTGATCTGTGGATTTGAGAACCTTGAGCCCCCAGGTTCCCTTGCAACTCTCTGGGGCTCCCTAGGGTTTTGTCTCACTTGCTGGAAGATCAAGTCTTATTCACTATTTGAAGACAATGCAAAGGCCTCAAAGGTAGCCTTTTAAGACCATGCTGGCTCCCTCTGGGACTAGCCCCAGCTCCCCTCCTGAGCACCAGACCAATAGCTAGAGCTGGAGGCAGGCAGCACAAACCAACTGGGCTGGCTCAGCAGAAAGGACCTTTCTTAGGAGGGTATTGGGCAGCCAGGCTGCAGAACCAAGCTGGGATCAGGACCAGGAACCCAGGGAACTTTGGAGCAGACACCATGTTCGAGGCCACGTCACTGGAAGGGGCCAGGTAGGATGCTGTTGCTGTTAATTTCTGAGGCAACACACTCCCCTTTCTGTGTACAGATTCTAACCATCTCTTCCTGACCGCATCTCTCATAATGAGTCTAAGCCCCATGCAGGAGCATCCTGGAGCCTGAGCCTAAGCCCAGGTCACTGGCCCATGCCCTGCTGGGGTGGGTGGGCAGGTGAAGACGATGCTTTTGGTACTTGGGCTTCAGAAGTCACCTCCCACCCAATTCCCACCATGGCAAGTTCCCTTCCAATGCAGAAAGAGATGAGAGTCTTGGTCAAGTTGAAAAGTTTTCTTTGTATCTTTTACCTGTCACTCGGTGAGAGGCACATGGGTGGGGGTGCTAGGCTATTCCTTCAGCTTTGCCATCAGACCACATGCGTCTCTGCAATGTGGGATTTTCCTGAGGACTTTTCTATTCAGTGAGAGCATTCCAGACTTCATCTACAGGACTGAAGACCTGCTGGAATGTGGGAATGGTGCCATGGGGTACAGAAGGATGAGGAAAGATGCCAAAACCTTCTCAGCCTCCTTGGAATCACCACATGGGTTGGGGGCAGTGGCTTCTCACCATGTTTGAGCTTGAGGTTGGTCCTGCCCGATGGCCATGGTGTTGGCTTGGAATGTGGAGCAGATACAGGCCATCCCCAGGGACTTCCTGCAGCAGGGGGTACAAGAATGTGCCATGTGGGGCTTCCAGATTCAACCTCTTTGCTTTGGGTGACAGATGAAGTCAGCCAGGCATTGGCATGTGGGAAGTGGCCTGGGACCAGAGCTCTGTACTGGGTCGATAGACATGTCTCTTCAGGTCAGTAAAATGAAGCACAGCCTCAATAAAATAACCCAAAAGGGTGCTGAGTTACTGTAGAGTCCGTGCTCAATTGAGAAGAGGAGCCCAGCCCACAGCAGCCTCTTCATGCCCCCTCATTGCTGGGTGCTGCTCAGCTGGTTGTGCTGGGGAGGGATCATGTCCCCAAAACATACGGACTTGCTCCAGACAATAGGGTCACCCTAACTGATCATTTTGCTCTGAGCTCTCTGGCATCCCTGGCAACAATGGAAACCCAGTGACTTATGTAGCTGGCATAATCAGGTGACAAACTTTGCTGGTGCATGTATTAGTTTACTAGAGCTTCCATAAAAAAAACCACAGACTAGGGGGAGCTTAAACAACAGAAAGGTATTTTCTCACAGTTCTGGAGGCTGGAGTCTGTGAACAAGATGCTGGCAGGTTTCTAGTGGTTTCTAGTGAGGTCTCTCTCCTTGGCTTGCAGATGGTCATCTTCTGCCTGTGTCTGCACATGGTGTTTCTCTGTGCGTCCTAACCTCTTTTTCTTCTACAGATACCACTCAGATGGAATTAAGACCCCACTCTAATAATCTCATTTTAACTTAACTACCTCTTCAAAGGCCCCATCTCCAAATACATTCAAATTCTGAGATACTAGGGGTTATGACTTCAGCATATGAATTTGGAGGGAATGCAGTTTGGCCCCTAACAGCATGAAATTTACTTGCACCCTGACAAGGAACATTGATGGGCAGTTGGTCCTGTGTCTCCTCCTGGCTCTGCCCATCTGTGGACTGCAGCGCACTGCTCACGGGCCCTTGTTGGATGACGATTCCTGCTTCAGCAGCATCCTTCTCCTTTCCGTACAACCTCACTGCCTAGTCACAGCTGAACGCAGCGTGGAGAGTTTATTCTCAGTAGAGTGTGAGGGGCTTATAGTTCCTGACGTGCTCTCCCTTCCTGAATGATACGCTTTGGGAAGAGTGAGGGAGCAAGGTAGAGAACATGGTTTTTGGACAAGAGCTAGGTCAGACTAAGGAGGGAAAGACTGTCTTCCAGTCGCCGGTTCCCTCCAAGCCCTTGGGGGACTGCTTGTATCACCGAAACCTGGAAACTGAGTCAGGGTCCCACTACAGCGCCGACTGCCTGTGGTCCTTTAATTGTTCTGAACATCGTTTCCTTCACCAGTGAAGCAAATGCTGCCTTCGTATCTACCCTCTGTGTTCTCATCGATGTGTGTGATGTTTCACGTGACAGATCAGTGCTTGTCACACAGATGCCGCAATACCCTGACTGGCCAGGGATCACTGATGAGGGCTTCCACGACCACTTGCCTTTTGCTCCCTCATCTCGGGATGGCCTCTGAAGGCACCTGCTCATGTTGGGGGCTGCGTCCCCTGCAGTTCAGCGAAGGCACCTCTGTGCTGCTGAGCGCTCAAGAGGTCATGAACCAGGCTTTGTAGGGAAAGTGTCGGCAGGATGGTGGCGCAGTCCTGGATCTTGGAGGAATGTTAGATGCTTTCCGTGAAATCCCCTCATTTTACAGCTGAGAACCCTGCACTTTGGAGAACCCCAGAGCTGCTTTCTGTGAAGCATGGAGAAAATAAGAATGTGAACACAGGCCCCTGGACTCCCTCCAGAGCCTCGGTTTCCCTCCCCACTTCACTGAGAAAGAAACTATGAGGTTGGCTGGGTGCGGTGGCTCATGCCTGTAATTCCAGCAGTTTGGGAGGCTGAGGTGGTCAGATCACCTGAGGTCAGGAGTTTGAGACCAGCCTGGCCAACATGGCGAAACCTTGTCTCTACTAAAAAAAGAGGTCGGCTCATCTAGATCTTTGTGAATGATAAATACAAATTTTAAACACATAGCTGCATTTAACAGTTGAAACAAGCCATTCTGAGTTTGAGAACACAGCCTTCCCAGGTCCAGTTGAACTGGATGGGGCCTTGTGCCGGGGTCTGCTCTGAATAGCAGCCTTCATGGAGTTGCCTTGTCTGTGTCAGATGTCCCCTTGGGCCTTTCCATAGCCAAGGGGACCAATGGTGGCACCAATGGGCTGACAGAGGAAGACTGGGAGCCCAGTGGCTGCACATGTCCCACGGACACCCACTTGTCTAATGACAATGCTTTGGGCTGACTAAATCAGCAGCGGAGAGGGAACCTGAGAGGCGGGAGGAGAAGCAGAGCAAGGCAGAGTCAGGGGACCGAGTCCTCCAGGAGGCAGGGCCAGCCCAGCATGGGAATTGGGGGCTGGGGGAGGAAGGGCAGAGCCTGGCCCAGGCCTGGCACACAGCAGATGCCATGCTGTCAACTCAGGGCTGGTGTGGATAGGCTCAGCCTCTCTCTGGGGTCTCTCTCTGAGCCTCTGAGCAGGTGGGCCCTGCAGAGGCCCTCAGAGGCCATTGGAGTCCATGAACATTCTCCAGGGCCAGAGAAGACCATAGAGACAGCAGAAGGAGGAATGCCCTCCTTCCACCAGAAGCTCAGCGCTTTGCAGGGCCAGAGGGCCGTTATTGTGGTAGGGTGGTGGTGATGGTGACGATGATGACACTCAAATCCATGGACTAGGGGGAGACTGTCACCTCACATACCCCCTGACACCCAACTGCCAGCCCACGCTTGAGATATGATGACAAAATCTTCGTGCTTGGGCTCCACAGCCTTTTGCTCCCGCTAAGGGACAACTCTCCCTGGGATGGGGACTTATCTCATTGGGCTGGGCTCAGGGAGTTTCCTGGAGGTGTGCTTTGCTGGGGAAGATGGCAAAGAGCAGGTCCCTGGGGTAAAATAAGGAGAGAGGGGCTGCAGAAAGCGTTCTGTGCCCCAACAGCCTCCACCCCTCCCTGCAGCCAGCGAGGGCGGATGGGAGGCTGTCTGCCGCCAGAGCCTGGCCTGTGCCTCTCTGGAGGGCCTCCTGCCTGTGCCTCTAACACTGCACTGTTCACCATGCCTGCGCCTGGGCACACTCAGAGGGTGTGCCCAGCAGAAAGCTTCAAGAACACTTTACCTGCCCCAGGCCATTCCAGGTTGACCTTCAGAGGCCAGGCAGGCACAGGCTTCCCCTGGGCCACTCTCAGGTAGCCCCTGCAGATTTTGAATTAAACATTTGAGGATTTCACATAGCAGAAAACCAGTTTTTTATCCTGCCAGGAAAAACTTGATGATTTGGCATTCCCACAGGCTGCCATTGGTGGGAGGGGTGGGCTCAGGTCCAGGTTTAGCCCCTACAGCTGGCCTCACTCACCCACCACACCCCTGCAGGCCTCTGAGTAAGTGCCCTCCACTGCGGCTCCGTGCAGAGAAGTGTATTTTTTATGTATTTTTATTTTTATTTTTTTGAGATGGAGTCTCGCTCTGTTGCCCAGGCTGGAGTGCAGTTGCACCTCTCGGCTCACTGCAAGCTCCACCTCCCGGGTTCAAGCAATTCTCCTCCCTCAGCCTCCAGAGTAGCTGGGATTACAGGCGCCCGCCACCACACCTGGTTAATTTTTGTATTTTTAGTAGAGATGGGGTTTTGTCATGTTGGCCAGGCTGGTCTCGAACTCCTGACCTCAAGTGATCCGAGAAGTGTATTTTTTAAATAAAGGAGTTGAAGGGACGCTATGCTCCTTTTTCATCCCTCATGTTCATTCCATGGGCTGCATCACAATGGTGACGCTAGGACTCATCTAATAGTGACAACATGAGACCCTAGGTAGCACTTACCCTCTGCTGGGCATTACTCTGTCTCAGGAAACTGAGGCTCAGCGAACTTGAGATCCCTCACCTGAGCCCTGCAGCTGGTGAGTGGTGGAGCTGGGACTCACACCCATGCAGAGGAACACCAGAGCCTGAACCCTCCATGGTCGGGCGGATATTTTTCCAAGCATTCTCCTCCAGTCGGTCACTTCATGAGCATAAGGACATGGTCCTCCGCCTGGGAACCCCGGGTGCCTGACGGTTCCCACAGCTCACAGCCTGCCCCTCTGTGTAGCCTTTGGGCTGTGGTCCCCCTCTGATCTGAGGCCAGTCACCTCTGCATGTCCGGGTTTCTGCCTGATTCCAGTCCCTGCCAGGGCAAAGGTGGTCCCCCTGTTGAGGGGCAGGGAGGGAGGCAGCCTGTGCTTTCTGCTGTCTCCATGTGCAGCCTGCGTGAAAGCCAGCAGCCTCATGGTCCAGTCACGGCACAGTGTGACAGTCACAGACAGAGAGGCAGAAAAGACACACAGAACACACAGCTATCTTTGTTTAGGCTGCCTCCTTTCCAGCCCTGATTACTTCAGGACGACTCTTGGATCTAACATAACAGAGTGGTCTCCACACTTGGACACAGGAAGGGGAACATCACACACCAGGGCCTGTCGTGGGGTGAGGAGAGGGGGGGAGGGATAGCATTAGGAGATATACCTAATGTAAATGACGAGTTAATGGGTGCAACACACCAACACGGCACATGTATGCATACGTAACAAACCTGTATGTTGTGCACATGTACCCTAGAACTTAAAGTATAATTAAAAACAAACAAACAAAAAAAACCAGAGTGGTCTTCTTCTCTGCACATTCCAGTGGCAAGACAGAGTTTAGGGGATGCCAAGAGGCCAGCACCATCCACGACTCACTCCAATTTTCATGTAAAGACTAGTGTGCCAAGTGCCGCCTAGATGTGAGCTGTGCTGTCCAGCATGAAGGTGAGACTCTCTAACCCTTAGCACTACTCCATGCCCAAGACTGGAGTCACTGACCCAGCCTGGGGCCAATGGCAGAAGGGCTGCCTGTACCCACACTTGACTTCTGGGGTCCTGAGAGAGAGGAGTGTCCCAACCTCTTATTGCCCCCTTGGGGCAGAGGTTGGGCCCTGAGGTGACAGACAACCTCAAATCCTAGGCTCACTTCGGGTCTTGAGACGTGGGCTTCTCTCCATTCTGTTTTAGAAACAAAAAAAGCAAAAATGCATGATTTCAAGGCGGAGAGGAAGTCTTTGGCTGTTCCATGTTCTTTTCCCTTGTCTCAGGCATGCAGCCTTGCCTGGGAAGGGGCCTGCAGACCTTGGAGGACTTGCTCAGCGCAATGGACAAGCAGCCCTTCTGTCAAACACTCCCCATAGGAAGGTAAAATCAGGTCCCGTGGGTTACCAGAGGGTCGAGCCTCTCCAGTGGGGACTTGCCCAAGTCGCTGTGCGTGCAACTGCACATCCTTGCAGGCAGTTTCTTGCATATTTCCAGTTTCCAGCAGCACCCTGCATTACAGAGCCTGCTTCAGAGTAAGCCCCTAGACCCAGAGCTGGCTCCCAGAGGAACAGGATCGCTAGAACTTATTAGAGCCCCTAATAGAACATCCTGCCACTGACATGCTACTCGCCTTCCAGAAAAACTTGAAGATCCTCAGAGATAGGTGCCCAGAAATCATGGGTTAAAACTGATTTTGGACTTCACAAAAGTTTGATTCTGAGCCTGGAGCACCCAGTCCTGAGCTGAGCATTCTCCTCAAAGCTGGGACTCCAGTCTCCATGTGCCCCAGGTGCACTCCGAAAGGTGGCTTCCAGAGTGTTCCAAGCCACCAGGGTTTGAGCAGGGCCATATGACCACATTTGTTTGCATGTATCTCCAAACAGTGAGAGATCATAGTGAAGGGTGCCTTTGGCTTCAGTCTGGGGATAATGCTTTTAGTCCTAGGAGCAGCTGAATTCTTCCCCCAGATCCAAAATTTTGGTCATGTTCCCAGAAGGCAGCCCAGCTGGGGAAAATGATGAAGGCGGAGGCTGGCTTCCTGTGGGGTCACAAGAACCTGCAGGTGATGGGGCGAAGGTCTCCTCCAGCATGTTCTTCCACTGGTCGCGTTACATGCAAAATGCCTTCTCAACACCCCTTGTCTTCTCCAGCAAATAGATGTCTCTGGGCTGGCTCAGTTTAGACTCACTCAAGACCAATTCTCTACACATACTTGCCTCAAGTTATTTCTCCACAAACCTGGCATGTAGGTAATGATACAGATGAGGAAACTGAGGCTCAGAGACTTGAAGTGGTGGGGGCAGGGATTTGATTCCAAAGCTCACGCCCTTGACTCAATTGCTATCTGCCTCCCTGCTGTGTTGAACAACTGGCCCTGTGACAGATATAGTAGCATCATCTCCAGACTGCACGAGAGAGACTGAGCCCGGGGAGTTAGCTAATCAATTAGGATCACAGAGCTTATTAGTGATGGATCAGGACCCACCAGCTGTTAGCTGGCCCCGTGTTTGGTCCCCCATCCCCATTGTGATGGTTTTAAAATAGTCCACAAATGCTTTGCTATTCTTCCCATCAAATCTCCTCTCCATGAGTGTGGGCTGTACTTAGTGACTCACTTCTAATGAATAGTATGTAGAGAAATGATAGTGTGGAAAAAATAGTTACTTACGTTTAGGGGTTGTTCTCTCGCACAGCGTGTGTCTATCTGCAAATAACTCACAGCTCCTGGAGGACAGTAATCTTGTCATAGTCATTTCTTTTATTCCCAGTACCTTGCGCTCTGCCTAGCATATAATAGCTGCTTGATAATTATTTTAATACACAAATGAATGAAAGAAATCATGCAAAATGTTGTCATTGTCATTTCTCCAAAGATATTTATGGGTTCAGATACATCAGCGACTTAGAAATGTTGTTAAAGCTTAGATTTCACCAAGAGAAATCATTAGCAACTCTCTACCATGGTAGGGTCAAAGCTGGGGGCTTACAAAATACAATGTTCAATGTGAATCCTCTAGCTTTTCCACCTAAATCTGTGAAGAGTCCAGATGCTAACTTAAGCCAGAATTATTTTCTTCTTTTTCAGGAAAATCAAAAAATTTTTAGACTCACAAGTACTATGAACTCAGAGTAAGAGATAACTTTCCTATGAAGAGCTATTCCAAAATTTTTATTTTTCTTTTTTTCCTTTTTTTTTTTTTTTACACTGAGTTTTACTCTTGTTGCCCAGGCTGGAGTGCAATGGTGCAACGTCGGCTCACTGAAACCTCCACCTCCCAGGTTCAAGCGATTCTCGTGCCTCAGTCTCCCAAGTAGCTGGGATTATAGGCATGTACCACCACACCTGGTTAATTTTTGTATTTTTAGTAGAGACAGGGTTTTGCCATGTTAGCCAGGCTGGCCTCGAATTCCTGACAGGTGATCTGCCTGCCTCAACCTCCCAAAGTGCTGGAATTACAGGTGTGAGCCACAACACCCAGGCTTTTTTTTTGCGGGGGGTGATGGGGGGTCTCACTATGTTGCCCAGGATGGTCTTAAACTTCTGGCTTTAAGCTATCCACCTCAGCCTTCCAAAGTGCTGGGATTACAGGCATGAGCCACTGCGCTTATCCTCCAATGTTTTAATAAATAATAAAGCATTTAGGCCGGATGCAGTGTCTCATGCCTGTAATCCCAGCACTTTGGGAGGCCAAGGTGAGCAGATCATGAGGTCAGGAGTTCAAAACCAGCCTGGCCAGCATGGTGAAACCTTGTCTCTACTAAAAATACAAAAATTAGCCAGTCATGGTGGCTCGCTTCTATAGTCCCAGCTACTCAGGAGGCTGAGGCAGGAGAATCACTTGAACCTGGGAGACAGAGGTTGCAGTGAGCCAAGATCACGGCACTGCACTCCAGCCTGGGCGACACAGCAAGACTCTGTCTCAAAAAATAAATAAATAAATAAATAAATAAAGCATTTAATAAAATGCTATTTTGCAGGGGGATTTCTTTTGTCATTTGCCAATGAGTGTTATATATTAAATATTTTAAGCAAACATACTAACTTTAAAATTGTATAATAAAATATATATAATAAAATTATGCTAATCCAAAAACTTCTTATGCAAAGCATGAAAACTAATTCTTATAATTAATGCACAATAATATATTTAGCTATATTTTGAGTTCATTAAACAAAATGAATCATTATAGCACTTTCATACTATATGCAGAAAATTACATTTTGTGGAGAATATATGCATATGTACATCATATATACATAATATGTCTGTGTCACTGATCCTTCATTGAAATTGAATTATCTCAGGCAGAAAATTCACTATGAAGTTGGTGTCAGTGACACTACACAAACTGTGTTATGATATTTTATTTATAAACAATAAAGTTCAATAAAACAACTTAAAAAAAAAGAACATGGTAGAAGTGACTGAGTGTGACTCTGGAGACCAGGTCCTGAAAGGCACTGTGGCTTCCTCCTTGCTTGCCCTCTCTTGTCTCTCTTGCTCTGGAGGAAGCCAGCTACCATGTCTTGAGCATGCTCAATGGCCCATGGAGACCTCTAGTCAACAGCCACCTGGGTAACGCTGGAAGCAGACCTCCAGCCCCAGTCAACCCTTCAGATGCCTGCAGCCCTGGCCAGTGTGTCTGGACTGCAACTCGATGCAATGCTGAGACTGAACTGCAGAGCTCAGTAACTCCCAAATTCCTGACCCTCAGAAACTTCATGAGATAATAAAAGTTTGTTATTTCAGCTGCGAGGCTTGGGAGTAACTGGTTACACGGCAGCAAATAGCTAATAAACCCATTCCATTTCCCGTTTTTATGATCTTCTGTCATCATGTGCTTGGCACCACTCCCACTCCACTCCAGAGAAAGTCCATGCCATGAAGAAGTGAGGATGTTTTTGGACGTTCTTTTGCACAATAGCATGGTACAACTGCTCGAGCCGTTTCTGGAATATTTTCCAAGAAACTCACCTTCTTCCAAAGGATGAAGAGATCCCAAGGCTCCTCCAGGCCACAGCCTAGAGCTATTCCTGATCTTTTTCATCCCAGAGAACACTCCAAGGCTCTAAAGTAACTACAGTGAGTCGTAAATGAAAGGGAGCCATGCCCAGGGTACTGGTGCCTCTGGCTTGTTGCCTGGGGCACAGGAGCCACCTGTGAGGAGCAACAGCAGCACCTCCAGGTTCTGAAAAAGTGGACAAAAAGGGATAAATGTGGGCCCAAGGCTAGACAGAGCAGAACAGTGGCGGCCACCATAGCAGGCTCATCTATGGGAGGAGCAGGGGCAGCCAGGAGCAGGGGCAGCCAGGAGCAGGGGCAGCCAGAAGCATCCACAGCCCTCCTGGAAGCCTCCATCTTGGGTGACAAGCTGTGCCTCATTTCTGAGAAGAAACGCATGCTGCTACTGACAGCGGTTGCCTCTGGGGCGGGGGACTGGGTGGCTGGCCGGGAAGGAAGACACATTTTTTATTCTGTGTACCTGACTTTGTCTATTGAGTGTTGTTCTATGGGCATGTGTTACCTCTTTAAAGATAGATCAATTACATATATTTAAAGTTATAACTAATCAATTACTACACTCTGCTTAGGTGTTCCTAAAAAGAAGGAGTTTGTGGTTCCATAAGTTTGGGGAACTGAGCTAATGAGCCCCCTTTATGGAGTGACACCTTAATGTCTTCAGGAGCTGAGAAATTCTGTAGTAGAGGATCATGTTTAATCTGCTTAAACCTGAATTTTCCAAGTTTGTTCTACCACATAACTATTTTTTCATAAACTCTGTATAAATAGCCCTGACTATAAATAGCTAGTTGTGTGTTTTATGCCACAAAGCTCGGGTCTGGGCCATTGACAACATAGTTCCAGTTACACACCCTTGGACACCAGGTGCAGGGCCAGAAGGAAGGACCTGAGGGAGGGCGGTGTGGTGTGGCCAGATGTCAGGACGGGAACTTGAAGCAATAGAGAAATTGAGAGTGTGGAAAGGGGATCTCCAGAGAGAAAATCCCCCAACCTACTCTATAATTTTCCCAACGGCAGGCCTGTGAGTTTTCACGCTGCCACCCAGGCTGGAGTGCAGTGGCGCAATCTATGCTCTCTGCAACCTCCACCTCCTGGGTTCAAGTGATTCTCCCCACTCAGCCTCCTGAGTAACTGGGATTACAGGCACCTGCCACCAAGCCCAGCTAATTTTTTGTGTTGTAAATACAGACAGGGTTTCACCATGTTGACCAAGCTGGTCTTGAACTCCTGACCTCAAGTGATCTGCCCGCCTCAGCCTCCCAAAGTGCTGGAATTACAGGCGAGAGCCACATTCCTTCATTCTTAATTCACAAATTCACTAAACATACACCGTGTTTATGGCCTGGGCCTAAGTGAGGTTTGTTGTCTGCCCTCAGGAAACTCACCTCTAGTGAGGAAGATGTGCAGAAAACAGCAGCAGGAGACAGTGCAGCCCCTGTGGGCTTAGGAAAGCCTCTTCCAGAAATGGCCTATGTGCCACACCCAGAGTGTGAGCTGCACTCAGCCCAGGGGAGAAGTGTGGAGGGTGTGCCAGCTGCCCTGGGGAGCCCGGGGCTTCAAGGAGCCAAGAGCAGGCAAGTGGGGCTGGAGCCTGGTTGGGGCTGTGCTGGTGGCTGCCAGGGTCGCTGCCCACACCCGCCGTCTGTGCTCTGCTCTGGGGCTCCGGGGTTTCTGCATGTGCCAGGCACCTCACCCACTGGCTTCTGGTTAGGCCCTGTGGTAGCACCTAACATAGGAGGTGTGGCAGGAGCTCCAAAGGCAGGAGGAAGAGAGGAATGTCCGTATCACAGCATGGCAGTTGTAGCAGCAGGAGCTGGATGATTAGGGACCCCAGAAGCCTGAGCACAGGCGGCACCTTTATCAGCAGTCACAGCTCTGGCAAAGAAGATGCATCCTCCTCGATACAGAACAGCAGTGCCAGCTCCTCCCACAGCCCCTGCTTCTCCACCAGGGCAGCAGCAGGTGCTGACTCTGGGCTCTAGCCCAGTGGTGCAATGGGTTGAGTGTTTGTGTCCCTCCCAGTTTCATATATTGAAATCCTAACTCCTGTGGTGATGGTGTTGGGAGGTGAAGCCTTTGCTGGGGGTGATTAGGCCCTGAGAGTGAAGCCCTCATGAAGGGGATGAGTGCCCTTATGCAAGAGGCCCAAGAGAGACCCCTTGTCCCTTCTACTATGTAAGCACGCAGCAAGAAGTCACCGACTGTGAACCAGGAAGCCCTCACCAGACACTGATTCTGCTGGTACCTTGATTTTGGGCTTCCTAGCCTCTAAAACTATGAGAAATAAATTCCTATTGTTCATAGACCACTCAGTTTATGATATTTTGTTATAGCAGCCAGAATGGACCAAGACAAAGGGTACTAGTGATTCTTATCTGTGGGTACCTCCCCTTCTTCCTCTTGTTCCCTGGCCTGCTCCTCCCTTCTACTCCTTTATCCTTCCAACACCTTTGTAATCGGTTCTCTGCATAATATGTGAAATACCTAGCATGGTTTCTGTCTCCCAGGCTGAGTCAGTACTGCTTCAGGAAACAGACCCTCCAAGCTGGGTCTTTGTGGTTGGGTTGTTGACCTGTGTGAGTATGAGAATATGAAAGCAGAGATAAACTCATTACCCATGGAAAATAGGACATTGGTGACCTGTGGCACTGCAATTACTTAGTTGTCACCTGTGGTTGCTTGGAAGGGAGCATCTACTGAAGATAAGACTTGGGGACAGCGGCCGGGCATGGTGGCTCACGCCTGTAATCCTAGCACTTTGGGAGGCCAAGGCAGGTGGATCATGAGGTCAGGAGATCGAGACCATCCTGGCTAACATGGTGAAACCCCGTCTCTATTAAAAATCCAAAAATTAGCCGGGTGTGGTGGCGGGCGCCTATAGTCCCAGCTACTCGGGAGGCTGAGACAGGAGAATGGTGTCAACCCAGGAGGCAGAGATTGCAGTGAGCCGAGATTGCACCACTGCACTCCAGCCTAGGCAACAGAGTGAGACTCCATGTCAAAAAAAAAAAAAAAAAAAAAAAGAAGACTTGGGGACAGCAAGTTGCCACCATACTTGACCCTTATGGCAAAATTGATGTCCACAGGGACTATGGGTGGATGGCTTCTGAGGTCACTGAAGGGATTCCAAATAGGACAATAAAGATAAAGACGAGGAAGAAGAATAGAATGAGAAAGAGGAGAGGAAGAAAATGGATAAAGTGGACCATATTAAAATGAATAACTAATTTCAAGAGATTTATTAAGAGAATAAAAAGAAAAACCAAACTGGGAGAATGTATATGTGACACACATATTTGATAAAAGACTTATGTCCAGAATATATAAAGAGCTTCTAGAAATCAACAAGAAGAGAGAAGATAATCCAACAGAAAAACTGGTTAAAGAGCTTGAGTGGGCCCTTCACAAAAGAGCGTGTCCTAGTGGCCAACAAACATATGAGAAGGTGCTCAACCTCATTGGTCATCAAGGAAACACCTATCAAAACTACAGTGTGTCAAAACCACAATGAGATATCACCTCACACACAAAAGAGTGGTTATAATTTTTAAAAAAGGAAATAAGTGTTGGTGAAATGTGGAGGAATCAGAACCTTTATACATTGCTAGTGAGAATATTAAATGACGCAGACACTTTGGAAAGCAATCTGGTAGTTTCTCAAAAGTTTAACCTAGAGTTACCATTTGACTCAGCAATTCCACTCCTAAGTAGAGTTTCCAAGAGGAATGAAAATGTGTGTTCACACAAGAACCTGGACGTGAATGTTCATAGCACCATTAGTCATGTGCTGCTATGTTCATTGGCTGCAATGTTCACAGGAGCCAAAAAGTGAAAACAATCCAAATATCTACCCACTGATGAATGGATTAACAAAAAGTGATGTTTCTGTACAACAAAATGGTATTTGACCATTAAAAGGAATGAAGTACTGACAGACATGCCACCACATGAATGAACCTTGAAAACATCATGCTAGTTAAAAGAAGCCAGTCACAAAGACCACACATGACCTAATTCCATATATATGAAATGTCCAGAATAGGCCAGGTGCTGTGTCTCACACCTGTAATCCAAGCACTTTGGGAGACGGAGGTAGGCGGATGGCTTGAGCTCAGGAGCTTGAGACCTGCCTGGGCAACATGGCAAAACCTCATCTCTACCAAAAATACAAAAAAAAAAAAAAAAGCCAGGTGTGGTGGGGTGCACCTGTTGTCCCAGCTACTCAGGAGGTGGGAGGATTGCTTGAGCCTAGGAGGCAGAGGTTGCAGTGAGTCGGGATCATGCCACTGCACTCCAACCTAGGCGACAGAGTGAGACCCTGTATGAAAAGAAAAGAAAAGAAGAGTCCAGAATAGGCAAATCTATGGAGACAGAAAATAGATTAGTGGTTGCCAGGGATAGGGAGAAGGGGGTGTTGGAGGTGATTGCTAAAGGTTATAAGGTTACTTTTGGGGGTGATGAAAATGCTCTAAAATTGATTGTGGTGATAGCTGTATGACTCTGCATATACTAAAATTCATTGAATTGTACACTTCAGATGGGTGTTAGAGCTCAGCTGTAATAAAGAAAAATAAAGAGAAAAGGAAAGGGAAAGAAAAGAAGAAAGAAAAAGAAGGAAGGGAGGGAGGGAGGAAGGAAGAAGGGAGGGAGGGAGGGAAAGAGAGAAAGAGAGAGAGAGAAAGAAAGAAAAAAGAAAGAAAGGAAGGAAGGGAGAAAGAGAAAAAGAAAGAAGAAAGAAAGAAAGGGAAGGAGGGAAACAAGGAAGAAAGAAAGAAGAAAATAAAGAAGAAAAGAAAGAAAAAGAAAGGATGGAAGAAATAATGAAAAGAAAGAAAAAGAGAAAGGAAAGAAAGAGGAAAAGAGAAGAAAGGAAAGAAAAAAGAAGAAAGAAGGGAGGGAGGGAAAGAAGGAGGAGGGGAGGGATAGAGAGAGAGAGAAAGAGAGGAAAGAAAGAGAAAGAAAGAAAGGGGAAGAGAAGAGAGAAGAGAAAAGAGAGGGGAGGGGAGGGGAGGGAAGGGGAGGGGAGGGAAGGGAGAAAATGCAATGCCACCACCTACCCACTAGAAAGGCTAAAATGTAAAAGACTGAATCCCAAACATAGTTGAGGATGGAGAGAAACCAGACTGCAGTGGGGAGAGTGGCTTGGCGTTATCACTTTGGAAGACAGGTGCATGACCAAAGCTGAACATGTGCTTGCCTATGACCCAGCAATTCCACCCCTAGGAATATAACCAACAGAAATACATATGTGTGTGTGTGTGTGTGTGTGTGTGTGTGTGTGTGTGTTCACCAAAAGATAGGTCCTAAGAATGATCAAAGCAGGCCGGGCATAGTGGCTCATGGCTGTAATCCCAGCACTTTGGGAGGCCGAGGTGGGTGGATCATGAGGTCAGGAGTTCGAGACCAGCCTGGCCAATACGGTGAAACCCCGTCTCTACTAAAAAAAAATACAAAAATCAGCTGGGCTAGTGGCGCGTACCTGCAGTTCCAGCTACTCAGGAGGCTGAGGCAGGAGAATCACTTGAACCTGGGAGGCAGAGGTTGTGATAAGCGAGATTGCGATGAGCCGAGATTGCGCCACTGCACTCTAGCCTGGGTGACAGAGTGAGACTCTGTCTCAAAAAAAAAGAAGAAAAAAAAAAGATGAAAGCAGCACTTTGTAGTAGACAAACACTGAAAACTACCCAAATATTCATCAACAGTAGAATAGACAAATAATTGCTTTTATCCTCGTACATGAAATCTTCATAACTACGAGTATCAACCATGCACAATCACACAGAACCACAGAGATGACTCTTAGACACAGAGAGTTGAGAGAAAGAAGCCAGGCCCTAAAGTACAGACAATATGCGTCCATTCGTACAAAGTTCAAATAGGCAGAACTGCCACCTGGGGTTAGGGTCAGGGTGATGGTCACTCTAGGGGGTGGAGGGTAGGCCTTGGAGGGGCCCAGAGGGAGCTCTAGGGTGCTGGCCATGTGCTTTTGGCCTGGATGCTGTTACACAGATGTGTGCTTTATGTCGGGTTGTACACTTACAATTTGTGTACTTTTTCTTTTTTTTAGGCAGAGTCCCACTCTGTTGCCCAGGTTGGAGTGCAGTGGCACCTGCATCGGTTCACTGTGGGCTCCGCCTCCCGGCCTCAAGCGATTCTCATGCCTCAGCCTCCTGAGTCGGTGGGATTACAGGCATGCACCACCATGCCTGGCTAATTTTTTTGTATTTTTAGTAGACGGAGTCTTACTAGATTGTCCAGGCTGGTCTTGAACTGCTGGCCTCAAGGGATCTTCCCAGCTCAGCCTCCCAAAGCACTGGAATTATAGGTATAAGCCATGAAGCCCAGCCCCTATAAGTAGTCCTGAGGCCTGTTGGCATCTACAACTTTGTGTGCTCTCCAGCCAATGCAGCTCTCCTTCGCCTTCTGCCTGCAGCTCAGCTAGTCGGGGCTCTTTACATGATGGGATCATTGAGGCTTTATTTGTGCCTTTGGTTGTTGCTGCACTTCCTCACTGACCTTTATGACCGGACAGCAGGTACTTGTAGGAACCCCAGAGACTCCCCCTGGCTTCTGGACCTTCCTTCTGCCTTGGTGTATAGCAGCACCCAGCTTCCCCTTGGTAATCAGGGTGGACCACCCCGGATGAGAGGGCACTCAAGGCAGCAGGAACAGCACGTTTCAGGGTATGGAGCAGTAAAAGGCATGCACCTTTGGGGTAAGTCAGTGGAGCTGAAAGATGGAGCTTTGCAAGCAGCAGCGCCTGTGGCTGGCAGGGATCCAACCTCCCAGCTGTTGTTTGATGGGCACTGGGTCCCTTTCAGGATTCTAAGTCAGGAGGGACAAGGTGAGAACTCACCATGTTTTGTCAAAGATGCATGGATGGGAGATGGGGCCTGGGATCCGTGTCCTCCGCTTGCCACTGGCAATCCATGCTCCTTTGTTGCAGAGTGAGGGCTTTGAAATCTCAGAGATCTGGTCTAAACTTCCTGCTCGGCCACACCAGTTGTGTGAGCTTGAGGACATGAGTGAGCTCAGACTCCAGATTATTCAGGTGTAAAGACAAAGGTGATTGTGGGGATTAATAAGGTAATGTAAGTGACATATGGCAGAGTAGACACGGTTTGCCTTGGCTTCCTTTGGCTTATCTGGAAGTTATTTCCTCTGTAAAATGAGGTAGGCACATCGATGCTCTACGGGGTGCAAGAGGACTTAGGTGGGTCAGTCCAGTGGGGAATCATGGGCTGGCTGTGGTCTGAGGGGCAGCCCACAGGAGTCCAGGCAGAGGAGGGTCTGGAGGTGGGAGCTGCAGGAGCCCTGAGTCAGCACCACGGGGCATCTTCACCAGCTCATCCCCAGCCTCTCCATGTATGGCCCAAAGCTGGCATTTCTGATTTCCAGACTCTGCCTCCTGGCACCCACGGTCTTTGTGGATCCCAGAGAGGCTCACCCTGGGACTCAGAAGAGGTGTGCTGTGGAGAGGAAGGAGGCCGAGGCAGCCTGGGGGAGGAGGAAAAACCCAGCATTGGGGGTGTGAAGACCCGTTTAGCTTTCAAACTGGTTCCAAAGATTTGTTCAGGAATTACTCCAGGGGAGGAGTCACCCCTCTCTTTGGGGATGTCTCTGGCGTGTTAAGAGTTTCAGGTAGGATTTTGCTTGGGGAAAAAAGTTCTTCAATATACACACACACACAGACACACACACACACACACATACACACACGCAAAAACAACCAGGGGCAAGTTAATATCTAAGCTCTCTTTCTAGTGCACATAACAGTGACCTATCACCAGTTCCTCCTGGATCCTGGGTAATCCTTTATGGACAGGGACCTTATTTTACATTGTACCCTCAGGGTACAGCCTGGTGTGGCAGGCAAGCCCTTGATGACTGTTTACTGTCCAAGCTGAACACCTGAAGGGGTCACACTACAGGCCAGGCTTGTAGACATCCGACAAAAATCAAGAAGCCTATCTGGCCCTAAATCTGTTGCTGTTCATCCATGTCACACATATCACATGCAAACAAGGCTGCATTGAGATTCTGGAAGGCAAACACACGGCCATATGCCATCTTCTCTGGGCATAGTAAATCAGGTTCTGGGGTGCATGTATATGAGCCCCACACCTTCAGCGCCTCTCAGCACTTTCCTGGGGTCTGATCTTTCTGATCCGGATGAGTTGACTTTGCCCCAGCTACGCTGGATTAGCGCAGGGATGTGCACTTGACCAACCAAAGCCCCCTCCTCAGGAGTGCAGAACTGGCCCCAGGAGATCCTAGCTCACTTTACCGAGACATAAACTTGGGGGGATTTGGGACAGTCATTTCCCATGGCAGGGTCTGGGAGCACAGGGCATCTGTCTGCAGAGGAAGGAGCTCCAAGCCAACGCAGAGAGAGTTTGAGGTGATTCTGCTGCACCCTCCCCAGGGCTCTCTGGAGCTCCAGCGTGGCTTCCTTGTCTCAAGTTCCTCTTTCAGTGTAAAGTCAGCTAGAATTGGTGACTTGCAAAAGACCTGAATCATGCACTGACCTTTTGGCAGGCCCTCTCTTGCTCTAGAGAATCTGGCCTAAGCATGCAGACTCTGGAAATTTATCCCACAGCACGTGCATAGTTTTCGATGCGTCATTTACCCAATGAGGCTGAACCTGGAATTGGACTTCTACCTGCCCGTCCTTTCCAGGTTTTAACTATGTCCTAGCTCTCTTGACTTGAGCTGGGAAATTCCCTATGCCACTTAGACTCTGCAGCTCAGCTCAAAGGCCCTGATGTGATGCCCCCCTGAAAGCCAGGGCAATCCCACCTCTGCAATGCTGTCGCCGCCACCCTGCCATCTTCCCGAACCTCTGCTCTCAGCTTGTCTCTCCCCAGCCTGGGTCCTGAAAAGGTTCCACTGAGCACAGTGCCTGCTCCCAGCCATCTGTCTTGCCCTCAGCTGTGTGCCAGCCACACGCTAGCCAGGCCCGGCCTGTCCTGCTCTCGCCCTGTTCCCTCCCTGGCTGATTTGAACCCCACACTCCCCTCCCCACCCAGCCAACATCTGGGGACTGCTTCTTCGGGGACCAGCCCCACTGTGTCTTGTCTGATCTCCACGTGTTTCTGCAGTGGCCCTTTCCTGGGTGACCCGTCTGCTCAGAGCAGAAACTGAGATGGGCAGGCCTGCGCCACCTTCCCCTTGGCGCCTTTCCAGTGCTGAGTGTTCTGCCTGGCACAAAGCCAGGGTTCCGCAAACGCTGGTTGAACCGAAACCCACTGTGGTTGCCGGTTCCTGAGCTGGTCTTTCTTCTCGTTCCCATGCCCAGCTCCCAGCCACGAACTGTGGGCTGATCCTGTGGCCGGCTCCCTGTCCTGTGGCCCAGAGAGTGTCTTCGGCTGGGGATCCTGCTGTCGGGGCCCTGCTGTGCCTGCTGCCAGGGCCTCACCAGCCTGCTCTGAGCAGCTGGGCCACACTGAGCACCTGCCCTGCCCTGCTTGGCAGTCAGGAAGGACTTCCTGTTTCTGCTTCTGAAATGGACTGCCAGCTCCAGGGGGCGGCAGGGGACCGGCCCCAACACCCCTGCCATCCGAGTGGCACCTAGGCTGCCCGGCAGCCCTCCCTCACCCCTTCTTGTGTCTCCTGCTATGGGTGGGCTTCAGGAAACGTGCACTTAGCAGGCTGAGGCCTAAACTCAGCTATGGGCTTAGGATCCAGAGGAGGAGCCCTGGAGAGCAGCACGCAGAACCTTTTGGCTTTGAGAAGGAGGGGGATGAGGGGCAGGGGGCAGGGGCGACTGTGAGGTCCTGGGCTTGGGGACCCTAGGGAAGGAGTGGAGCAGCTTTAGGGACCCCATACAAAGGTCCCCAGGCCTCACATGAACCGTACCTCCCCAGCACCTCCCATGATCCCCATCTCCCCACCCTGGACTAAGCACTGGGAGGGGGCTGCCGGGAGGAAAGGCCCCACTGTGGGAGATAGGGGAGTAGGGAGTATCAAAGGGGCACAGAGAGAAGGCATTTCAGGAAGCACCTTCACCAGGACTGGCCACAAATAATCCCCAGGCAGAGTCCATTCCAGTGGTTCTCACCTGCAGACCTGTCCCTGCCTCCTGCCTTTCCCTGTGCATGCTCTGAGCCAGAAAGGACAACTAAGAGACGGTGACAGAGGGGCTTCAGGACGCCGCCTCTGTGGGGAGCTGGTGGGCTGTGGCATCCCTTAGGGGGTAACCCCACTGCCCAGACTGCTGGGCTCCAGGGAGTGGAGGGGGCAGAGGGCACCCGCCCCCACCTCTGCACTCGGTGGTCCTAGGGCCCCCGGTCTGCAGGGTCCATTGGGGCAGCAGCTAGAAAAATGTCTGGCTACAAGGGACAGGGGCCCACCCCAGAGGCTTAGGGCAGCAGCTCGTTTTCTGCCACAGAGAGAGGTCTGGGGCAGGCAGCTGTGCACGTTCAGCTCTGCTGTTCGAGGGCCTTCCGGGGGGCCTCCCTCCTGGTGTGGTGCTCTAGACACTGGGCCGCCAGCAAGGGGTGAGGAAGGCAAAGGCCTTGCCTGCTGCGGCATTGCTGATATCAGGGAAGCAATAGATTTTCCCAGCCGACCTTGTTTAGGGTCTCAGGCCACCCAAGCTGTGAGCTAGGCTAGGAGAGTGAACGGGGCTGTCGAAATGGACTTTGACCGCAGCCGCCGAACAGCACTCAGGAGTGGGCGGGATATTAGGATATTGGAGGGTTCTCCACAGTGAGAGCTCTTGTGGCTGCCACCAAACAGGGCAGGGTCTGGTGGGGGGGCAGGAGGATCAGGGACCTGGAGTCTGGCATGGGGTGGCCTGTCTAGGCAGAAGCTCTGGGGAGTCCCTGGGAAGGCCCCAAGCCCCAGGGTCAGGAGTCTCTTTTTAGGCTGAGGGGGCATCGACACCCGGGTGCAGGAGTCTGCATGGGTTGGCCGAGCACACAGGTGTGAAGGCAGCCCTTTGATGTGCCTTGATGGTGCAAGGAGAGAGCCGGGTGGTCTTGCAGTCACCAGGCTGGGGCTCCAGCCCCACGTTACAGCCTTGCTGTTGCCCTCTAGTGACCCCTTGCATCTTGGAAGTGAGGCGACATGTGGTAAACACCTGGCACCTGCAGGGACTCCCTGGGTAGCCCTCAGAGGAGGCCACGGGGTCAGCTGGGGACGCAGAGGGTGAGACAGAAGAGAAACTGGGATGGGGCTGACTTCCAGGAAGCCGGGACATCATGGGGCCCCAGCTTAGTCTGGCCCAGCTGTCAGAGGGGCTGCTGGTTCAGAGCCTGGGGCCTTCTTAGTTGAGATGCCAGTGCCGGGCGACTGGTGATAAACGTGGCCCCTATCCCAGAGCAGTGCACACCGCCTTAGGCATTGGCTATATCCTAATCTCACTAGAACACCCCTCGGCCAGCGTCCCCCTCCACCCAGCACCTCTGGGGAACACTGGGGCTTCCTAATGAGTTAATCTGCTGGGAAGGAGTCCAGAGGCAGGCACAGCGCAGAACCCCCCCCCCCGCCCCGCCCCAGCCCCCTCCACTGATGACACTGTTGACACCGCGGAGAGAGGCCTGCTCAGTGGGTCGTTGTGCTGAGAAACGAAACATTGCCTAACCCCAGGGAGAAACCACAAAAAGACAAAAACACGCAATGTCGCTGCAGCTGGGCCTGAGGGCTCAACCCAGATCCTGCTGTCTGCAAGGCGGGTGCAGCTGTTGTGTGGTTTGTGTTAAAGGCAAGAAAAAGAAGGGTGGGATCATGTTCAAATCCCCAAAAGATACCCCTCTGCCAGAGGACGAGTGGCGTTTGTTTAGGGACAGTGGGGCCTCGTTTCTTTGTCATTGAGTGGGTTAGTTCCACTCTCTGAGCAGCCCTGACTGAGTCTCACACCTGCGCTGGGGTCCCCACTTGTTCAGAGCTGGGGCTGGAGAAGCAGCGAGTCCCTGTCCGGGACCTTGCATGCTCCCTCACGCCCTGCCCCCTCCCCCTCCAGTCGTGGGACACTGCTATATTGCCGAAGGGATCTCAGGGTACACTGGGACCTGCTCCGAGCAGCTCCCTCAGGCGTCAGAGCAGAACTGGGCAGTGAGGTGAATACAGTGATGTGCCAAGGCAGATGGCAGGGCAGAGGCCGCTGCAAAGGTGGCTCCAGAAATCAGGAGGGCTGAAAAGGAGCTGCTCTCATCCCGAAGAGGTGCATGTCATGAGTTTGCAGCTCAGGCTGGAGTCCACCATTCTTTATCCTTTATGCACAGGTCCCCCAAGGGCGTCTAGGGCCGGGGCTACTGACCGGAAGCCCTGCTCTGACTCCCCACCTTCCAGAAGGTGCTCTGATCAGGCCTGCCCGCTCCCACCCGCAGCCCAGTCTCAGATCTGCCAGTTCTCCTCAGAAGGCAAAGTTCTGGGGACTTGGGGCCACTCATGGGTTGGAGACTGAGTTGGGGGCTAGAGGCATGCTTAGGGCCCAGCCTCCATGGCAGGGCCAGGAAGTGAACCCCAGCCATCAGTGGGGCAGGAGCCAGGTGCCTCCCAGCAAAGCCCCAGCCCCAAGGGCTCCTCCTGTCCGCTGCTGCCCTCTCAGGGGCTGCCAGACCAGCTGCCCCACTCCCATGCTGCCGCCTGCCTGAACATCTCTTTTCTAGGCCCCGCCCAAACCCTGAGTCTTGGAGCCCACCTGCCATGCAGAAGCTGCACTGCAAACACAAATACACACACACACAAATACACACATGCACAAATACACAAATACACATGCACGAATACACACGCACATACAAATACACACACACACGCACAAATACACACATGCGCACAAGCACACACACACATGCAGGCACACACACATGCACACACGCACACACCCACACCGGGAGCTCCCTCCCTGGAGCCTCCCCTTCACATGGTCTCATCCTGCTTGTGCCGGCAAAGTCCTTTAAGGCCATACCTTAGTGATATGTTCTGTGTCCCTGAGGGTGGTGGCCCTGTGGTTCCTGGCTCCAGTCTGGTCTGACTGACCCCCCTGCCCTCTGCTCTCTTCAACACTTGGCACCTTAAGGCTGAAGGCCCCTGTGGAGACAGCGGCAGTCCGTCCACCCAGATAAGGGTAGCGTTTGAGTCCAGCTGCTGCACCTGTGGCCCTAATCTCAACACATGCCGCCAGTTGCAGACCTGGGGAACAATGCCAGTGCAGCAGGAGAATGTCACCAAATGCCTGCTTCATGACAGAGGAGGTCCTGAGGAGCTGAGTTAGGTCTTGAAAAAGTTTTGTCCCACCACCGGGGACAAAATGGCATTGCTTTATGTGTCACTAATCCTTGGAGAGGCTCCTTAAAGATGGAAGAGACTAGGGGATCTAAACACAGCCTGGGTTGCCCAGGCCTCACTGGGACACACCCTGGTAGGAATGAGGGTGAGATGCCAGTGCTGGCCTCTTGCCTCTCTCCAAGATCAGCGAAGCTGGGCACTCATTAAAGGGGTGAGGACAGACTTTATTGAGTAAGAATGACTGCAATCCAGAAGAGGGACCAGGGTGAACTGAGCTCAACTTCCCTGAAACAGAAGGCAGGGGGTAAAGGTGCATGTACTAAGAAGACACTGGGGATGTTAAGGAGCTTTGGTCCATGAGACTAGGCCACCTGGGTGTGATAGTGACTAGGCCACCTGGATATGATAACTGGTGCTCATCTGGAGGAGAAGCAAATTCCTTGTGTCTTTAGTGTCTTTTTTTTTTTTTTGAGATGGAGTCTCACTTTGTGGCCCAGGCTGGAGTGCAGTGGCGTGATCTTGGCTCATTGCAACGTCCACCTCCCGGGTTCAAGCAATTCTCCTGCCTCAGCCTCCCAGGTAGCTGAGATTACAGGCGCCTGCCACCATGCCCAGCTAATTTTTTTTTTTTTTTAGTATACAGGCGTGTCCTGTATACTAAAAAAATCTCTTCTCTTGACCTCGTGATCTGCCCGCCTCAGCCTCCCAAAGTGCTGGGATTACAGGCATGAGCCACCACGCCCAGCCTTTAGTGTCTTTATGACAATGGTGCAGGTTAGAGCAAGAAGCCCACCCAAGTCAGCCCCGTTGCCTCCCACAGGGACTGGGAGCAAAGCCAGAGTGAGAGCCTCTGGAAGTTCGCATTGCAGAGGCAGCTCCCAGGACCTTGTGGAGACAGTTCTGGGTGGTGGCAGATTTACATTCTCAAGGGGCAGCGAAAGCCTTCACAGTTGCAAGCTTTCTGAAGTGGCTGCTCAACGAGAGGGTTCAGGGGCCTATCCACCTGTCACCAGGTTGTGGCTGTGACAAACAGTAAATTCTCCTGGCAGCACTGCGCTCTCTCGGGCAGGCCCCTGAGGGTGACTTGGGGCATCATCCTAGGGACACGCCTGTTAACAGCTATGCTGGTATTTTTATAAGTCTCTTAGTGATGGGTGGGGGGTGCAGAGGGACAAAGTCATTTGCGCTGAGAGTCTGCAGTTTTTATAGACCAAAGGTGACGCTGAGTGGAGAAGAGGGCTCAGTAGAGGCTGACTGGTTTGGTCAAGGAGAGATTCTTTGCCAGCTCCTGCTGCTGCTGTATCTGTAGACTCCTCCCCTCCAGGGGACATCACCCTGGCACTGCTGGTCACCTTCTAGGCACTGCTGTTCCCAATCAGGCATTGTTAACATGCACAGGAGCCCATGGTGGTCAAGGGAGGGCTAAGAGAGAGTGTCCTGGGCACATGCATTGGATGGGCCCCCAAAGAATGCAGTCTGGGCCCTGATGCTGGGTCATGGTTTCTCGAGAAGTCCTGAACCTTTTCACCATTTTCCTGAAGTCCTGCCCTCTCCTTCAGCTCTGCAGGGCACACAAACCCATGTTTCTACACCATGTAAGAAGTCATATTGCCTTGGGGCCACCAGGCTGTGAGGAATCCCAAGCTAACCACATAGAAAGGTGATGTGGAGGACCACTAAGGCACTAAGCAGGTGAGGGAAGGCTTTGGGGACCTTCCAACACAGACTGGTAGCCAAGTGAGCACAGCCAAAAATGTGACTCTAGTCAATGCCATGGGATGATAGTAGCCAAGAGAATCATGAGAAATAATAGATCACTGTTTGGGGTGGTTCAGCAATATGTCCTCTGAACCCCAGTGAATGTCATCTTCCAGAGAATGCTATCATTAGTAAGGATGATGTGGCAGCTTTCGGGACCACATCGTGATCTTGTTTTTTGGATATTATCATCAGAAATAAGCTGTGAGGGAGAAGAGTGAGCTGGGGAAAGAGAAAGAGAGTGAGCAGGGGAATGGAAGTAGTGTTCCCTAGAAGCTAGGGCCCCGAGCTCCTAGGGAAAAGGATTGGAATGACAGCAGCTCCCTCCATGTAGAAGCCAAGAGATCCCTGGGGTCCACAGGAAGCTGAAAAGGTGTAAACATGGAGGCCTCAGGCCCAGAATGGCTCAGGGAAACTGTCCTAGAAGGTCCTGAAGCATTGTGTGTTCCTCCCCACTGACCAGGGCCCCCAGGATGGCAGGAGTCTGTGCTTCAAGAAGGGTAAAGCGTGGGCTAAGGGAAAGTGATTCCAACTGGGGTGAGAGGGGAGGGCTTTGGGTGCAAGTCCAGGAGGGATAGGAAAGAGGAAGGGCCCAGGATACGGTGGCCTCTGGAAGAATCAGGGGAGTTTAATGCCTAGGGGGTTTAATGCCCAGACCTGGAAACATCTAATTGGCAAACAACTCTATAATCAGTTAACTTCTAGCCAGGAAAACAGAAACTATCCCAGGCATTTTAAGCAGAGGGTATTTAGTGCTGGAATCGATGACAAAGATGTTGTAAAAGCTGGAGGAGCAAATGGGCCAAGAGGGTGTTACACAGAGATCTGAGGCTGCTCCTGCTCTGCGCCTGTATTGAGCTTCTGCAGACACCAACTGTGTCCCAGAGAAGGGGCCACCCTGATGCCCAGCCTCTTATCCCCATTGCCTCTGTTACTAATGCTGCTGGGGCCACTCCCATTGTCACTGCAGGAGCAATCACCCCACTGCCACCATTGGAGCTACAGCCAGGAGCAAAGTGGCTTCCTCCTATCTCCCACCCGTCCACTTCCCATTGGCAGCACTTAACCAGAAACCAGTTGCAAGGGAGCCTGGGAAATGTAGTTTTCAGGCTTCTAGCCCCTTGACTACTAAGGAGAGCAGGGTGGGCAGGCATGGAGCTGAGGGCCAACAGAGTACTCTGGCACAGAAGCTGCCAACTTAACTCAATGGCTCTTATTTTTACTTTGAAATGCTCCCATCCTTCCAGCAGTACAAGCCATTTGTGGTTGCATCCCCCTGTGCACAGCAGAATTCACATAGTCAGAACCGGCCAGGGGGACTCTGGAAAGCACAAGTATGAGTCTAAGCGCTGCGACCTCGCAGGGACTTCTCCCATATCTGGGCCCCCACATGATGGTGGTGTGAAGCTCCAAGGTGGATATTGACTGAGTGACTCCTCTTGGGGCCGGGTTCCAATGTGGGGAGGCAGGAAGCAGTTTCTTTCTCCTCAGAAGACACTAAGACCAGTTAAGTCTTGGGAGTTGATGCAGCCAGATTTAAGAACCCAGAGGCCCTTGGGATAGCAGGCTGCAGATAAAATCGACTTACAACTTAGCCACGGCTGGAGCATGGTTCAGGCTGATGTTTACTGTAGTGATGTAGAGGCCAAACGTGACCTCAGAAAGCACCCAGCAGGCGGAGTTTGAGACATCCCCGTGGGCAGAGCTGGTGCTGAGGCTCAGGCTGTGGGGTCGTGGAAGGGATGCAGGAAAGAAGGTTCTAGACCAGGGCTTGACACTTCACTCTCTGGGGCCACATGGGCTGAGGCCTGGGCATGCATCCCTGGTGCTGATCTGCTCTGTGGATATTAAGGTGCCTACTGTGTGCTGGCTGTGGTCTCTGTCATGCCGGGAGGTGACGGTGTCTTCTCTGGAGCCCCTTGCCCTGGCTCTCTGCCCAGTGGTTCTGCCTCTGCCACGTGGAGGCCTTCAGCTCCCAACAGGGGTGGAGGACCTCAGCTGCCCATCTCTGCCTCCCCAGCCCCAGCCCAGTGTCTGGCAGTGAGTGATGAATGCAGGCATGCTGATCCCTGTTTGCAAAGCTTGGTCAGGAGGCCCAAGTGGAATCTGGGCCAGCCTGGTACAAAAGGACATGATGGACACCTCAGGGGATCCTAGGCCACCGGAAAGGCTCTGCGTGGCCCAAGGTTTCAGTCCCAGAGCCAGCCTTTTTGTCTTTGGCTTCGAAAACCTCAATCGTAAAATGGAGCTAATAAAAACACCAAGCCCAGATTGGAGGACGAAATGGCATATGGCCCTGGTGGGGACTCCACCGGGGGGGAGGCATGGCCCAAAAGGCTTGGGTTGCGTCAATGATTCCCATTCTGTTTGCAGGAGCCTGGCATGAGCAGAAGTTCTGAACCCACTGGGCTGTGCGGTGGAGGAGCAGGTGGGCTTTCCACACAGAGCCTGGCCAGCATGGAGCAGGGGGAAAGGGAGACTCACGCTTTTCATTCCAGGGGCTGCAGGTGACAGTTTGGCAGAGGCCAGGCAGGTCTGGCTGCCAGGCTGAGGAGTTTGGACTTGGAAATTTAAAGGCCCTTCAGGAAGCCTCTGCAGAAGACTGGTCTGTCATTGACAATTAAAAGAAAAAAATAGACCACAATGCAAGGCAAGGAGTGGCCTTTGGTAGAAGCCGGACAGGATCCAGGTGGGTGTGGCCGGGCTCAGGTGTGGGCGGGCCCAGATCCTGTGCATCCTGCTCCTGGGGCCTCCCACCTCCTTGCCCTTGACACCTGCCTCACCCTGGTAGTTTCCAAAGAAGCCCCAAGGCCCCCGCCGTGGCCCTGCCCCCACAGGTGGAGGAGCTCCAAGCCTCCTGTGGGAGATGGAGCTTAGCTTGGGCCAAGGAACCTGCACCCGTGGAGGATAGTGGGCAAGCTGCTCTGCCCTAAGCAGGATGGCTATTTTGGGTTCAGAACCAGGCTGGATGAATTGTGTCCTTCTGCCGGCAGCCCTGGGAGCTCCATCTGCTCCAGGGAACAGGTTGAGAGCTTCATCAGATGGTCCTTAAAATCCAGGCCCTCTGCGGAGGCCTGCCTGGGCCTGAGCCACTTCTGACCACGTCCTCCTGAGGAGAGAGGCCATTTATTTTACTGTCTCCGGTCTCTGAAGGGAAGGAGGAAGTAAAAGTTGAAAAACAACAGGAATGAAGTCAGTGGCAAGACCAGCCGGTGCCACTGGTGACCAGGCCTGAGGTTAAAAGATTAACGCCGCCCCCACTCTAACCAGATGTGCTCTCAATCTATCATGACCCTTTCACGTGGAACCCCTTAGATTTGTAAGCCCTTCTTGAGACGTGAGTCTGCCGAAGTTCCCGGCCAAATAAAGCCAAATCCTTCCTTAACCGGGTGTCTGAGGGCTTTTGTCTACGGCTCATCCTGCTACACTCTAGCTGGAATTGGAGACTGCAGCCCCTCTCCGACCTGGGCCACGACACGCAAACAGCGTCTCCTGCCTCCTGCACAGTGGCCAATACCAGGCCAAGAGCTTCACCTTTGTTACCCGGCTTCATCTTCACAAAACCCTGGGGGCAGTAGGTGTGATTTTACTCCCATCTTATAAATCTGGAAACTTCCATTTACAGAAGTGACCCGATCCTCTCAGAGGATGAGGCCAGCAGGCAGTGGAACAGGGATTTGGACATGAGTCGTATCCCCCAGATGCCATGCGGTTGACCAGGCTGCCATCCGGAGCTTCCGTGGGGCCAGGAACTGCCTCTCAGGCCTGACGGGATTCAAATATGCACCAATGCACTCCTCAGAGGAGAGGTGAGCGAAGGGGGACCCCATGACCCTGAAGCCTACAGTCTCAAAGGGAAAGAGGACCCTCCACCCACGTGTGGATTGGCAGGCCTGAGTGAGGCACTGTTCTCTGTTACAAGTGTTGCCCTCCCCCGCCACAGCCATGGGCTGCACTTCCGTCCTTTGGGCAGCCTCAAAGGCTCTGCAACTCTCCCTAAAGACACTAATTTCACCCCCAGGGCCATCCAGGCCAGGGGAGCCTCTTGACAGAAACCTTGCATGTATGCGGTGTCTCTCACCCAGGCATCTTCCTCCTTCTGCACAGAGCCCTGTTCTTAGGGCTGCTTAGGCACACAGGTGACCCGGATGTTCTCTCTTGGATGCGACCTACTGTGTGTCTTAAGTTTCTGGGGCACAGTCAAGAAAACAGCATGGGCCGGGCGCGGTGGCTCACGCGTAATCCCAGCACTTTGGGAGGCCGAGGCGGGCGGATCACAAGGTCAGGAGATCGAGACCATCCTGGCCAACATGGTGAAACTCCATCTCTACTAAAAAAAAAAAAATACAAAAAATTAGCCGGGCGTGGTGGCAGGCGCCTGTAGTCCCAGCTACTCAGGAGGCTGAGGCAGGAGAATGGCGTGAACCCAGGAGGCGGAGCTTGCAGTGAGCCGAGATCGTGCCACTGCACTCCAGCCTGGGCAACAGAGCAAGACTCTCTCAAAAAAAAAAAAGAAAAGAAAAGAAAAAAGAAGCATGGCTTAGCCTCCTAAACCTTTTGGACAAATAAACTTCGCACCAACACGTGAAAGGGCAACAGCTGATGTTGAGGAAACATGGCTCTATTTGTTCTCATAATCTTTATTCACAATCTCAGTAAGATCTCCTTTGAAAACAAACAACAGAATAGTGTCCTGGGTGCGCGGCACAGTCAAGGGTTGCGAGAGCCTGCAGTCCTCTACTTGCAGGGCAGCTGTTAAGGGCTTGGGAGCTGCCCTCATTCACCCCTGCTGGGTGTCCCTTGGTTCCTGGTGTCTGTGAGGCTCCAGCAGATCCTAACCCAGCCTTGAGCATGTGAGGCCCTTTCTGAGCACCCTCGTGGGCCAGAGGCAAAAGCACTGCTCCTTTCTTCAGGCAGGGCTCCAGCCAGGGGCCCCACAGGAAGGGGCATTTCCTGAGCTCCCAGAACAGCTGGAGAAGGGGATGATGCATCTGTTGGGGAAGGTGGAGGAGCCTGTCGGCCTCATTACTGTCACTTCTCAGAGACCATGAGGCCTAGGGGTGGTGATTGGCTGGATGTAGATGCAGGGAGAATGGACTTGTGCTTCTGCCCACTGGCCAGTTCACAGCGCCACAGGCTCCTTCCCTGCTCTCGGTTGGTTCCCAAAGGAAAAAGTGGAAGCATTTTTATTATCCTGCTATCTGGCTCTGGAATTCCCCTTTGGAAGGAGCAATGGCGGGATAAGTCCCCACGGTAGAAGGAGGATCCCAGAGGCCTGGTTGGAACCGACTGCTCTGCTGCCCTGAGCTGCTCACAGAGTAGAATGAAGGAGAGGATTGAGTACGGGGCAGGAGAGCCCACCTGTGTGTCTGAGGGTGTGCGGCCAGCCCATCCATAGCATTTGCTCCACTTGCGGTTAGCACATGAGGAACTGTAGAGGAGAGGGACAGTGGCTCATGCCTGGACACTTATAAGGCAGAAGACGCAAAGCTGGGCTGGCAGCAGAGGGGCTGGAGGAATGCAAGCCTCACGGTCAGCTGCAGTCTCCAGGCCATGCCCCGGTTGCCTGTCAGCTCTTGGGTACTTGGCACGGGCTCTGGGTGCTGCTGTGCAGGTTGAGTCCCACCCAGAGTCCTGCCCTTCATTCTACAGGAGAGGGGCCATTTCTGATTGGATCGCAGAGTGGCCACACGGGCTGTGGGAGCTCTGCCAGGCTATTGTGCACAATGCTCCATTACCCCAGCCTGTCTTGGAGACCCTCCAGCATCTGCCCAGTTGTTCCCTAAAGTGATCCCATCTCCTAGGCCTGGAACAGTGCCTGCCCTGCTCCCATGTCAGACACGAACCCCACCCCGCTCCGGGTTCCCTGTCCTCTGACATGCATGGTGACACTCTCCAGCACCCCTTCCTTTGCCAGGTTCCCCCAACCTGGGGCTGGCCTCCTGCCCCTGACTCTAGGGAGCAGGCCAGCTGGACGCGTCACCCCTCAGCTGGCTCCCACCGTGACCATGGCATGAGTGATTTTTATTTTATTTTTTGGACTTGCCAAAGAACCACCACATCATTGTGTGGTGAGCCTGGAGGACAAGCCATCTGCGGGTAGAACCCAATAGACATGAATCATCCATTCATAGAATGACCAGATGGTCTGGGCTCCCCTGGATAACGGTGTGTTGTTGTCCACCCAACAGGAATACAAATTGCTCCTGGTCCCCTTCTTATGGGAATGGAAAGGACGACAGTCCCAGATGGATGGGTTCATGCCACGCCCCTGAGCTTCATTCTTCTGCTCTACCCTAGACACTGCTTCTGATGCCTCAGCTGCAATGGGCAGTACTTGCTTCAGTTTGGATGGTCCACTGCCACTGATACCACGTATCTGGTTTTTGTAGAAACTAGGCTTGTAAATTAAATGGGGATATGACAGGGACCACCACCCCTGAACTACTGAACTTTTTGAGGGTGGCATTAATCTCTGCCACTTCCCCCCTGCCATGTGATACCATTTTTGATTTGCTATCCTGGCCAGGGGAGGGGAGACCCAGAGGCTTCCACTTGGCCCTCCTGCTCTGATGGCTCTTCCCCCACAGGTGAAGGAATCCATGTGGGTTCTGCTGACTGCTGGGAATCTCCATCCTAAGCATATGTGCAGGTGGTGGAGAGGTGACCCCTGACCACAGTGAGCCAGACTCGGGATCTGGTCCCTCATGCTCCTCCCCACCATGGGCCCATGGAGATACTGGGACCTCCACTCATCAATGTCAACTCAGATCCTGCGTCCAGCAGAGTCCCACACATTTCTGGATGTCTCCCTTTCCCCTGTGCATGGAAATGCAAGTCCATGGCTGAGGAGCCCCTTGGGGAAGGCCTGGAGGAGTCATTACTGCCCACACTTGCCAGGGTTTGCAGGTCAGTCTTCACAGATCTGGTATCTCCTTCAGTCTGGGTTCTGGGTCTGAGGACTGGCTTGGGGCCAGAAACCAGCCAAAGGATTGTGATTTGGGGGTGGGAGGTGGCTGCCCTCAGCCTCCTGGTCGTCCATCCTGGGTACTGTTTATCGCACAATTAAGCCATGCCCTTGTTAACTGCCTACCCAGCTTGCCTCTGTGGACTCTGGGTTTGAGGAACCACCTCTGCGGCTCTCTGCACAATGGGCCCCAGATGCTACTTGGAGTGGCCATCTGCTGAGATAATTGCATCCACCTCGCTTCTGAAGGTTAAGCAGCACCATCTGTTCTCTATGCCATCGAGACTTTGTCATCATCCCTGTTGCTATTAAGGTCCTCTAGAAACCTCTACTGTCAGCCCTGACCCTCAGAGGACAGCACCACTGACTTCTCAACCACGTGCCACCCCCTCACCAGTGCTCTTTGTCACTTTGGTGTATGGGGGTCCATCAGACCTCCTGGGTTTTCCAGCCTTACTCAGAGCCTTTGGTCCTGAGCTGTCCCCTCCCAGGCATTCCAAGAATCACTCTAGCACATGGTAACACCATCTCCTGGGGTCCTGGCTGGGTTGTGACATTGCACATCAGGGGTCTCCTGGGGTGCAGGCCAGGCCGTGAAGTTCCGCATCAGAGATCTCCTGGGGTCCTGGCTGGCTGTGAAATTCTGCCTCAGGGTGGGTGTGCCCACACTGACAGGCTCTCCCTCATCCTGTGCTCCGGCATCCTCAGGCCCAGGCCCAGGCACACTCTACTGGTCTTCCTGGTCCAGCCTGGGCCTGCAGCTTCTTTGGCATCAAAGCCTTCCCTGTCCATGACCCAACTTGGATGAACCTTGAGGACATTACTTTGAGTGAGATAAGCCAGTAGCAAAAGGACAAATCTTGTATGAATCCACTTACATAAGGAACCCAGAGTAGCCAAATCCACAGAGACAGAGAATAGAATGGTGGCTGCCAGGACTAGGGGGGAGGGGGCAGTGAGGACTTAGTGATGAATGGGGAAGAGTTTCAGTTTGGGAAGATGAAAATGTTCTGGAGATGGATGTGGTGACGGTTGCCAGTGTACTTACTGCCAGGGAGCTCTACACCCAGAAATAACAACTTTTATGTTACATGTATTTCACTCCAATTCTTTTAAAAATCAAAACCAGGCTTCTACTCCCTTAGCAGGTCCAGTCCTCTCCAGTCGGGCTGCATTGGGGTTTGACCCTTCCCATCAGTCTGGCTGCCTGGAGGGATGGTGGAGGTGCGTCTGAAGGAAGCACTGTCTTGTCAGACACCACCAGCTTGAGGCCATTATGCAGTCTTCAAGCTGGCTGGGGGAAGGGACACTATTGCCTAAGGGGGAGTGGTCACTTCCACAGGCCTTGCATGTACATAGGAATCCGAAGCTCTAGGTCCTCACTTGCACCTCCCCAGACTCCCCGTCCCAGATCTCAGGGTCCCTTCCCTTCCCTACCGAGGTCCTGACCTAGCTTGGGACACCCCTGGAGGCTGAGAGCTCCACTACACCTAGCAGTAACTTTGCGCCATGTCCTTGGTGTGATCCACCTCTCACTTCCATCCCCCAAATTCCCCAAATGCCGGAGATCAGGGAGGACTTCTGACTTTCCCATTTTGATTTCATTGGTTGTCATTCTCCATCATCTTCTGAGTGGTGCTCAGAGCAGCCCCGTCCTCCGGCTCCAGGTCCCTTACCCACTAGGATGTTGCGTCAGCTGGTCGGACCCCTTCCCCTGGCTAGAGTCCCCCTGGTTCACCACCCATGCTCCATACAGTGAGGAGGGCAGGACGGGGTACAGAGAGAGACAGGCTCACGATGCCCTCGCACCCTGAAGGGGCTGGGCCTCTGCACCAGCAACATTGGCGGGTCATTGTCCCACTGGTGGCAGCATTGTCTCAGGAGGGACCTTCCCTGAGGCAGAGGACAATTACTGGGGAGGAACAGGCTGTGAACCAGTCTCTGTCCAGTGGGTGGGGTGGGCATGAGGGCTGTGAGGAAGGTGTGGGGCGGAGCGCCTGGTGTCCACTCCCACCCTGCATTCAGCAGCCCTCGCTGTCTCCCCTCTGCTCTGCACTGTGGCTGCCTTGGGCCGCCTGGGGCTAAGGTTTGTCCCAAACCTCCAGTCCTGCAACGGTGCCCCATCCCTGGCATGGTCCCCACTCCACCCTGCCCCAGCAGGAGGCCAGTTTGTCCTGGATGGGAAGAAGGCCTCACGGGCAGGGGAGGCTCCCACGCATGCCACCCCTTCGGCCGTGCCCTGGGGTTCCGCTCTTGGGATTCTTAATGAGTTTATCCTTGAATGTGTGTTTTGTAAGTGAAGTCAATGGGGCAATGGAGCATCCACCAAGGCTCCTTTCCCTGCTTCCTTCACACCCCCTGTTAGGTGTTCTGGGCTGCCACCTGCCCTGCCACAGGCCCCGGCTGTCCTGCACAGACACTCCACGGATGAGACAGAGCCCTGGGCACCTGGGAGGTCTGCACATGCCCCACAGGGATCCCTGAGCCCAGGGCTGATTTTAAATAGCAGAGAAAAACACCCTTCCTGCTTTCTGAACAACGGCCCACACTTTCATTTGCTGCCTGCCCTGCTCTCAGAGTGTCTTCTCAATGGACAAACCAGAAGGGCCTGCAAGCTGCTGACTGTGGCCCACACAGCCCACACACTGGTCCCCAAATCTCACCTTCTTCCCCATCTTCTCTTCATGAGGAAGAGGCTCAGCCCCTTTCTCCCTGCCCAAACCTAGAAACACACTCCAAGGCCGAGTCCTATTAACTTGGGGAGGGTGGGAGTGTTAAACTTGAGCTCACCAAAGATTTCTGTGATTTTCCGAGATTGCATATATGACTGATTTGGGAAAACTTGCAGGGAACACAAGCCACATCCTGCCCGTAGGCCCGGCTTCTGTAGCGCCTATGGTGACCAGGTTGGCACTGACACCGCTGTGCCGCTGCTCTGTCCTGGCCCAGACATGCTGTCATGGCCTTGGGTGCCAAGTTAAATGAGGTCTGTCACCTGTCCCCTGCTCATGGAGCTGAGTATGTTTGAAGTTCATTTACTGTGTATTTTCCCCTCGGGGTGTGACAAATGAGCCCTACCCCCAGACAACAGTGCCAGAAATCCAAACAGGGTTGGGCTCTATCCCATCTGCCTGGGGCTCAGGGAGTCCCTCTGCTGTCCCCAACACCCACTCCTCATATCCCACCCCCCAGCACATGGAGCTGGAGCTGGGAACTCGCAGGCCCCTGGGGACCCATCTGCGCTGTTTGTTTGGGTGAGAGCTCTGTATTGACAGCAGCTCTCCTGGCAGCCCTCGGCAGAGAGAAGGCTGTGCCAAGTGGGTATCAAGCAACGGTCGGGCACACGCTCCAGATGACACATGCGGGGGTGGGGGCGCAGCCCTCTCCTACCCTGGGGGAGCCACCTCCCGATAATCCCTCCCATGGCTCCCCGGGGAGGGGCAGGAGAACACAGGATGATTGTCACAGATCATGTGCTGGGGAGGAGAGCCTCGCAGACCTGAGGCCGGGAAAGGGGGCAATGAAAACAGCCCTTTGTCCAGGGCCTCATCTGCCACACACTGGGCTTGTGTTTCTTGCTTTATGACAATTGGGCGAAACATTAGACTGGGCATCAATTATTCAGATTTCACTGTGAGGTCAGAACACAGCAGCTCCGTCCTGTCCCCACCCAGAGAGAATGAGAATGCCGGGGGAGTCAGTTCCAGGCTGTGGGAATTTAGACAAACTCCTGGGTGGGGTGCCTGAGCCCCCTGCCCCCACACTTGCACCCTCAGGTCTCAGCTGCCCAACCCCCACCAGGTCTAACCCTCCTCGACCCCCACTGACCAAACTGCTTTCCAGGTATTTGGGTGGCACTGAACACTAGGAGGCATTTCTCCATTTTCAGGCAGAAAGTGCAATTGAAGGAATTCTCTGGTGCTCAGTGACCTTCTATCCAAACCCAAAACACACACACAAACACACACACACACATGCATGCACACACACACATGTGTGTGTGTGCATGTGCAAAAGGCACAGACATTTCTCTGGCTCTGTTTGCTTAGGACCCTGAGCCTGATCCCTTGCCTGGCCAGCTGCCCCTCATGTGCTGTCCTGGAGCCCCTTCCAAAGCATCATTCACACACGGCTGTGGTCCTGGCTGCCACCCACCCTTCTCCTAATGTAAGTGTTTCGAGCCACACGTTTCCCTCCAAGCACTGTTTAGCTGTATCTGGAGATTTCGACAGGTTGTATTTTCACTACCATTCAATTCGAAAGACTGTAATTTTTCTTGTTATTTCTGCTTTGACCCGTGGAATTTTTAGAAGTATTCTGTTTGACTTCCAACTATTTGGGGGATATCCAGACAACTTTATGTGATTTATTTCTACTTTGATTCCACGGCGGTCAGAGGATATTCTTGGTATAATTTCCAGCCATTTAAAATGTATTGAGACTTGTTTTATGATCCAGCATGGAAATAATGTGTCGTCTGCAGTGGGAGATGAAATATTGTGTAAATGTCAATTCGGTCAAGCTGGTTGATGGTGTTGTTCAAGTCTTCTCAATCCTTGCTGATTTTCTGTCTGTTGGGTGTTGAAATCTTCCACTGTAATCGTGGATTTGTCTGTTTCTCCTTTCAGTTCTAGCTGTTTTTGCCTTATATATTTTGAAGCTCTCTTATTATGTGCATGCACATTTAACATGGTTAAACATAACCGCCATAACAAAATCCCATAGGCCGCGTGGCTTAAATAACAGAAATGTATTCTCACAGTTCTGGAGTCTGGAAGTCCAAGATCAGGGTGGCAGCATGGTTGGGTCCTGGTGAGGGCTCTCTTCCTGGCTTGCAGACAGCTGCCTTCTCACTGTGTGCTCATGTGGCCTCTCCTCAGTGCATGCATACACAGACCAAGAAGAGTCCCTCTCTCTTCCTCTTCTTTTTTTTTTTTTTTTGAGATGATGTCTCACTCCATCGCCCAGGCTGGAATGCAATGGCGTGATCTCAGCTCACAGCAACCTCCATCTCCCAGGATCAAGCAATTCTCGTGCCTCAGCCTCCCGAGTAGTTGGGACTGCAGGTGTGCACCACCATGCCCAGCTAAGTTTTTTATTTTTAGTAGAGACAAGGTTTCACCATGTTGGCCAGGCTGATTTTGAACTCCTGATCTCAGGTGATCCGCCCCCCCTCACCTCCCAAAGTGCTGGGATTACAGGTGTGAGCCACTGCGCCCAGCCTCTCTCTTCCTCTTCTTACAAATACGCTAATCCTTTCAGATCAGGGCCCCATTTTTACAACCTCATTTAACTTTAATCAATTCCTAAAGGCCCTTCAAATACAGTCACCACAGGGGTTAGGGCTTCAACATATAAATTTGTAGGGGACACAGTTCAATCTATAGCAGAAGGTTATACCTTTGGATGAATGGACACTTTTACTAATATGAATACTCCTCCTTATTTCTAGCAGTATTCCTTTTACTGAAGTCTATTTTATTTGATATAAATGAAGCAATTCTTACTATCTATGATTAGTGTTTACATTATACATATTTTTTCTATCCTTTTACTGTTTATCTCCCTGGGATTTAGATTAAAAATATATTTCTTATAGATAACATGTATTTGGGAGTTTTTTTTTTTAATTCAATATGGCCGTTGCTGCTTTTAGTTTAGTTCTTCTTTTTTTAGATATTGAAATAGTTGGCTTTAAATTTGCCATCTTGCTACTTGTCTACTTTTTGTCTATCTGTTCCTTTTTCTCTTTCTGTTTTTTTGAATTGTGTATTTTTCAATATTCCATTTTTATTTCCTCCATTGGCCAATTAGCTATATGTATTATCTTTATTCTTTTACTAGTTGATTTAGAGTTTACAAGATCTGTCATTAACTAATCGAATAATAGTATACTTGCTTACATAAGGTGGAAAACCTTAAAGTGATATACTTTCATTTCTTTCATCCTTTGTCTTCCCATTGTTAGCCTTCCATCCCACTGTTATCGGATATATTATGTCCACATATTTAATAAATTCCACAGCATATTAATATTATTATTGTTGTAAACAGTCCATTGCTTCTGAAGACTTTTTTTTTTTTGAACGAGAAAAGTTAACAAGTTGTCTTCCACAGCACTTAAAAAATATCCATTTGACTGTCTCCTGCCCTGCATTGTTTCTGATGGTCATTATTATTTTTGTTCCCTATACGTAAGGTACCTTTTTTAAAAAGAGACTTTATTTTTTGGGGTCACAGCAAAATGGAGTGAAAGGCACAGAGATTTCACAAATGCTGCCTGCCTTTACACACACATCACCTCCCCCCGCATACGCATCCCCTGCCAGAGCGGTGCATATGTTACAACTGATAACCTACACTGACACATCACTATCACCCAGAGTCCACAGTTTACATTAGTTTTTATTCTTGGTGTCATTAATTCTCTGGGTTTAGACAAATGTATAATGGTATTTATCCACCATGATAGTATCATAGAGAGTAGTTTCACTGCCCTAAAAAAATCTTCTGTGCCCTGCCTATCCCTCCCTCCCTGAAACCCTTGACAACCGCTGACCTTTTTACTGTTTCCATAGTTTTGCTTTTCCAGAGTATCATATAGTTGGAGTCACAGTCTGTAGCCTTTCACATCAGCTTCTTTCACTTGGTAATATGCATTTAAGTTTCTTCCATGTCTTTTCATGGCTTGATATCTCATTTCTTTTCATCACTGAATAGTATTTCATTGTCGGGATGTACCACGTTTTACTTATTCATTCACCTACTGAAGAGCATCATGATTGCTGCTAAGAATAAAGCTGTTATAAACATCCATATGCAGGTATTTCAGACACAAATGAACATCCAGTGGACTAAAGTTTTCAATTCCTTTGGGTAAATACCAAGGAGCACATTGCTGTATTGTACGCTAAGAATATGTTTAGTTTTGTGAGAAACCACAAACTGTCTTCCAAAATGGCTGTAGCATTTAGAGTTCCCCGCCAACAATAAATGAGAGTTCCTGTTGCTCCCCCTCTTCATCAGCAATTGGTGGTGTCAGTGTTCTGGATTTTGGCCATTCTGATAGGTGTGCAGTGGTAGCTCACTGTTGTTGTAATTTGCATTTCCCTGACGACATGTGATGTTGAGTATTTTTTCATGTGCCTATTTGCCACCTGTACCTCTTCCTTGGTGAGGGACATAGTGTGTCTTTTATTGCTGGCTGATTTTGAGATGTTCTCTTTATCACAGGTTTTTAGCAATTTGAATATAATGACATTGCCCATGATGCTTTTTGCATTCATTCTTCTTAGGTTTCAATGCATTCTTTAGAATAGTGTGTTTATATTTTTCATCAAATGCAGAACATTTTCAGTTATCGTTTCTCCATACATTTTCTCTGCCCTTGACCCCTTCTAGGACTGCAATTAGAGATAAGTTACACCCCTTGACATTGTTCATCTTTAGAGATGTTACACTCCTTAACAAGTTCATTTTTTTCCAGTCATTTCCCTCTCTGTGCTTTAGCTTGGATAGTTCGAGTACCTTGTCTTCCATTTTACTGCCTTTCCTTTTGTCACATCACATTTTCTGTTAAGCCTATCTGGTGTTTTTTCAGACTTACATTATTTTTTAAAATTAACGTACAGTACAATAAACTTTTTTTTTTGGTGTACCATCAAAACTGACAAGCTGATCCTAAAATTCGTAGGAAAACATAAGAAACCCAAAATAGCCAAAGCATTCTTGATAAAGAACAAATTTGGGGGTTCGCAATTCCCAGTTTCAAAACTTACTATAAAGTCATGGTAATCAACACTATGTGGATGTAAAATAGCAATAGACATATAGATCAATGTAATAGAATTGAGAGCCCACAAGTAAACCCATATATTTATGGGCAATTGATTTTCAACAAGCATGACAAAGACAATTCAATGGAAGAAGTAATAGTTTCTATAATAAGTGGTACTGGGACAACTGGATACCCACACAGCATAAGAATGAAGATGGACCCTTAGCTCATACTATTTACAAAAATTAACTAAAAATGTTTCAAAAACCTAAACATAAGAGCTAAAACTATAATATTTTAGAAAAAAACATAGGCATAAATCTCCATCATTTTGGATTAGGCAGTGGTTTCTTAGATATGACAGCTAAAGCATAAAAGAAAAATAGATAAATTGGCATCAAAATTTAAAACCTATGTGTTTTATTTTTTATTTTAATTTTATTTTATTTTATTTTTGAGACAGAGTTTCACTCTGTTGCCCAGGCTGGAGTGCAATGGCACGATCTTGGCTCACTGCAACCTCTGCCTCCCGGGTTCAAGCAATTCTCCTGCCTCAGCCTCCCTGGTAGCTGGGACTATAGGCGTGTGCCATCATGCCTGGCTAATTTTGTATTTTTAGTAGAGATGTGGTTTCTTCATGTTGGTCAGGCTGGTCTCGAACTCCCAATCTCAGGTGATCTGCCCACCTCGGCCTCCCAAAGTGCTGGGTTTACAGGCATGAGCCACCATGCCTGGCCCTAAAACCTATGTGTTTTAAAGGACACTATTACAGAGAATAAACAGCCCAATGGAATGGGAGAAAATACTTGTAAATAATATATTTGACAAGTGTCAAATATCCAGGAAAATAATATATATATATACAACTCTTACAGCACAATAATTTAAAAAACTAAATTATGAGCAAAGGATTCAAATAGACATCTCTCCAAAGAAAAGATACAAATGATCAATAAGAACATGAAAAGATTCTCAACGTCATTACCCATCAGGATAAATGCAAATCAAAATGATAAGATAACAGTTCACACCCACCAGGGTTGCTATAATCAAATATCTCAGACAGATAACAGCAAGTGGTAGCAAGGATGTGGAGGTATTAGCACCTTCATACACTGCTAGTGGGGATGTAAAATGGTACAGCTGCTTTAGAAAACAGGCTAGCAGTTCTTTAAACAGTTAAATATAGAGTTACCACATGACCCAGTAATTCCACTCCTAGGTATAGTCCCAAGAGAAATAAAAACGTATGGCCACACAAAAACTTGTACACAAATGTTCCTAGTAGCATTATTCAAATAGCCAAAAGTGGAAACAACTCATGAATGGATAAACACAATGTGGTATACCCATACAACAAAAAATTCTGCAGCCATAAAAGGAAGTACTGAAACATGACAACATGGCTGAGCCTTGAAAATATTTAGCTAAGTGAAAGAAACCAGACACAAAAAGCCACATATTATATGATTCCACTTATACAAAATGTTCAGAATAGGTGAATCCCCACAGACAGAAAGCAAATTGGTGGTTTCCAAGGGCTAGAGGAAGGGACAATGAGAGTCACTGGTAATGAATACAGGTTGTTGTTACTTTTTAATCTTAGGAATGATGGAAATGGTCTGGAACTGGGCAGTGAGAATGTTTGCGTAACTTCTGAATATACTAAAAACAACTGAACTGTGCACTTCAGAATAGTTTTATGGTGTGTGAATTATATCTAAATTTTTTAAATGTTTGAAAAAATCATTTGGCCATTTTCATGTGAGTCTATTTCTGACTCTAATCTATTTTATTGGCCTATGTTTCTGTCCCTTCACCAATATCATACTGTCTTCATTGTTGTAGCTATAATACATAGTAAGTCTTAAAACTGGGTAGTGTGAATCCTTGATCTTTATTCTTCTTTTCTAAAATTGTTTAACTATTCAAACATCTTTTGCTTTCAATATAAATTTTAGAGTTATATTGTCTATGTATATAAGTATTGCTGATTTTTAAAAATTTTTAATGTTTAATTTTTATGGGTACATGGTAGGTGTAGATATGTATGGGGTACATGAGATATTTTGATACTGGCATACAATGCATAATAATTACAGAGTAAATGAGGTATCCATCATCTAAAGTATTTATCATGTCTTTGTTCTGTAAATAATCCAATTATACTTTGATTTTTAAATGTACAATAAATTATTGTTGACTGTAGTCACCCTGTTGTGCTATCAAATACTAGATCTTATTCATTCTAACTTTATTTTTGTACCCATTAACCATCCCCATTGTTGGGATTTTGATTGAAATTGTGTTGAGTCTAGAGATCAATCTGGGAGAAAACTGACATATAAAATATATTGTCTTCCAATCCATGAACAAAGCATGTTTCTTTATTTATTCAGGGCTTCTTTTATTTCTTTCGTCAATATTTTGTAGTTTTCTGCATATAGATCTCAACCACGTTTTGTTATATTTATCATAAATGTTTCATTTTTTGAAACTATATGTGATTTTTAAAAAATTTGTGGTTAAACAATTTTTTAAGAGTTCAATTTTATTTATTTTTTCATGTGTTTCAAAGTCATTCACGTGATCCAAAATCCTAAATGTACAAAAGAAATTTGTACACTGAATTCTTTCTTTCTTCCCAGTCTCTCAATCATCCAGTTTCCCCACAAGCCGCAGTGTTAGCATTTTCTTGGACAAACCCATAGTTATATTTTATGCATATCTCATGCTCTTCCCTCTATCTTATTTCTCTAATAGTTCACTATATTCACTGTGATACCTCAGTGTAGTTAAAATTTCATCTCTCTTATTGTAAATGAGGTTGATTATACTTTCTGAAGCTTTAAGAGATATTTGTATTACATTTTGGTTTCTAAATGTACATTGCTAGTAAATAGAAATACAATTGACTTTTACATGTTGACCTTTTATCCTGAAACCCTGCAAGGCTCATCAATTAATTCCAAAATCTTTTGTGTAGATTCATTAGAATTTTCCTCATAGGCAGCTACCAGTGAATAGGAACAGCTCATTTTTCTTATAAAATTGGTGTGCTTTTATTTCTTTTTCTCACCTAATTGCACTTGCCAATACTTCCAATACAATATTAAATAGGGGTGATGAGACCAGACATCTTTGCCTTGTTCCTGATTTTAGGGAGATGCATTCAGTAATTTACCATCATAGATGTCCTTGATTATATTAAGGATTTTCCCCACTATTCCTAGTTTGTGCAAAGTTTTTTTTAAATCATGAATGGATGTTGAAATTTTTCAATACTTTCTGCATGAATTGACATTATCATATGGCTTTTCTTCTTTAGTATGCTAACATTGTGAATTATATTGACTAATTTTCAAATATTGAACCAGCCTTGCATTCATGGGATAAACCCCATTTAGGTATAAGGTATTTTAAAAAATATATTTCTGGATTCTATTTGAGAACATTTTGTTGAGGTTGTTTGTGTCTCTGTTCATGCAGGATATTGGTTTGTAGTTTTCTTTTCCTGCACTGTTCCCTGGTTTTAGTATCAGAGTAGTGATGGCTTCATAAGTTGAGTAGAGAAGTGTTTCCTCCTATTTTATTTTTCTGGAAGAGATTGTGTCAAATTGGTGTTATTTCTTCTGTAAGTGTTTGGTGGAATTCACCAATGAGCCTAGAAATTTCTGTTCCAAAACAATTTTAATTGCAAATTTAATTTCTTCAAATGACATAGGACCATTCAGGTTGTCTGTTTCTCCCTGGGTGGGTTTTGGTAGTTTGTAGCTTTTAAAGAGTTGGTTCAGCCAGGCGTGGTGGCTCATGCCTGTAATCCCAGCACTTTCGGAGGCTAAGGCGGGCAGATCATGAGGTCAGGAGTTCGAGACCTGCCTGGCCAATGTGGTGAAACCTGTCTCTACTAAAAATACAAAAATTAGCCGGGCGTGGTGGCGGGCATCTGTAGTCCCAGCTACTCAGGAGGCTGGGGCAGGAGAATCACTTGAACCCAGGAGGTGGAGGTTGCAGTGAGCTGAGAGCATGCCACTGCACTCCAGGCTGGGCAACAGAATGAGACTCCATCTCAAAAAAAAAAAAGAGTTGGTTCATCTAAAATTTAAAATATAGGTACATACATAAATTTGTACATGGAACTCCCTTATTATCTGTTTAATGTTTATGGTGTGTAGTGATATCCCTTCTTTGCTGATATAGGTAGTTTTTATCTTTTTTCTTTTTTCTTCATCAGCCTGACTAGAAGTTAGCTAATTGTACTGATCTTTTCAAAGAACAATTATTCTGTTTCATTTATTTTCTCTATTATTTTTCTGCCTCCGCTGATTTCTTCTCTCATTTTTATTGTTTCCTTCCTTCTTCTTGTTTTGGGTGTATTATGCTTTCCTTTGTTTACTTGATTAAGGTAGAAGTTTAGATTTAATAATTTTGAATTATTTCTTTTTTTCTAATAAAAACATTAAGTGATAAAAAAATTTTCTAGCCAATGCTTTAGCTATACCCTCAAATTTGGATATATTTTCAATTACATTTAGTCAAAAATATTTTCTAATTCCTCTTGAGACTTCTTGTCCAACGAGTTATTTCGATGTGTTAATTTACAAGTGTTTGCTGACTTCCCACTTATTTTTCTGTTACTGATTTCTAGTTTAACTTCATTATTGTCAGAGAACATACTTTGAATTATTTAAATTTTTAAAAATTAGTTAAGGTTATTTTATGATGCAAGATATAATCCATCTTGTTAGATATTCCACATGTACTTGAAAAGAAAAAATTTGTGCTCTGCTATTGTCAGATGGAGTATTCTAAAAGTGTCAACTGGATTCTTTTGGTAGATGGTGTTGTTCAGGTCTTCCAAATCCTTACTGATTTTCAGTTTACTTCTTCTATTGGTAATTGAGAGAAAGGTATTAAAGTTTCAAACTATAATTGTGAGTGTTTCTATTTCTTCTTACAGTTTTGTCAGCTTTTGCTTCATTTATTTTGAAGCTCCATTGTTAGCTGTATACATATTTAGGACTTTTATGTGTTCTTAGTGAATAGACCTTTATATCATTGCTCTGATGTCTACTTTTTCTAATATTTATATACCCACTCCAACCTATTTGTATGGTATATCATTTTGCATCCTTTTACCTTTATCTTATCCATATAATAATATTCTAAATGGGTTTCTTATAGACAGCATACAATTGGTTCTTGTTTTCTAATTCCATTCTTATAATCTCTCTCCTTTAATTTGTATGTTTAAACACTTATATTTAATGTAATTTTTGAAGTTTGGGTTTAGATCTACAATTTCTTTGTTGGTTTTCTATTTGTTCCTTGATTTTTTTATTCTGGTATTTTCCCCTCCCTTCCTTTATTTGGATTATTTAAATATGTTTAGTATTTAATTTATATTTAATTCTTCAGATTTTTAAATGATATCTCTGTACTTTCTTAAGTGATTGCACTGTGGATTACAATATTCATTGTTATATATATATATATATATATATATATATATATATATATATATATATATATCTTTTTTGTAATCTACATAGAATTAGTATTTTACCACTTTAGGTGGAATTTTAAAAACTTTTTTTTTTTTTGAGACAGAGTCTCACTCTGTGGCCCAGGCGGGAGTGCAGTGGCACAATCGCAGCTCTCTGCAACCTCCACCTCCTGGGTTCAAGTGATTCTGCTGCATTTGCATTTCAAGTAGCTGGGACTACAGGCGCGTGCCACCATTCCTGGCTAATTTTTGTATTTTTAGTAGAGACAAAGTTTCACCATGTTGGCCAGACTGGTCTCGAACTCCTGACCTCAAGTGATCTACCCGCCTCAGCCTCCCAAAGTGCTGGGATTACAGGCATGAGCCCCTACACCTGGCTGAAATTTAAAAATTTTACTGTCATACTTTACCCTTTTCCCTTTATCATATAGTTGCCATATATGATACATGTGTGATACTACCCCCAGTGAAAATCACATCAGTGTTATACTTTGACATTAAATGGTCATACATATTTTAATGAATTTAAGAGGATAAAGATAGTGTGTTATATTTACCCATATATTTGCCATTTCTGTTTTTCTTCTTAAATTCCCAATGTTTCAAGTTTGCCTCTGGTGTCATTTTCCTCCTATCTAAAAAAAACTTCCTTTAGATTTTTTTTTTCTTAAAGGAGATCTACTGGCAATGAATTTTCTTAATTTTCCTTCATCTTACAATATATTTATACCATTTTCATTTCTAAGGAATATTTTCACTGGACAGAAAACTCTGGGCAGACAGTTTTGGGGTTTTTTTTCAGTATTTTTTAAATGCTGTGCCACTTTCTTCTATCCTCTGTAATTTCTGATGAGAAATCCATCATCATACAAATACTTGATCCCCTGTTTAATGTTTCATTTCTGTTTGGCTGCTTTCAAGATTCTTTTCTTTGTCGTTGTATTTAGCAGTTGATTATCCTGTGTCTGTTCATTAATTTGTTTAAGTTTATCTTGTTTGGGATGCACTGAGCTTCTTGAATGTGTAAGTTCATGTCTTTCACCAAATCGGGAAATTCTCAGCCAGTAGTCTTTCCTTCCTTTCTTCCTTCCTTCCTTCCATCCGTCTTTCTTTTCTTTCTTTCCTTCCTCCCCTCCCCTCCCCTTCCCTCCTTCCTTTCCTTCCTTCCTTCCTTTCTTCCTTCCTTCTTTCTTTCCTTTCCCTTCCCTTCCTTCTTTCCTTCTTTCCTTCCTTCCTTCCTTCCTTCCTTTCTCTCTCTTTCTCTCTCTCTCTCTCTTTCTTTTTTCTTTTTCCCTTTCTTTTCTTTTCCTTTTCTTTCTTGAGACAGGGTCTTTCTCTGTTGCCCAGGCTGGAGTGCAGTGGTGTGATCTCAGCTCACTGCAACCTCTGCCTCCCTGGTTCAAGCAATTCTCATGCATCAGCCTCCTGAGTAGCTGGGATTACAGGCATGAGCCACCATACTCGGCTAATTTTTGTGTTTTTAGTAGAAACGGGGTTTCACCATGTTGTCTAGGCTGCTTTTGAACTCCTGACTTCACGTGATCCACCTGCATTGATCTCCTAAAGTACTGGGATTACAGGCGTGAGACACCACACCTGGCCTCAGCTGGTATTTCTTCACATATTATATCAGTACCACAGTCTTTCTCTTCTCCTTCTGTGTTTCAATAATACAAACATTAGATCATTTCATGTTATTCCATAGGTTCCTGATGCTCTGTACATTGATTTTCTTTCTTTCTGCTATTCAATTTCTATTGCTCTAGCTTCAACTTTACTGACTTTTTCCTCTGCTCTCCATTCTGTTATTGAGTCCATCCAGGGAATTTTTAATTTCACTTGTTGCAGCTTTACGTTCTAAAATTTTCATTTGTTTCTTGTTTGTATTTTCTATTTCTTTGCTAAGATTTTCAATCCTTTCATCTCAAAAGTTTCCCTTTAGGTATTGCAGCATGGCTACAATAGCTGCTTTAAGTCTTTAAAAATTCCAACATGTGTCATTTTAGGGTTGATGCCTTTTGATTGTCTTTTTCCTTTTAGTTTGAGATTTTTCTGGTTCTTTAAATACAAGGCATTTTGGGTTGTATCCTGGACATTTTGGATATTATGTTATAAGGCTCTGTGTCTTATTTAAATCCCAAAGAGAATGTTGACATTTTTGTTTTAATACACAATTGACCTGATTAGGTTTGGGCTACAGGTTCTGACCCACCACCTGTGGGCTGTGGTTCCAATGTCAATTCAGTTTTCAAAGGCTTTGCAATAATACTATGTGACTCTGCTCTGCCTGTGCATTCTCCATGGGCTTGTCTGGGACCTGGGGTTGTGGTCTACCTGTAAGCTCAATTCTCAAAGCCTGTGGTGTGCTATGAGGAACAGATCCATGCCGACGCAGCTCAGAAGTGAGCCTAGAAATTCATACACAATTCTATGGGCTTTCTCTCTTGAGACCTTTTCTTTCCATTATCTCCTCTGGAGCCTCCCTTTCTCAACCTGTGGCCAGAAAGGCCAGGCTTTAGTTTCTCACTCTGCTACACGCTTCCCACAACTGTGACTGCATCCAGAGCCAATCTGTGGGAGGATCCAGGGAGAGAAAAAACAATGACACTTTGTCTTACACTCCTGGTACCATGGCTCTTCTGGTCAGAGAGAAGGATTCCTGTCCATTAGAGTTTTAGGCACCCTTCCAACAGCCACTGCCCTTGTCACCCCTGCTGCTGTGGGATTGCTTGAGGCTGGGAGGGAGAGGACAGAAAAATAACCAGGGTATTCCTCTCACTCTCTGACTCTCAGGATTCCCCTTTCCTGCTCTTTTAGCAGAAAGAGAAGGCTTCTCTTGGAGTGCTCTTTGTCCACACCCATTGTGCCCTCCCAGGTTTTGGGGGAAGGGGCTTTGAGTCCAGGCTGGGTAATACTGGAGGAAAAGTACATGGGAAATACATCACTAATTTGGTGGCCCCCCGGCTTCTGGCCTCATTCCCCTGTCAGCTTACCATTGCTTTTTCAGAGTTCTCAGGCGGCTGCCCCTTGCCTTCTGTCCAGGAAGCATCATTTCACTCAGTGGAAAGGCAGATGAAAGGTGCTTATTTCTTCTCGCCCAGATCAGGAGCCTACCTCCATCTAGTCAATTTTTCATTTCAGATAGGGTATTTTTCCAGCTCTAGAGTTTCCTTTTTTTTTCTTTTTGTGATTTCAATGTCTCCCCTTGTTATGTTTGCATTTTTTAAAAAAATCCTTGAATATATCTATAATAGTTGTTTTAAAGTCCATGATTACTAATTCTATCACCTCTGCTTTTTCTTGGTCTGTTATTATTGATTCTTTTTTTTGTTTGTTTGTTTTGGGTTACATTTTCCTGCCTTTTGCATGTCTAATAATTTTTATGGAATGCTGGACTTGAGAAAATTGCGTTATTGAATATCTGGATTTTGTTGTCTTCCTTTAGAGAGTGTTGCACTTTGTTCCGATAGGCACTTAATTCCTTTGTGCATCAACTTGAAACTTTCAAGATTTGTTTTAAAACTTTGTTAGGGCTTTATCTAGGGTCATTTCTTTCTGTGTTCTCTATTGAACTACAGGCACATGCCACTATAGAAGGGGGATACATTCTGAGAAATGCATTATTGGGCAATTGTGTTGTGCAAACAACATAGAGTGTTGAGTGTGCTTACGCAAACCTAGATGGTATAGCTTGCTACACACCTAAGTTATGTGGTACAGCCTATTGCTCCTAGGCTACAAACCTGTGCAACGTGCTGCTGAATACTGTAGGCAACTGTGACACAATGGTAAATATTTGTGTATCTAGACATATCTAAACATAGGAAAGGTAATGTGTTGTATTATAATGTCACATGGCTACGATGTCACTAGGTGAGAGGAATTTTTTAGCCCCATTATAATCTTATGGGACTCCTGTCATATATGTGATCCATCGTTGGCCAAAAATATCGTTATGTAGTGCATGACTGTAATTTGGTGTTCAGTGAGGACTCTCTCCTCTGGCTGGCCAGAACTTGAGGGCCTCCCAACCTGTGTGAGCTCTGGTTACTGCAATGTCTACAGCTGCCTATACCTGTGCATTGTGGTTGTATGCCCAGCCCCATGGATTCTTGCCCTATATAGGTACACATCTGTGTTCATCTGAGACTCAGGGTGACCCCATGCAGATTCATGAACCCCTTTTTCTTTTTTGTTTCTTTTTTTTTTTTTTTGAGATGGAGTCTAGCTCTGTTGCCAAGGCTGGAGTGTAATTGGCATGATCTCAGCTCACTGCAACCTCTGCCTCCTGGGTTCAAGTAATTCTCCTGCCTCAGCCTCCCGAGTAGCTGGGACTACAGGCACTCACCACCATGCCTGGCTAATTTTTGTAATTTTAGTAGAGATGGGGTTTCGCCATGTTGGCCAGGCTGGTCTTGAACTGCTGACCTCAAGTGATTCACCCACCTTGGCCTCCCAGAGTGCTGGGATTACAGGCAGAAGCCACCATGCCTGGCCTATGAGCCCCTTTTTCTGCCTCCTCAAACTCCAGTTGCAGTTTCCTCAGCTCGGCAAGACCACTGTTCTCTGCTGGATCCCCTCTCTGTCCCAGGGCTGGGAAATGCCTGCAGGCAAGAAGCCAGGTCGATTGTAGGGCTCATGCTCTCTGCCTAGCTGCTCTGAGGGATCATGTGCCTGCACTGCCTGTTATTTGCAAATAGTTTTTTCATATATTTTGTCTGGTTTCCAACTTGTTTGCAGCAGGAAGGCTAGTGTGATGCCAGTGCTCTGTCTTAACTGGAAGTGAAAGTCTGCTTATTTTAATCAGAATTATTGAATTATTGGACTGCTTTGACAGCATGTAGACAAAGCTCTAAGTTGCTTTTTAAATATGTTACCTGGTGGAGCATGATGACTCATACCTGTAATCCCAGCACTTTGGGAGGCTGAGCAGGGAGGATCACTTGGGAGGATCACTTGAGCCCAGGAGTTCAAGGTTAGAGTGAGCTATGATTGTACCACTGTACTCCAGTCTGGGTGGCAGAGTGAGACCCTGTCTATAAAAAAAAATACATAAAATTAAAATGTTACCTGATAAAAGAGATAGCCTAAGAAATTTAATTGAAATAAATATTGTACAGCCTGATTGCATTTTCAGACTTCTGACACAGTCCCGTGAAACTGTCTTAGGGAGATCCAGGGAAGCCTGTTTCTTAGAAAAAGGCTGCCATACTCTAAGAAGCAGCTCTATGATAATATTTGCAAAGCAATTAAACACAAACTTGTACTCCTGATTGTTACTGCAAAAGTAATACCTATCCATCATTGAAAATTTAGAATGTAATGGCAAGTCCCCCAAAAGAATCACCCATAGTCCCCATCAGTTAGCACTTGTCACTCTTTTTATTGTAGCACTAAACATGTATACTCTGTTGTCAATATATCCACACAAATAGTCTTGTATGAAAAAATTAGCTCATAATGTATGACTTCTATAAATGCTATGTTTGGGTCTCCCTAGCAGGGTGGATCTGATGGAAGAATTAGGGAGGTTGTTGATGATGCAAATTTACAAGCCAGTTATTTGCTGCACTGACCCGAAGTAGGCGAGTTGTTGCATGTGGATGGTGGCAGGATGGATGTGGGATGGACGAGTTCACTGAGAAGCCTCCGAGGGCTGTGGCTGCTGGGATGGCAGGGGAGTGTCCCTTGTTTCCCCTGGACATGCAGTGAGGCACAGGGAGAATCGATGCACGGGGAGAATCGATCCACGATAGGACCAGCCCCACCCCTCCTTCCCCCTAGGAGGTGGGATGGCAGACAGAGACACTTACAGACCATCTGTCCCAATAGTCCATAGAAGCCTTCTGGAGTCACAAATTTGCTGTAAGTTTATCTTCATTTAAAAAAATTATGTTGTAAACCAGAATTAAATAAAAGACACCAATTCAAGAAAGCTATATTGTGGAAATAATTTTTTTAAAGGCAAGTTATAAAAAGACAGGATAATTGTATTAAGAAACTTGAGACAAAGCCTTGTTGCTGTGAATAAGCTTAATTATTTAAATTTGACCTTCTTGGCAGTCAAGGCAAAAAAAAAGGAAAATAAAGAACATTTATAAAGCGCTTGCTATCTAACACAGTTCCGTGATTCTTTATTAGAAACCCTTGGGGGTGGATGCTTTTCTGATTCAGAACATTTGGATTTTAGACCAGTAATAAACTGCATATGTATGTTAAGTAACATGCTAACAGGATCGGGGTGGCAACTCATGACCAAGCACATTCATACATTTTTGCTGTGAAACATGCAAATATTCACACTAAGACTTTAACTATCCTTATATCTGACCAGGTCAGGTTTTGCCACCAAATGAGTTTGCCACAAACTTATGGAAAAAGTCTTGGTTTTCAGGAATATTTAGATTTTGGAACTGTGAGTTAGAGACTGCAGACCTGTAATAGAAGCTGTTAATTAATCTCTAGGGAGGGAGAAATGTTTTCCTACTTCACAAATCTAATACCATGTGGACTTTAAAGATATTGCACAACAAAAGGAGCAGGTTCACAGTGGATGTTTTACAAAAAAAATGCATTGTGTCAACAAACTCAACTGAACTCTATTGGACGGGCATCTGGCCTGCCACCAGGACGCCGGGAGGGGCAGGAGAGGGCAGGACGCAGCCCTGGATGCGGGATGACCTTTGCCTTTCAGGTACACATTGGCGGGTGGTGTTCTGCCTCAGGGGGCCAGAGCACAAAGGCAGCAGGGATTGAGTCCTGGGAGGAGGCCAGGGACTGAATCAGACGAGGCTCTGCAGGGCAGTGCCAGGTGTAGGGTGTTTGTTTGGCTGCAAGTGACAAAGACCCAGGCTCAAGCTGGAGGAGCAACAGGGACTGAGGATCTTGTAGCAGAAAGTGCAGAGGCAGGGTGGCAGTGGGCACCCTATGCCAGGCTCCAGGGTGTCTCCCTGAGTGTGGCCCTCCTCCGGGTGTGGCCTCACCCTTGGCTGGTAAAAGATGTGATATCCTGACAATGGCAAAAGTCCAGTGGAACATGCTAGACTATTTCTTCCTGTGGGTCTCTTTTATCAGAGAGGAAACCTTAGCCAGGAATTCCCAGCCGACTTTTGTTTATGTCTCATCAGCAGGACAGGGTCCTCAGCCCCTCTCAGCAAGTGGGGAGAGAGTCAAACAGCTGGTAGTGGCCAGCCAGGACGGTCCCCACATCACTGGCAGGGAGGAGGGGGCACATCAAGGTGAGCCTCAAATAGTGGGGAAACGGGGGTCACAGCCAATGGGCCGGCCACCCATTGAGCTCACCAGGGGTGGGGAGAAGGGTATGCGGGGATAAGACAGAGCTAGTGGGAAGTCAGCCTTAAAACCCTGGGGTGGGTTGCAAGGACATGGGTGATGACAACCAAGGGAAGTCCTAGGCCTTGAGCTCGTGGGGAAAGGGGCCAAAAGGGCCTGGGTGAGTCTGGTCAGAGCTGCTCCTTCAGCATGGAGAGGCTTGGGAAAGCAGTGGGTTTGGGACTAGCGGAAGTGAGGGGCTGAGCCCCAGCTCGGGCAGTGATACGGGGGCCAGATCAAGGCACCTTTCAGGGCTGCGGGGCTGAGCGCACCCCAAAGCCCACCTGCTCCACACCTGTGCAGGAAGGGCAAGCCATGTGTCTTCTGTACCTGTGTGCACCACTCCAGTCTCTGGAAGTGTGGGTTGCTTCTCCCACACCAAGCAATGCAGTTCTCTACAAATGCCAAACAGGTGTCCTACAGTGTAACTCAATTCTGACTCAATCTACTTTGATAGCATCAGACCCCACAGGTTAAGGGCTGGGCTCAGTCCCAGAGAGCTGCCCCGCCCCGTCACATGCTGATTGCAGGTCCAGGTTGTCACTTGTGTTTCTGACAAACAGGCTGTAAATCAGGGGTTCCCGGGACTCCCTCCCTGGGTTCAGTCATTTACTAGAATGGCTCACAGAACTCAGGGAAACACTTTACTTACGTTTACCGGTTTATTTTAAAGGATCTTATAAAAGATACAGATAAACTGCCAGATGGAAGACATGCACAGGTGGTCAGCGTGGAAAGGGGTGGGAGCTTCCGGGCCTCTCTACGTGCCACCCTCCCAGCCCCTCTGTGTGTTCAGCATAGGGTTCTCCCAACCTGTCATTTCAGGTTTTTATGGAAGCTCCATTACATAGACTGATTGATTACATCACTGGCCATTGGTGATCAAGTTGACCTTCAGCTCTTCTCCCCTCTCTGAAGGCGGGTAGTGGAGCTGAAATCCCAACCCTCTGATTATTGGTTGGTTCCCCTGGCAACCAATCCCGCTCCTGATTCTACCCAGGAGTCCCTAGCCACCAGTCCCTCCCATGAGCACACAAAAAGACACTTATGGCTTTGGAGATTCAAGAGTTTTAGAAGCCATGTGGCAGGAAAGAGGGTGGGGAGACCACAAAGGCCAAATGCATATTCCTCATTATAGCGCAATGTCACAATGTCCTGGTGTAGGAAAGTGATGGGTTCAGCTACCGCACTGCTGATGGGATACCTTCTATCCGTTTACCTTGACAGCTAAGTCTTCACAATGACCGGAAGGCCAGCCTCAAGTGTAGGATCCTGGAATCCGTTCTGCACAGAAGTGTGGCCTAGGCCCCGCCGGTTCCCCTCGTCTCCCACTCCTTGCCCATCCCACAGTCCCGCTAGCCCAGCCCAGCCGAGCCCAGCCCAGCCCACATGGGGATTATCACTGGAAACAGCTGCCCCTTCTGGCGCAAGGCCCACAGCTGTGCACCCCTATCAGGAAGAGACCCGGGGAGACCCATGAGGCCCAGGTGGAGGTGTCTGGGGGGAATTCTAGGCCCCAGGGCCAGCTGCATGGTCTAGAAGGGGCACAGGTCTGGGTGGGCAGATCTCCTGGGCCCACAGACTCCTTGTCTGTGGGGAGGGCACCACTGGAGGAGGGCCCGGAATAGGAGCTCTGATGGTGGCACTGGCCTCCATGCAGGGGGTGACAGGGGAATGCAGGGAAGGAGGGGAGGGAGGACTCTAAAGGAATACCGCATCACCTGGCCTGGGCCAGGAGGAGCGTGGTGCCCCCTTCACCAAGATGGGGCCTCCCAGGGAAATGGCTGGGCATGCATTCTTTTCTTTTTTTTTTTTTTTTTGAGACAAAGTCTCACTCTGTCACCCAGGCTGGAGTACAGTGGCGTGATCTCAGCTCACTGCAACTTCCGCCCTCTGAGTTCAAGCGATTCTCCTGCCTCAACCTCCCGAGTAGCTGGGATTACAGGTGCCTGCCACTGCTCCCAGCTATTTTTTTTTTTTTTTTTGTATTTTTAGTAAAGACAGGGTTTCACCATCTTGGCCAGGCTGGTCTTGAACTCCTGACCTCATGATCCACCCGCCTCGGCCTCCCAAAGTGCTGGGATTACAGGCGTGAGCCACCGCACCCAGCCGCATTCTTTTCATGTTAGTGTGGAGTCTTGGTATTTTTGAATGGCATAATATTCCACCGTGCAGATGGTGCCTCATCACACCCGGGCATCCCCGTCACCCCAGGGTGCAGGCTGTGCTGTTGGGAGGTTTGGAAAGGAGAGGAACCCAAGGGTAGGCTCCAAACAACACTCGGGCCAGGGAGGGCTCTCTCTTCTCCATTTGGGGTGTTTCTTGTTGATTTGTTTCCTTGTTTGTGGGAGCCTTGAGCAGGACTGGGGGCTTGCAGGAAGGCATGGGCGGCATGGGCAGAGCAGTCTTGCTCGTTTTGTTTGTGTGAAAGCTGCGCTCCTGGAGGCAGACCCCCAGGTGGCTGGAGGCCCTGAGGTCTGGAGCTCCCTTTTCTCCTTGCAGCCGAGTTGGCCCGGGCTGAGGCTCTAAGTCAGAGCCGTCCATGCATCAACTGCAAGAGAAAGGGAGAGTGTGGGGGCCCTGGGCTGGAGCAGAGACAGAAGGACCAAGCTCTGGGAGAAGTTGTGGCCTGGGTGCTGGCCGCCCCTGGAAGGAGTGCAGCTGGGGGCCCCTGGATGATAGCCCTCCTCCAGGGCACTATGATTACAACTCGGTGTTTGTTCATGCCCCCACCCAGGCCCCAGAGCCTGCCTGGCCTGGCTCCTGCTATGTGGGGTCAGATGCGAGGATGCTGAGCCCTGACCAGGAAGAAGGCAGTGGGGCACACCCACCCAGCCCACCACCCACCCTCTGCTGTCACGTGTCTGCCAGCCAAGAGGAGGCCCACAATGCGGCTTTGTGTGGCAGCTGGCTCTGAGCACACGCAGAGTGTCTGGGGCAGTCCTGGCCAGCAGTGCCAGCCCTGGAAGCCAGAGATGCCAGGTCGCGGAGGGAGGATCCACCCCGCCCAACCCCTCCAGGGCCTGGGGCCAGGCGCTCTCCAGGAAACACCTGGGCTGGCCAGGCTTCTTCAGGGGTCACCCAGGACCCCTGGAGGCTGTGTCTGGGGAACAGGAAACTTTCAGCGGAGGCCTGGCTGTCAGTCCCCAACTAGTAGGGCCTGTGGGGTACCCTGGGACCGCCAGGCCACCGGTTGGACCAACTCAGCCTGCCTTGGGATTCCTAACAGAGCTCCCTGGTCCTGGGTGAAATGAGAAAAAAGAGGACAGCTTTGCCCATGTCTGTAATGCTGAATGTTTCTATTATTTTTAATATGAGTTTTTTGAAATGTTAAAACATCCTTTTTAAATGAAATTATTATAGTGCCTAGAGATTGTTTTTATGACAACATCCTTAATCGGCAAAATTAAAAGTCTCCAACTCTATTTTCAGCCTGTATAAAAATGTGGCTCCTGAAGCCCCCAAACATCGACCCCTCGGTGCTGGCTGGGCTGGCTGGGCGCCTCGTGCAGGCGCAGCTGGGCAGCCGTGGGGAACAGTTGGTGGGCAGCAGCCGGGAAGTCACGTCTGGAGGGCCCTGTGTGGGATGCCTCAGAGTTTCCCAGAGCTGGGTGGGGGTGGGGGCTCTCCTGAGCTGGGACCTTCTCCCATCTGGACCAGGGATGGCATTGACTCTCCCTTCCCTGCCCCTCCCCACCCCCACTGCCTTTGTTCACCTTGAGAACGCACACTTGTGCAGCCCTGCACAGCTCCCCTGCAGCCTGTGTGGGGCAAGGGCAGGGCCCTGGTGTCCAGCCCGGCTCTCAGGAACACCCTTGGCGATGCTGGGCAGGAAGCCCCTCCTCAGCTCCTCCCTTGGCAGATAAGGGTGGTGTCAATGGGCTCTCTACAGAGTCCGTCCTCTTTGGGTTGCCCTAGCATTGCTACAAACAGAGCATTCAGTAGGAAGGAACAGACCTTTTGCCCGAGTGACTTGGCCTGGATCTGAGAAAAACAGCCATCCTTCAGCCAGCAGGGACCATCCCCTGCTTCGTGGGGATGGCTGCTGTGTGTGGGCAGGCAGGGACAGCCCATCTGCCACGGCTGCCCAGTGGCGAGGTCCCTTGGGGACCCTGCCGAGAAGTGAGTGCAGGGCCTTACTGTGACCAGCTCACCAAGAGATGTTATCGGGCCTGAAGCAGGTCCCGAGGGGATTAGGCCATCTGGAGTGAGGGGCTGGCAGGGAAATTGCTTCTCGTTCACAGAAATGTTTAAGAAACAAATCCAGGAAAGGCCTGTTTTGGTTATTTTTTTTTTTGAATGACACAGTAACGTGTCAAACTTAATTTAAGAAACACCCTCAGATATTTTTATTTTTTTTTTGCATTGGATTTGCATTGAGATTTTTTAAAAATGCAAAAGGGCCTTTCTACTGGGCCTGAATCTTGCAAGATTTCTAACCCATTTCAGTCCTGTAAATAATTAGGTGCAATTGGTTGCTGAGACTGATTTTCCCAGACCCGTGGAGAAAGGCCCCAGCCGTGAGGGGCTCTGGGAACTTAGGGGACAGCACCTTATGGACACCCCTACTCAGGAAGGGATCATTGAAGAGATGCTTCTGGGCCTGGAACATTCTCCGCCATCTGGACCTTTCTGTATGCATAGAGGGGACCAGTGGGAACTGTGGGACAGAGGGAGGTCTGCACACCCTCCCTGGACACCATGAGGCCCATCTTGGGTCCCCTGAGTCCAGACCAGCCCCCAAGAAGCTCACAGTCTGGTAGGAAGCCGAGGAGGCAAACGAACAGGAACAGCCCTAAATAACTGCACAGTGCCCAGGCTGCCAGGAGAGTGTGTGGGCAGAGAAGGCTCCCAGAGCAGAAAAAGGATGCTCAAGGATGTATTCCAGGCCAGGGAGCAGCGTGTGCGGGGGCCGTGCGGAATGGCGCATTCTGCAAAATGCAATGTGGCGTCTGGCTGGGGGGCCACTCCGCACTCCCTGGCCTGGCTATGAGTCCAAGCCACCCAGGGGTGAGCTTCTGTAGAGCAGGAGTCCCTGGCTCTTCCCTGAGAGGGGACGTCATGGCCCCAGGTGTGGCTGGCAGAGGACCTGCAGGCTAGGGAAGAGGGCATGAGGTCGGCAGGTTAGAAGTGGCTGGGGAAGCACACGCAGGTCGCCTCTCTGTGGCAGTTGTCTCTTCTGTGAAGTTGAGACCGGTGGGGGAGATAAAGTACTAAGCACTGCAAATACAGAGATCCTTGGAGAAATCGAGTCACTGGAGTCTCCTCTAGGAATGGGGGGCTGCTGGGGTGGGGCCAGTTCCAGGCACGGAGGGGGCTGAGGGACACAGCAGGACAGGCTCCAGACCATCCCCAAGTGGCCTGAAGGTGACCTCGACCCCCTCAGCTGCCTTGTGTGTGTCCCTCCGGCCCTGGCCCAGAAAGGAGATGGTGCATGCCTGTTTCTAGACCTCTAGACCCCTCGTGGGGTCCCTGGGCTCTCTCTGCCAGGGACAAGCAGGGGCACCTTGCTCCCTTTACAACTCCCACTGTCCAGCGAGAGTTGGAGCTCGCTGAGTGCCACATGCCGTTAGGACCTAGGTGGGAGATGGGGGTGCCGAAGAGGGGATGGGGACTGTGGAGAAGTAGATGAAATTTCCCTAGGCTGGCTGGATGTGCCGCAAGTGTCTGAGCAGGGGCTAAGCCCACCCCCTTGAATCTCAGACGGAGCCACTGGGGCCCGGTGAGGCCCAACAATTGTCCCCAGAGCCTCAGAGTGCCTACAGGGCACAGTGGGAGGCAGCACTGAGCTGAAAGGAGCGTAATCTCTAAGCAGGTTTAACCTAAAATAGAGCCTGATAGCTCAATGACAGATGCTTAATTTGTCACAATATTTCTGTCATTATGCTGGGACAGATATTCTTGGTTTGTTCAAGAACAAGGTCTTTTTTTTTTTTTTTTTTTGAGTCATTATACAGCATAAAAGAGACCACACCCCAAACAAGATTGGGACAGCGCTGGGCCCCTGAGCCAAGCCAAGAGGAATCACCCCGCCCACACAACCACCCCGCCCACACAGCCTTCCCTTCCCGGAGCCACGAGCCACAACCAGGCCTACCTGGCTGGAAGAGGGGCTTCAGGGGCTGACTCCACCTGGGAGTGGGTGAGGGGAGGTGACCTCAAGCTCCTTTAAAGCCTTGCCTCTCAACTCCTCACTCCCAAATCCCTCCAAAGGAGATAAAATGACTCCTATAAAGATTAGAGATCATGCACCAGCATGAATGCATGTGAAAAGTGACAGGAACACAAATTCATGCGATGGGGGTCTCAGACTTTTGTCTACCACCAACTGAGAGTGATAAGGCCCAAGAGGGCCCCCTGCAGAGCTGCCTGCAAGAGATGTTGCTCTGCCTTCAAACGTCATGGGATGATGTGTGCTATTCAGCATACTCCTGTGTTTGTTTTCACTAGTTTGTAAAAGGCGTTTTCAAGCACTCACCATTGCCTGTGGAGTGTGGCTCACCCTCCCTGCCCACCCCAGAACACAGTTTGAGAACTAAGCTATTGAAGATGGACCCTTCCCCAAGCCCCAAGCCTAGCGCCTCTCCGTTTCTAGCCCAGCTAAGGGATGGGACCATAGCCCTGTAGCACTAGTGTGAGTGGGAGCCGGAGCCAGCCTGGCCTGCACCCCCACCCCCCAGCCAGGCACAGCCTGGAGTGGGAGGGCACCGCCTGAGAACCTGCAGGAGGAAGACCACTGGGGACGTCGCCAGAAATTGGCAGCCATGGAGACAGTGGCCCTTCCCCTCGGTGAGGCCCTGAATAGCCTTGCTAGTTCCTGCCCCCTGTATAGCCCACAAGGCCAGTCTCACCAGGGAAAATGGGACACTGCATCCCAGGCCCATGGGGACAGAGGGGTGCTGCCCGCTGGGCCTGGCTGGGCTGGCTGGGGTGGCTGCACCCAGGGGTCAGAGTTCATCTTCGGCCTTTCTCTGCAGGGTCAGGCCTGGGAGGTGCTGGCCACCACAGTCATAGTCCAACCAGCTCAGCCAGCAATGTCCAGAGTGACGCTGGCTTCATGCCACGGGACAAGGCCAGTGGTCAGGGTGGTGCCTTCCTGGGAAATGGCTCTTTTTTGGAGAGACAGCCATGATAGAATGACTTTGCAAGCTGGAAGGGCTGGGATGGGGCTGGGGTTGGGGTGGAGGTGGGGGCGAGGGTACTTAGAAAGCAATGAACAGCATCTGGTGGGGACTCACACCTGTGTTCACGCAGTGGGCACCTGTGGGCAGCTTGGCCAAATAGCCCCGAGAGACCAAGCAACTTTCCTGCCCAATGAAATGCAATCTGCTTTCTTCCTTTTCTCTAGTCATTATTTATTCATTTGAAAGATGCTTTTATGATAGAAATTCAGGGCTGCACACAGGCGTCTCTAATGAGGGCATTCGGGAGCAGAGAAGGGGACCAGGCATCCCCGCTGGGCGTGCTGGGAGAGGCTAACAGCCTTCACGCTTTGGAGAGCCCTCAGCCTGCTTCAAAGCTCCTAGCCTTTCTCAATTTCTCCTCCAAGGCATCACAGGGCAGCGGTGTGCGGATCAGATCCTACTTTTACAGGTTAGGTGGCTGAGGCCTCCATTCCCCGGGTTACAGAGACACCTGCCCGGAGGGAGCCCTGCTGGTGGCCTGCATCCTCTCCCTGGGTTCTGGCGCAGCTCACAGTCTGAAAATTACAACTCCCTGTTGTTGCTATGGTGACTGGTTGTGTTATTCTAGCCTACAGAGCTGTGTGCTCCACCTTGCCCAAGATGGTCTGTTTTTGCAGGAGAAAGTCTCTATCTCCAAGTCTCTCTGTGTGTGTGTGTGTGTGTGTGTGTGTGTGTGTGTGTGTGTGTGTGAGAGAGAGAGAGAGAGAGAGAGAGAAGAAAGGAGAGAGAGAGAAATGGGCACACTGCCCTTCCTGCTGCCCCAACCTTTTCCCTGGGCCCAGTGGACCTTCTGTCCCTGCCCAGCAGGCTGCCTGGGTCCCCAAGATACTGGCCCCATTCCTTTCATAGGACACCGACTCTGGGCCACAGGCACTGGCTGTGCAGGGGTCCTTCCTTTGTGTCTCCTTGTGAGGTCAGATCCCTGTGTCAGTGCACAAAGGGCACCCCGTTCTTGTTTCATTTGCAGACTACTCTGTGACATGGATGGACAGACCATCATCTATTTAACCAGGCTCTCTAGATGGACAGTTGGGCTGTTTCCAATCTCTGGTCATCACAAATCTGTGAAAAATAACCTTGAATATATGTCATTTTGCACATGTGGGAATATGTGTAGAATAAACTCCTAGAAGTAGCATTATTGGGAAATTAGTATCTGCATTTCTAAGTTTGGAAATTTTTGCAAATTGCTGTCCGTTGATATCATCCATTGTGAGCCTAGTACATGCTGAACACTGAACTCAACATTTTATCTGGATTATTTTATTTCGTCTCACCGTGGCCCTAAAATGGAGCTTATTCCGATGCTGGTTTTACAGATAAGCACACAGATGCTCAGAAAAACTCAGCAACATGCCAAATAGCCATCTGGGCTGGTGGGGTGGGGTCGGGATGGACCCTGAGTCTCCAGGCCCCTGTCAGGCCCTTTCCTAAGGGCACACAGGCCCAGCCCTGGGGCACCTGCCCCGCCCAGAGGGCCTGGACCCTTGACCTGTTCTCCAAGCCCCATTCAAGCATGCAAGCCTTGTGCACCAGGAGCCCGCAGACGGGCCCTCCTCACACCAGCCAGGCTCTCCTGGAACCAGTCACCGGCCACCCCATTGGGGCCTTGGGATGCACAGTCCTTCTGCCCCTGAGGCTCTCCCCCATGAGATGCTGTCCTCAGCCGGGCTGGCTGGTCCGAACTTGGGAGCTTGGCTTGCTCGGAGGGGTCTCCTCGCTCAGCCCTCTCCCAGCTCCCCAGTCTCCTTCTTCCAGGCCAGCTGCACACTTTGGGGTGATGTCCTCCAGCCTCTGCATCTTTCCTGGTCAGACTGTGAGTTCTGAGCCTCCGGGCCTGCGTCCCAGGCCCAGCATGATGCTCACCAAGCCGGGTGCAGGAGAGGACAATGGGAGAGGCAGGGCAGGCCCAGGGAAGCTAGGAGCCACCGCCTTTCCCGGGAGGGCCCTGGCTTCCTCTGAATCACAAAGTGGTTAGCATGCAGGGGAGTGCGCCGGTCCCCCGCCTGTATTTGCATGACAAAAGCGCCTGCCCAACGGCTCTCGGTGGCTTTGTTGAGAGCTGCAGCCTCGCTCAGGCTGAGCCTTGGGAATTGTTCCCCGACATTGGTTGTTCCTGGGCTCCACAGCTACCCCGGCCGACAAAAGCCACATTGTGGGGCTGACGGCAGCTGCCAGCACCTGCTCCCTGCACCGCGGCTGCCTCGAGGCTCTGCGCCGCGCCTGATGCCTTTGCTAGGACACAGCCAGGGGCAGACCCCGAGGCCCTGGGCATCATCCAGAACACATTGTGAGGGGTGGGGTGGGTGGTGGGGGAAACTTGCCTGGTTCCCAAAGGGCCTGGGGGGATGGCCTGGGGCTGGCCATGGCGAGGTGAGGACTCCAAGGTCACCAGTGTAGGCTGGAAGAGGGAAGAAAACCACAAACCCCAAGCGTGCGGCGCCCACGCTGCAGCATTGCATTATTTGATGCTTCGCTCACAACAGGTGTTTTTCTTACTCTTCAAATGGGGAAACAGGCTCAGAGAGGTTCACTAGCCAGCCCAGTATCACACAGCAGAGCCGAGGTTTGAAGGTCCCGGCCCCTCGGGGCATGCTTCTCACAGCGGTCCCAGAGTTTCCCCTGGCCCTTTCCCCTTTCCCTTCTGAGCTTCTCAGTCCTTTCTCTCTCTCCTCAATGGCCTTGCCACAGCATCCAGCTGCCTTGGCGGCAAGCACAGTGCCCTCCGCCCTCGCTGCGTCCCTGGGGTGCCTGCCGTCAGTGGCATCCCCTTCCTTGTGGAGCACTTCCCCCTTCCTCACTGGTCCTGGGGCTGTGTCCATTACATACCACTCCCTTGTGTCTTTTATGGATCCACAAACTCCTGTTAGCCCACCGAGCCCTGTGCACCCCTCCTCTTCCCCAGAAGCTCCTCCTGAGCCCTGCTGCCTTCTCTCCATGCATGGTCCTGTGTCCCGGCTGTGAGCACCTGCATTTTGGCACCTGGTACCTAGCCCAGAAGCTCCACCTCAGTGCCTGCAATCAGCCAGCGCTCATGAAACTAAATTAACTTCACGACTGTATTCCAAATGCAAATGTTGTCGCTACTCTGACTTACAGGAGAAAGTCTTAACTAGTGCTTGCCTCTGGCTCACCTGAAGGGGCTAGGGCCGTGCCAGTCACAGATGCGAAGGCCTCCGCACACCCGCAGGCAGCGGCCTTTCCTGAGGCCTTGACAGAGACAGGAACTGTGTAGGAAAAGCTGTGTTGAAGGCCATCCCCTCCAGAGATCAGAGCAGGGAAGGGGGCCATTACCACTGAGTCACCCTGGGGTGGGAAGGCTGTGCAGCAAACCTGCAAACAGCATGAGGAGAGGAGCCCTGAAAGCCACCGCCTGCTCCTGAGGGACACAGCCCACCTGCAGAGACTCTGGGGGAGGCTCCCTCCTTCTTTCTCCCGGGGATCTCCTGCTGGGACTCCCTGAAGTCCAAAACCAACCAGAGGGAGGTCAAAGGAGTCCATGATGCACCCAGTGGACTGGGGTAGAGGTGTGTCCTCTGAGGAGCCAGGAGCACAGCCCCCAGGGGAAAGGTTGGCCCAGCTGGAGGTGACACTATGACTAGGAAACAGGGCTGTGGGAAGGATCAACATGCAGCAGGTGCAGAAGCCAGAGCTCAGGAGGAGAAAGGCCCAGCAGCCTCAACAAGAAAGGGAGGTGTGGGGAAGACCCCAAGGAGAGGCTGCAGGTGGGCCGGGCCAGCAGGAGAGCTGTGGGCGGGACCTCAGTGTCACAGCCCAGGAGGAGCTGAGCCCTTGCCTGGGCCCCACCCTCCCCTGCCTGCACCCCTGCTGCACAACCATTCAGCTTGTGGGGGAAGACAGAGCCAGCTGCAGGCTGTGGGGAGAAGGACCGGTGCTTGCCCTCCTTTTAGGTCCCAGGGACTCCCCCATCGCACCTGCGAGGAAGCTTTTGGGGGTCAGAGCTGCCTTGATCAAGCTTACAGTGAGCTTGAAAACCCTCGGACACACAGGCTAACAATTCTCACCAGGAAAACCCTGGGACATCTCAGAGAGGCAGAAGGGAGTTGTGGAATTAGAAACATTTCATCCTCTGCTCCCCCACTACTGGGAAAGCAAAAACCCACACCTCAGAGCATGCTCATTTGCTACGTATCCAATTAAACCTTAAAGGGCACTTGGAATTTGAATGAGTTCCCCAAATTGTCCCAAGTTATGCAACTGAGTCAGAATTCAGGGTCTGTAATAAGACCCCGGGGGTGGCCCACACTGGATGGGCTGATCCAATGGATGTGCCCAGCCACTCTCCGGTGCCACCTCCCCTACAAGAGCTGCCAGGTCAGAAACTTGCTTCCCCCATCTCCCCCAGTGCTGGCGGGGACAAGCACCCTGTGGCCAGTAAAGTGAAGCAGAAGTCTTCTGGAAAAGCAGCTTCTTCTTACGGAGGGCACAGGTTGCTGGCTTCTACCAGCCTCCCCGGGCTTCTGACTCCAGCTGCAGACCTGGAGCAGTGACAAGTGTCTCTAGAGCAGAAAGCCAACACTTTAAGGATGGTAGAGGAGCCGGGTCCCTGTGGGCACCCCTGAGCCACTTCCCTGGCCCTGGGAAGGCCCACCTGCCAACCTCTTATGATGGGAGACCCCTGTTTGTTTAACTGGCTGTCAACTGATCTAACAGATCAACAGGCTCCAACATAGGTCCCGGGCGTGGCTTTGTGTGGCCCACTGTGTCTCTTGCAGCAGGTTTCCCTCCTGTGCAGGGGGCCTAATTCCTGCATCATGGAGTGTCTTATCAGCTCAGGAGGCTATTACAAAATAGCACAGACTGGGTGGCTTATTTCTCACTGTTCTGGGGCTGGGAAGTCCAAGATCCAGGCGCCAGCAGCGGGCTTTCTCCCTGGCATGGAGATGGCCGTCTTCCTCCTGTTACCGCACATGGTGGAGATGTTCTCTCTCTCTCTTCTCTCTCCTCCCTCTCTTCTTAAAAAGTCACGAATCCAGCTGGGCACGGTGACTCATGCCTGTAATCCCAGCACTTTGGGAGGCTGAGGCAGGTGGATCACCTGAGGTCAGGAGTTCGAGACCAGCCTGGCCAACATGGCGAAACCCCAACTCTACTAAAATCACAAAAATTAGCCGGGTCTGGTGGTGGGCGTCTGCAATTCCAGCTACTCGGGAGGCTGAGGCAGGAGAATTGCTTGAACACAGGAAGTAGAGGTTTCATTGAGCTATGATTGTGCCACTGCACTCCAGCCTGGGTGATAGAGCAAGACTCCATCTCAAAAAAAAAAAAGGTCACTAATGCTATCCTGAAGACTCCGCACTCATGACCTAATCACCTCCCAAAGGCCACCGTCACACTGGGGGTTGGGGCCTCAACACATAAATTTGGGGATGTGGGGACCAAATTCAATCTGTGGGGATGAGACAGGAGCCTGAGAAGCCTGAGTGCTTGGTGTCATGATGGGTGGACAAATGTAGACGATTTCCTAGTAATCACCAATTTCTTCCAGACATAACCCCCTGCCTTCTGGAGAGCACACTGGGGGAAGACGAGGGGTACTCTTTTTTTGTCTTATCTCTAAGAAAGGATGGGAGGGTGACTGGGTGGGGGCAGGGCTACAGATGGCTGTGAGCCTGAGAACAGCCCCATGGCCTAGGGTCGCTGAGAGTGGGGCTGGAGGTCTGTGGTCCTGGAAGCAAACTTCTTAAAGGGCAGGAAAACCAACGGTGCCTTTGTCAGAGCTTAGCTGTATCTTTACAGACAACGGTGGCAGTGAGAGGATGAAATGTTCTGGTCCCTGCAGCTCCCTTCTCCACCCTCACCGGCACTCTCCCAACACACCCCGAAGAGGTGGGTAGGCTCCAGAAAAGCCCTAACATGGGGTATGACCAGGGTGAGAGTGCAGCATTCTGAAGACAGAGATCTCAGTTTGGTTGATAAAGAAGCAATATTTAAGCCAGGCTCAGTGGCTCACGCCTATAATCCCAACACTCTGGGAGGCCAAGGCAGGCAGATCACTGGAGGTCAGGAGTTTGAGAGCAGCCTGGTCAACATGGTGAAACCCCGTCTCTACTAAAAGTACAAAAATCAGCCAGGCGTGGTGGCAGGCGCCTGTAATCCCAGCTCCTCAGAAGACTGAGGTGGGAGAATTGCTTGAACCTGGGAGGCGGAGGTTGCAGTGAGCCAAGATCACGCCACTGCACTCCAGCCTGGGTGACAGAGTAAGACTCCATCTCAAAAAAAAAAAAAAAAAAAAAAAGGAGCTATTTGGATAGAAAAGAGATTAAGAGTCCATTGCAAAAATGTAAATATGGTCTGCATATTATACAATATTCATAGATTAACAATAAAGTTCTTCAGTCCAATACAGGCTCTGCGGCTATCCAAGAGCAAGTCCTCCTTTTTTGCAAATGTGTAGGGCAAAGTGTTGTGATGTCAGCAGCTGACTTTCAAATCATTTCAAAAAATATAGAGATATAGACAGAGAGATGGAAAGAGAAATACAGTGAACATGGCAATCACTGAAGAGCCGGCGAATCAGAGTAAAGCGTGTTCTTTGCACTACTCTTTTGGCTTCTGGTTGATTTATTATTATTATTATTATTTTGAGACAAAGTCTCCCACTGCTGCCCAGGTTGGAGTGCAGTGGTGTGATCTTGGCTCACTGCAACCCCCACCTCCCAGGTTTAAGCGATTCTCCTGCCTCAGCCTCCTAAGTAGCTGGGATTACAGGCGTGTGCCACCACTCCCGGCTAATTTTGGTATTTTTAGTAGAGACCGGGTTTCACCATGTTGGCCAGGCTGGTCTTGAACTCCTGGCCTCGTGATCCACCTGCCTCGGCCTCCCAAAGTGCTGGGATTACAGGCGTGAGCCACTGCGACCAGCTGAAAATTTTTGAAACAGAATGTTGAGGAGAAAAACAGGAGCTGCTAGGCTCTCTGCTGTATCCCCTGACTTTGAAGGCATGTGTCCTGGACAGTCCTGGCATTCTGGGCACTGCCCTCTCACCCTGCTGCAGCCCCGGGTGGTCGTCTCCTGTGGATCAAGTGCCTTGCAGAGCCCTCTTCAGCACCGAGGAGATATTTATGTGGCAGCCCCATGAGAGGCAGGACGATGCTCCCCACTTTAGGATGAGGGCGCCAGGCATTTGGGGCAGTCCAGCCAGGACTCCAGCCCAGCCTCTGCCCTGCACAGCGCACCTTGGGCAGCCCCTGGGGGCCCCAGAAGCTTCTTGGCTGCAGCTGCGTGCTTCTCACCGTGCTCCCCTGACAGACTGGATCTGAGATCTTCCCCGGGGCAGCCCACTCTGCTGACCAGGGTTGCAAGGTGGCCTGCTGGGAGAACCAATGGCAGAGCCACCAGCTGCCCACCAGATCTCCCCCAATGGGTCTGTCCCTGCAGATTCAGAGAGTCAGCAGAGGGTGCTGAAGCTGAGCCATGAGGCTGCTAGGAGAGGAAGCCCTGGGATGCTAAGAGCCAAAGGGGCAAAGCCAGCAGAGAGGGGCAGCTGCAGCATCTGCAAGAGAAAGGATGAGAGCCAGGAGAGGGGGCTGCCCACAGCAGTCACTGCCAGGTGGTCCTCCTGTCTGAGCATCCAGTTGTCCTTCCCCAAGCCTTGTTTCTGCAGGTCCCTCCAGCAGAGCTCCCAAGGCCCCCTGGTGAGCTCTGCTCACTGCATCCTCGCAAGGGGCTGCGTTGGGTCCAGACTTGGCACTGGAGAGGGCCGTATGTGCGAGGGGCAGCCCTGCTGCGGGAAGAGAGGACCTCCTTATTCTCTCTTATTATGTAGCCGGAGGACGCAGCAGGGTGGGTGCAGAAGCTCCTCTGCCCGTGGGGGGCTCCTGGGCCACCGGCAAGGCTCTGGGTCCCGGGCAGTGGGTGGAGGGAGAGCAGAAGGCAGCAAGGGTTCCTCTCTCCCAGTTCGGGGTCTCTTGGAAATCACAGATATCGTGCTGGGCCCTTAGATCCCACGGACCCAAGTGTGGTCTCCTGGCACGCCCAGCTGCCAGGGAGGTTGGCGAGTCAGGGATTTGTATTTTTTTCCCCCTTATCTCTGCTCAGAGGCCCTTGGGAAGATATACCCACGGTGAAGGAAGAGGGCCTAGAAATACCATGATGGAGTCTATATAAGCCAGTTGTGAAAAAAGAACTATGGTGAGCTTATCTTTTAGGATCTGTGGGTTTTTTGCTTTTTTTTTTTTTTTTTTTTTTTGAGACGGAGTTTGGCTCTTGTTGCCCAGGCTGGAGTGCAATGGTGTGATAGCTCACTGCAACCTCCGCCTCCCAGGTTCAAGCAATTCTCCTGCCTCAGCCTCCTAAGTAGCTGAGATTACAGGTGCCCACCACCACGCCCAGCTAATTTTTTGTATTTTAAGTAGAGACGGGGTTTCACCATATTGGCCAGGCTGGTCTCGAACTCCTGACCTCAGGTGATCCACCCACCTCAGCCTCCCAAAGCGCTGAGATTACAGGAGTGAGCCACCGTGCTCGGCCAGGATCTGTGTTTATCTGGTAGTAACCTTGGCTTAAATATCAAGAAATATCAAGAAATGTCAGTCCTCCACCCCCCTCAATAAAAGAAGTTCAGTGTTAGGCAGTCCAAGTAAGTTATGGGAGGCTCCATGATGTCACCAGGGACCCAGGCTTCATTCCACTTTCCCTTTGATTTTTAGCATATGATTTCCAGTCTCAGAGTTGCCTCATATTCACAAAATGGCTGCTGGAGTACCAGCTATCACATTTGCATTCCAAACAGCCAGTAACAGGAAGAGGCAAAGGGTACATTTTAGCTACTTGTTCCCATTCTTAAAAAGCTTTTGGCAAGCCTTACCTAACAACTTCTGTTTATATCTCAGTAACCTCCAATTCTTTCAAGGGAGGCTGGGAAATGTTTTTTAGCCAGGTACCTTGCTGCTTAGAATACAGTTACAGAAGGAAGGGAATAACAGATACTGGACAGGTGTGGTGGTTTTGAAAGATGTCTCCAAATGTTTGGAAGTTTCTCCCTTCAAAAGGCAGAGCCAAATTTCCCTCCCTTTGAATCTGGGCCAGACTTAGTAACTCAGAAGAGCCAACTAATAAATAGGGTAAAAGTGATGCTCTGTGATGTCTGAAGCTAGGCCATAAAAAGAACAGCTGTTCCCTCTTGATCACTTGCTCTAGGTCAGGAAAGCCAGCTGCCATGTTATGAGGATGCTCAAGCAGCTCTGTGGAAAAGTCCAAGTGGGAAGGAACTGAGGTTTCCCACTAACAGCCAGTGCTAACTTTCCAGTTGTGTGAGTTACTGTCATGGAAGCAGATTCTCCAACCCCAATCTGGGGCAACAGCAGCCCCAGTCAATGTCATGACTATAATCTCATGAGAGACCCCAAGCCAGCATCCCCCACTGTAGCCACTCCCAAATCCACAGAAACTGCAAACATGGTAGTAAATGTTTATTGTTACTTTAAGCCACTACGTTTTGGGGTATTTGGTTATGCAGCAATAGCTGCCTAACAGTAAACAATTAGCAGTGGCCGTCATAATGTGTAAAAAGAGAAAACTAGTCTGTTGATGGCAGAAAAGAGTGAAGAAATGGTTCTTTCCTGAAGAAAATGAAGGTTATCAGCAATTTTTAACTTATTATGCTTTTAAGTACTTTTCCATTTAAATAATGATACAATAAGGCAGGTACTGAAGCATGGGTCTATGGAGACTGTGTCAGAGGGGCCAGGTCTGAGACAGCCATCATCCCTGTCATCTCCCTGAGGAGGTGACTGGGCCGCAAGGACCCCACGTGGACAGTGGCCAGGTGGAAGAGTGGTGTGGGATGGGCACCCCTCCTCCCTTCAGAGGAAGCTGGCTGTGAGGAGGCAGATAGCTCACCAGCGGGGACCCACCCGGCAGCCGCAAGTACTGGGAAGTCTCAAGTCGGTCCCCAAGTCAAACGTGGTATAGGTCAAATCCCCGTGAAAATGCCTTAGCCCACCCGTCAAGTGCAGACGTCAGACCCAAGGCCAGCAGCACCGGTTGTTCCCCCACAACTGATTTGGGACCTTGATCACATCTGCAAAACCCCTTCACAGAAACACCGAGTATTTGACTAACTGGGAGAAAGAAGGTGAGTACAGACCACAGGCAGGATCCTGGGGCCATCTTAGAATTCTGCCAGCCACAGCACGATTGCATCACTGCTTCTCAGTTTTTCAGTTTGGAGCCTGTCTGTTGACTACATTTGCTCCCCCCAGGGTTGAAAGGGATCCTTTTCTTGTGTTTGAGCACTTGACCAGTAGTTTCTTGGTTTATAGAAACTATAGGCTGGGCGCGGTGGCTCACGCCTGTAATCCCAGCACTTTGGGAGGCTGAGGCAGGTGGATCACGAGGTCAGGGGATCGAGACCAGCCTGGCCAACATGGTGAAATCTCGTCTCTACTAAAAATACAAAAAAAAAGTAGGTGGGTGTGGTGACGTGTGCCTGTAGTCCCAGCTACTCGGGAGGCTGAGGCAGGAGAATCGCTTGAACCCAGGAGACAGAGGTTGCAGTGAGCCAAGATCGTGCCACTGCACTCCAGCCTGGGTGACAGAGGGAGACTCCATCTCAAGAAAAAAAAAAAGAAAAAGAAAAAAGAAACTATAAACCAAGTTGTTTGTTCCAGTTACTGTTGCTGTGTAACAAACAAGCCCAAACGTAATGGCCTAAAGCAATAACCATTGCTTCTGTGGGTCAAGAATTTGGACAGTGCCCAGCAGGGATGATCTGTTTCTGCTCCTCCCATTTGAGGCCTCAGCTGGGAGGTCTGTAAGGCTGGATGATTCCAACAGATCAGGGCTGGAACACCCAGGGCTGGAAAGCTAAGGACCTGCTGCCCCATGCACATGCCTGGCACTGTGTCAGGGATGGAGGGAAAGCTGGGCTCAGCTGGCCCGTCCCCAAACACCCACCAGATTGAGTAGTTGGACTTCTTACATGAAGCTCAGTGCCCCAAGCAGAGGTATGTGTGAGTGCCCGTGCCCAGGGAGCCAGGAGGAAGCTGCCCCACCTTTTATGACCCAGCCTTGGAAGTCACAAGGCTGCCCTTCTAGGCCAAAGCAGTCACCAGTGGCCCAGACTCGATGGCAGGAGCATCAAATAAGTGTGTGGCCATTTTGTTTTTTTTTTTAGACCGAGTCTCACTCTGTGGCTCAGGCTGGAGTGCAGTGGTGCAACATTGGCTCACTGCAACCTCCATCTCCCGGGTTCAAGCAATTCTCCTGCCTCAGCCTCCTGAGTAGCTGGGATTACAGGCGTGCACCACTATGCTCAGCTAATTTTTTTTTTTTTTGGTACTTTTAGTAGAGATGGGGTTTCACCATGTTGGCCAGGCTGGTCTCGAACTCCTGACCTCAAATGATTTTGCCTGCCTCAGCCTCCCATAGTGCTGGGATTACAGATGTGAGGCACCGTGCCCGGACTGGCCATTTTTTAAGAAACTGCAACAACACTGTATGAACAATCTCTGCCTTGAAGCAGGGGGTTCCTTCAGCTCAGCAGGGCCATGAGCTCAGGGGATCCCTGGTCCCTCCTTGCTTGCACTGAAGGTCTCCCTGAGATCAGGGGCAGCCCCCATGCCAGCCGGTCCTCTCTGTGTTGCAGGCACGCGGTGGAGCCACTGTAGTAGAGATGTGTGCACACCGCTGGGGTGGTTACATTCATGGGCAGCTCCCCTGGATGTCTCACTGTCAGCAGGCCCAGGAATCCAGGCTGCAGTTCCTGAGCTGAGCTGTCTCAGTCCAGGATTACCGCGTCATAATGACACCTGGGCAGATAAAGGTCTTTGAGGAGAGACTTCAAGGAGACCACAGATGTGGCTGGAGAATTCCCCCATTGACTGGGCACCTATTTCCTGAATGGCTGCTCATCCAAGGCACCGGGCGCCAAGGGGAGATGGCTGGTGACTGACCCCAGAGCTGGCTGAGAGCCATGGGCATTCTTACCCCATTGGAGAGGAGTTGTTTAAGGATCTACCTTGTATCCACCCACCAGACCCAATGCAGACCCCTCAAAGGGTCCCAGTCAGTGGTTTCCAGTGGGAATGATTTCTGGACTTTCAGGAAGTGACTTCAGGTTGGAAATGGCAGCCTTGTGGCTGCTCTCAAGTTTCCTGTAATATGATTAAATCTGATTTTTAACTTCTTCTCCTTTCTCTTTCATTGAGGGGAAAACAGTCTTTTTTTTATTCCTGGAATATTAACATCCCTCTTGGTGCAGTTCTCTGCTCTACACAGGAAACAAGTTCACACCCCATACCAAATCAGAAAGCTCCAGTTCAAAGAGGCTCAGATAGAAAGAACTACTGAGACCTATATTCTGAAAATATTTTAAATCAATTTGTTGAACTATAAAATCAGGGCAAGAGCTCCTGACTCTTCAATATACTGTCCTACAAAGACAGCCCAGGGCCCATAAAACTAACTGAATACATGAAGAACATGATAGATTGAGGATTCACTGCCTGCCGCCCCCAGGTTAACAACAGACCATGTGTGCTGATTGCTGAGCTCAACCTGACCATGAGTGACCTAGCAGTTCATTTCCAGCTCCACTTCCTGTGATTTGATGGTGCCTAGATGCTACTGACTGGTACTCACTTTAGCAGTAACAAAAAGAAAAACTTCATGTGTATCGGAACGGCTAATCCTTGCCATCTTTCAGCTCTAGATGCAAACAGCCCAGAATTCAAGGCAATCATAGCCTACATTGTTCATGATAAATCCTCCCAATCCCATTAATAAGAACACTCATTAGAATGGATTCCCATGACAGCCCAGAATGAACCAGCCTGGCTCTCCCTGAATTGATTTGGTAAGTCCCTGCGTTAACTGGCTAGCTTCCTGTAGGCTGGCAGTGGGGGCACCAGTGTGAGGTGAAAGGACTCTAGGCCAAGAGCCTGGGCTCTGCATCTTGCTACGTGTGGCTCTCGGAGTCTCTTGGCCTGATGGAGGCTGAGTTTTCTCACCTGGACATGTGAATGAATGGCACCTTCTGTGTAGAGTTCCTGTGTGTGTCAATGTGCCTGGTGAGCGCTGATGGGTGGGGGTTTATTGCCATTGATCAGAGGCTTGGCAGGAATCTCAGAGTCAATGGGATAAAACGCAGCATTTGACCCTGAGACCTAACTGGGGAGAGGATCACCAGTTACGAATGGCAGACAACCAAGGAGTGAGAGTGGAAGGGGACACGTAGAATGGATAATTGTCGTCAAGGCTGGAGATCGTCCCAGATCACGACGGAGGGCAGGGATCCCATGTCAGTTTTCATGTTTAGGAGTGGGAGCCATCTGCTCTGGCAAGCCTAGAAGGGATCGTCCGTCATTTTAACATGCTTCCCTTGTACATTTGTTGCAGACACTGTAAATACCTCTCCAGTGTTTCGATGGCTCGGATTCAGAAGCATTGCTGGTTTTAATCTTTCCCCGTGTAAATGTGCACCAGATGTGAAGTTGGCTTTCGTCCTTTAGAACTTGATCAATTATTTTGCACTCTGGACTAATGGGAGACAGGGCATGAAAACAGAGTTTTCTACCCCGATCCCATGTCATACGACAGAAAATGGCTCATTCTTTGTACAACGCCAAACCATCAGTGACTGAGATGAGGTTTTTCTCAGAAGTTCCTCATCCAACAACCCTATTCTGAAATGGTCAGGCTTGAGGGCTGCAAAAGCTTTGGGGTCAAAGCCCTCCTTGGATGGAAGGATTCCTTGGTGACATTATGAGTACATTAGGAGACAGGTCAAAAGCAGATAGGAGAGTGTGTGGGGGGCTTGAGCACTTACACATGACTCCTGGGCTGAGGAGGACATTGCCTGCCCTCTGAATTGGGGGGCACTGAGCGCTGACACTATGAGACATCCTGGATAAACCAAACCACCCTCAGCTCCAGGCTGGGCTCTGTGAGCAGAAGCAGGGCTTGCAGGCAATGGCTACCCTGGGAGAAAGGGAGGACGGTGCCCAGAGTGGGCATCTCACAGCCTGGCTGTCACCAGGAAGCCTAGAGAGCCACACTCCAGAAAAAAGTCCAGCCCCACTCTACCTGGCACCTGTTGTTTTTCTTCCCTGTCCCATTTTCCACATTGATTACGGTAGGCTAAGTCCCAGTAACAGGTGGACCCCAGCGTATATTGTGGTTCAAACACAGTGATGGTTCGGGAGCATGTTCTTGGCCAAAAGACTTTTGCGTCCCAGGCTCGTTCTATTTGGTGGCTCCATCATCCCCTAGAGCTCTGTCGCCATAAGCATGCAAATGGCAGGCAGGGAAGGGAAGCTACAGCATGGAGACCTGCTCTCTTAAAAGCCCCAGTGCAGAGGTGACAGGCAGCCCCTCCACTCATACTCCCATGTTGAGAATTAGTCACCTGCTCACAACTAACTACCAAGGTGTCTGGGAAGGCCGGGTGCTGTGGCTCACGCCTGTAATCCCAGCACTTTGGGAGGCTGAGGCAGGCGGATTACCTGGCTAACACGGTGAAACCCCGTCTCTACTAAAAATACAAAAATTAGCCGGGCATGGTGGCATGCACCTGTAATCCTAGCTACTCAGAAAACTGAGGCAGGAGAATCGCTTGAACCCAGGAGGCAGAGGCTGCAGTGAGCAGATTGTGCCACTATACTCCAGCCTGAGCAACAGAGCGAGGCTCTGTCAAAAAACAAACAAACAAACAAAAAGGTGTCCGGGAAGTGAACTGAGTCGCAACTGTGGAGAGGAGAGATTTCACTGGGCAGCTAGTAGTCTCTGACCCCATCTTTTGATTTTTGTTTTTCCTTACATCTAAGTTAACCATGCATATCACTTGAAGAGTCAAGTCATTCTATAAGGTTTGTTAGGAAACACAGCAGTCCTTCCCTCCTTTCCTCCCCTTTCCATCCCTAGAAATTATCTCTTTTTCCTCTTTTACCTAATTATTTCCACGACTCAAACAGCATGGGTATTCGTTTTCCACTGCTGCATAACAAAACAGCACAAGCTTAGTGGCTGGAGACAGCACCGGTTTAGCATCTCGAGGTTCTGTGATCAGAAGCCTGGGCAAAGTGCAGCTGGGTTTCTGCTCAGGGTCTCAAGAAGCTAAAATCAAGGTATTGCCCAGGCTGTGTCCACTGCAGCTTGGGTCCTTGTGCAAGCTCCACGTGGTAAGAGTCTTCTTTGTGGTTACAGGGCTGAGGTCTCCATTTCAGTTGACTGCCATCCGGGGGCCACTGTCAACTACCAGAGGCTGCTGGAGTTCCTTGCCATGTGGCCCCTTTGTCTTTAAAGCCAGCAATACGGACTCTTCCTCACTTCAAATCCCTGTCTTGCTTCTACTCTCTCTGAGCTCCCTGTCTCTGACCTTTGACCCAGATTGAAAGGGTTTACAGGATTAGTACAGGCCCACCCAGATACCGTCTCCCTATCTTCCAGTCAACTGATTTGGGACCTTGATCACATCTGCAAAACCCCTTCAGTGTTTGACTAACTGGGAGAAAGGTGAGTACAGACCACAGGCAGGATGCTGGTGCCATCTTAGAATTCTACCAACCACAGCACGATTGCATCGCTGCTTCTCGGTTTTTCAGTTTGGAGCCGTGTCTATTGACTTCCCATTATGTAGACAGGGACTTCCCTCCCACCCCTGTGCCATGTGTACACATGAGTGCCCAATTCCCCTACCAGATCCATACAGAAAAGCTTATAAGATCAGTGTTTAGTATTCATTATTACCATTATGAAAACACTATTTGCAACTGTGCCAAGTAGTCAACTGTAACGGACTTTCCTTTTGTTTTCTTTGGAGCTTTTTATGGTCTTTTCTCTTCATTTAGTTTTCTGTCTACTTATTATTTCAATCCCAAACCCTTCACCAGTTTTCTCAATCTTCTCAAGTCAGATTGGGTATTGGAGAAACTCTTAATGTGTCCCTGAATAGTTCAGTTCCTTGCCTTTTGGGGACATCATGGGTCTACTCCTGGCTCCCTGTGGACAGGATGGTGTCTTAGTCTGTTCAGGCTGCTATTACATAATCACCAGAAACTGGGAGGCTTATGAACAACAAAAATTTGTATCTCACAGTTCTGGAGGCCGGAAAGTCCAAGATCAAGGAGCTGGCAGATCCGGTGTCAGGCAAAGCCCTACTTTCTGGTTCATAGAAGGCCATCTCCTTACTATAACCTCACATGGTGGAAGGGGCCAGGGAGTACTCTGGGAGTACTCTGGGGTCTCTGTTCTTTCTTTTTTTTTCTTTTTTGAGACAGTCTTGCTCACCTAGGCTGGAGTGCAGTGGAACGATCTCAGCTAACTGCAACCTCTGCCTCCTGGGTTCAAGTGATTCTCCTGCCTCAGCCTCCCAAGTAGCTGGGATTACAGGTGTGCACCACCATGTCTGGCTAATTTTTGTATTTTTTTTAGTAGAGATGGGGTTTCACCGTGTTGGCCAGGCTGGTCTTGAACTGCTGACCTCAAGTGATCCACCTGCCTCAGCATCCCAAAGTGCTGGGATTACAGGCAAGAGCCACTGCGCCCTGCCTGGGGTCTCTTTTCTAAGGACACTAATTCCACTATGAGGGCTCCACTCTCATTACCTAATTACCTCTCAAAGATCTCTCCTCCAAATATCATTATATTGGGATTAGGATTTCAACATACGAATCCTGGAGAAACACAAACATGCAGTCTTTAGCAGACGGTCCATATGACCAGTTATGAGCAGAAATGATGTGTGTCACTTCTGTGCCAATGCAAGACCTTACAGAAAGTCCCTTTTTCCTCTGCCATGGTGACTGTCAGAGAGTGGCTGCTTTGTTGATCTGAGTGCTGGGGTGAGGATGATAATGACAGACAGCAACGTCTCCATCCAACCCTCAATGTACTGAGAATTAGGCTTTTGTTATTTTAAGCCATTGAGCTTCAGGAACTATTTGTTACTGTAGCATAACTTAGCTGATCCTGACTGGTCCAGAGAATAGTAACCAGGAATGGGGCACTGCTGCAACAGAAAACAAGATATGTGGCTGATCAAGCAGGCAGTGGGAAAATGGATTCTGAAGGCTCGAAGCATGGCCATCCATGTATTGAATGGCATAATATTTAGTAAATTGTCACCTTGGATAACTTAAAAGGTTCAGGGAAAAGAGACTAAGGGTGTTACTCTACCATCAAAGACTGAGAGGCTCAGAGGATCTGCAATTAAGTTGAGAGACAGGCATGTCTTGAAAAGTACTGTGAGTAGATACAATGAAACCAAGTGAAAGCAAAGAGACTAGGTAAGATGTTAACTACATTTTTGAGAAACTAGCAGTGCCCAAAACTAGGATTAATACAATCTGTGGCTGGAATACAATTTCCGGCCTCCAGAACTGTGAGATATAAATTGCAAAAGGAAAAACTTCCCGAGGGTGGAGTAAAGCCCTGACTGCCCCATCCTCAAACTCCACAGTGAGCAGATTTGAGGCTATTCAAGGACTAGTCTCACTTTAGGGCAGGGGGCAGTATCTGCCCAGCAGGGTTTCAGGATTGCTATGGATACTGTCTACTGTGTGTCTCCCCCTCCTCCCTTTTCTGAATTAGGCTGTTAGTTGTGTTATTCTGTCTCTTTGCACTTTCAGCATTGGGTGTGCATACGAGCAGCGGGGGCCCAGACAATTCATCTTTAGGCCGTAGGTCTCTAAACCAAGAGGAACCACATGAGCCACATGAAGAAGCCACTGTTCCTCCCACGGGGGTCCTGGGCTTTGACTGGCTGCCATAGAATGTCCCTCACCTCAAATTCCTGTTATCCTGTCTCTGGGCTCTAGACTCAGACTAAAAAGGCATGTGAGATGGGTCAGGCCCACCCAGGGAGGGGTAAAATGTATTTCGTGTGTGGGAAAGAAGGGATAGTTAACACCCTTGGGTCCATGCTATCCCTTGTCTTCTGTGCGGCAACCAGCACATTCTAGACAGAGGCTGCTCCATCAACCTGCTGTCCCCAGGTGCCTCCCTATGGACACGCAGCATGGCCAGAAATAAACCTTTGAGCTTTGCAGTGTGGCCCAGCCTCTCCTGACTGATACAGGGACTCTGTTCATTCTACCTCTTGAAGACGTGTTCCTGGAGCTGCCGATCTGCTCCAGCCTGGGCTGCTGACACTCTGCACCTGGCTGGGCAGCTATCACCTGGGACTTACTTTCCCTTCCATCCTGCAATGACTTCCCTGCTTTGTGGATCACGTCTCCTGCTTTCTTGGTTTACATCTTTGTTTTGATGAAGTATAATCTCTGGTGGCTTCCTACTATGAGAAAGGATGCATGGGGGATAAATTTTTTGAAACCTCATGCGTCTGAAAAATACTTGGTTTATAGTTTGGCTGGGTGAAGGCTGGAAAATAATTTTCCTTTACATTTATTTCCCATGGCTTTGTTCCCTTCCTTCTAACTTCAACTGGTTGTTGTGGAGAGGCCCACAGTCATTCTGACCCGACTATCCGTAGGTGACCTGTTTTAATGTTAGGACACTTTTGTCCCCTGCATTCTGAAACTCACCAATGATATGCCTTGGCGTAGAGCTATTCTTTCCCACTGTGTTGGGCTCTCTCCCTTTCAGCATATGTCGTGAAGGCCTCTCTTGGATTAATAATTCATTGACGATTTTCTCTCTTGTGTTTTCTCTGATCACCTGTTTGGGTCCCTACTCATTGATCAATAATTTTTTTGGTTGGTCCACTAATTTAGCTTTTCTCTACTTTCCATTTTTTAAAAAAAATTTTGGTTCTACTTTCAAGGAGGTTTTTTACTTTTACATTTCTGTTACCTTGTAAACATCTCAAGAACACTTTTTTTCCCCTGAATGTTTCTTTATATATGTTCTCCCTTCACAGGTTGTATGTCTTTTAAAATTTAATGACATTATTGATGGTTTTGTTGATGTTTCTTTCTTTCTGCATAGTCTGTTTCTTCCAACTTGCTTTTTAAAAACTCTATTGTGGCTTTGTATTTCATGACACAGGGTTTCCTGAGATGCCGGTCAGCTCTGGCTCCCTGCTTGTCCTTGGCCTGGGAGGGACTGAGAGGCTGATGAGAACTTCTGTGCACATGAGTGGCAGTGTTAACTGTGGCCTTCCCTATAGGGTGAGCTGGCTGTTTAATTGGGCAGCCACAAATGTTAGAATGTCTGGGTGTTTCCCCTTGGCATGGTTGGCTACCCCAGGAAAGACCCTTCTAGTCTCCTGGCTGCTTGCATTCTGAAATCCCAAAAAGGGGTTTGTGGGTCTCAGCATCCAGTATCCATGTGTGTATTTAATCCCCTGATCCTATTACCGTACCTCTGTCCTTAATTGTGCCTGGTGTCCACCTACCCAAGACGCTGCCTTTTAGTTTTTTCAGGTCATAAATATCCAGCCTTTCGTCAGAACAAGGAAGGGGCAGTTGTCAGGCTGCATGAAATTGGGGTGCAGATATGGGCATCTGAGTGCTCCTCAAGCTGACGTTCTGCCAATCTTATTTTCACCCCCGTTTACTCTCACATTCAGAGGTACGTAGTGCCACCCATTAGTGAACCTTCTGGGGGATTCCATGGAGTATGTTCTTAGCTTTCCTTCCTAGCTACTATCTCAGGGTTTCATTTTCTTGGATCTGCTAAGTATTTTAGCTTCAAGAACTGCGTTGCTGTTACTTCCTCTCTTGTTCTCCCTGTCTTTGTGGATTTCTGCCTTCTAACAAATGCTCCAGAAGGAAGTTAAAGTCAATACATACTAACCATCCACCAACTTTACCCAGAAACTCAACCACCCTTTCAGCCTTCAGTCTCTATACTCCCCAGACACACCTGCTCTGCTTTTCTGTTGCTTCCATTTGAAACGAGACGACCCAGCCCTCACATATACATATGCCATCTCTGTCAAAATCTTACTTAGAAAAGAAAACATGGACTCTTAGCTAAGAGGAGATTTTCTTTGGGGAAGAGCTGTCTGTCCGGAAGACCCTTCCATGTAGGTTTGGGATAAAGTCAGTGAACACCACGACAATCATCAAATGAGTGGATTTTTGAGAAACCAGCCAAGGAGCTCAGTTTTCTATACAGAATGCCACAGAGCACAGTCAAAATTCTTTGGGACCCACATTCTTGGAAAACTCTTAGGGGGGTGCATCAATGCAGAGGACCCTTGACCACGTAGGGCATCCCCTCACCCAAGGCAGGCCTGTTTTGTTCATGGCTGTAGTAGCCTAATACTAGAATAGTGCAGACTCTAGACGGCCTACCATTGTGTATGCCGGCTGGGGTGACCCAGTGGGGAGACGTGGCACCTTGAAGATTGGGGAGAATTCTGCTGGCTGGAAAGGGGCCAGGAGGGTATGGGTGGCTGATAAGCTGGTGTAGGACCACTCCTTCCTTAAGAAGTGACTAATTGTGACATGTGGTGGGAATAGAGGAACATTCCGAATCATTACTTGGTCAGGACACACGTCTCTTATTAAATGTCATCAACACAATCTGCCTGGAAGAAACACGATTACTTTCTACCAAGCACAGACCCTCCTAAAGGGACCAGACCCAGTCCAGCACCTTTAGTCTCCCCAGAGGGTAGCAACTCAATCAGCGAGACCGCATTTCAGGGTTTTAGTTACAGATACTGAGGGTGCTCAAACATCCATGCAGTTTGCTGTTCACCGTAACACGCAACCCAGAATGGCCGTTTCGGTCCCTCGTCGGTTACCTGAAAACCAGTCTTACTGAGCTCCAACCCCAAATTAATTTGGTGAGAACTCGAACTCGGCTATTAACCTTAATTCTGAGAGAAGAATGACACCCCCCTCCCACTGCGAGGGTCCACTGAGGGTGAGTGCCCGGGCTCCTTCATTCTCCAGGCTCCTCTCAGAACACAGCAAGGGTGGCTGACTCCTTCGAACGTCCATTAAGCACAATGCAACGGGGCGAGGCAGTAGGGGGTTTGCTGAGCCCGGTTCCGCGGCGGTGGGAAGTTATTCACCGGCGTCTCCGAGGACGGCCCAGGCCTGGAGAATGGCTGGGGCCGCGGGCTGGGGTAGGGGTTACCGTGAGAGTCAAGGGCAAGGTGGCCCAGCCCGGGCTGGGAGGCGCGGGCTGGGCGCAGCCGAGCATTTCCTCCGGGAGGCCCAGACAGCGGGCGGGTGGGGCGCGGTGGGCGGGGTCCTCGCAGCTGGTGGCGTTTGAAGCCCCCCCGACCGCGGTGGGAGAGGGGCAGCCTAGAAGAGTTGGCAGCGGGCCTGCGGCGGGATGGGGAGGAAGGGGCCCCGCGTTCCCTCAGCAGCGGCGCCGGCCGCCCTGGCACGTAGTTCGCTTCTGGAGGCACAGGCCGCGGTGGGCGCGCCACCCGGGCTGCCAGGCTCACCGCCAGCTGAGGCCAGTCCTGCTCGGGCTGACCCGAGCTGAAGGGCAGCGCGGCCGCACCCCGGACCCCAGGAACGAGCCCGAGTCTGTCCCTCCCGCGGGAGCTGCCCCGCCCGGACTCCCGGAGCTCTGCAAGGCAGGGGCGTGGGGAGGGCGAGCGGCCTGAGGCTCTAGGCGCGGCCACCCGGCAAGCCGGCGGCGGAGGGCGCGGCGCGAGTGCGTTCCGCCCCTAGGCAGCCCCGCGCCCGGCCGGGCAGACACGCCTCCCCGCCGGCGCCCATCGCGGGAGGAACAAATGGCGCCCTCCAGAAACCGCTCCCCTCCATGCCGGGGGCCAAGGCTGTCACCACATAAAAGCTCCGGCAGAGAAGTGCTCGCTGTGTCCCCGCCGCGGGGGGTACAAGCAGCCGCTCCGCGCCGCGACTACCCGGCCCGCCGCCCCCGGACGTCATGCGTCAGCGCGCCCCGCTCCAGTTTCCGCCCCTCCTCCCACCGGCCCAGGGGACACGCCCACTGGCGCGCGCAGGGCCCGGGACCGGGCACGCCCCTCTAACGGCTCGGATTGGCCTGGCCGTGCACTCACGGACCAATGGCGTCTGTCCCGGCCCTCGGTCACGCCCCCTTGCCCAGGCGCGGGCACGCGACCGCTCCGTTCCGCCGGTGCGCGCTCTGGGGTCCCCGCCCCCTCCGCGCGCGCAGCTCCCCGCAGCCGCCGCCGCCTGTAACCTGCGCCGCCAGGATGTGGCTGGGGGCTGACGTCGGGTCCAGATGTGGCCCCGGCCCCGCCCACCCCCGGGGCCGGGCCGCCCACACGGAGCCGCGGCGCGCACGGCAGCTGTCCCGCCTGCCACAATGCGCGGCGAAGCTGCGGCCGCGACTTGGCGAGGTGGTCCCTAACGTTGCCGCTCGGCATCCTTAGAACCGGCCGCCCCTGACGCCGCGCGGGGACCCCAGTCGCCCGCGCGCCCCATGCGCTCACTCTTCGGTGCCCGGCCGGGCCGGCGCCTCGCAGACGCGGAGCCGCGCGGGTGACGGCACAGGCGGCTGCGCGCCCAGCCCAGCCCAGCCCAGCCCGAGGAGAGGGCGCGCCGCGCCCCCGCCCCCCGCCCGCTCTCCCGAGGCCGTGGGTGCGGATGCGCGGCTGACGACTCGCAGCAAGAGCACCGCCGCCGGCCCCAGCCCGCAGCATGGCAGCCGCCGCCTATGTGGACCACTTCGCCGCCGAGTGCCTCGTGTCCATGTCGAGCCGCGCGGTCGTGCACGGGCCGCGGGAGGGGCCGGAGTCCCGGCCCGAGGGCGCGGCCGTGGCCGCCACCCCCACGCTGCCCCGCGTCGAGGAGCGCCGCGACGGTAAGGACAGCGCCTCGCTCTTCGTGGTGGCGCGGATCCTAGCGGACCTCAACCAGCAAGCGCCGGCGCCCGCCCCGGCGGAGCGCAGGGAGGGCGCCGCGGCCCGGAAGGCGAGGACCCCCTGCCGCCTGCCGCCGCCCGCCCCCGAGCCCACCTCCCCCGGCGCCGAAGGCGCGGCGGCCGCGCCCCCCAGCCCGGCGTGGAGCGAGCCGGAGCCCGAGGCGGGGCTGGAGCCCGAGCGGGAGCCGGGGCCCGCGGGGAGCGGCGAGCCCGGCCTCAGACAAAGGGTCCGGCGGGGCCGAAGTCGCGCCGACCTCGAGTCCCCGCAGAGGAAGCACAAGTGCCACTACGCGGGCTGCGAGAAAGTTTACGGGAAATCTTCGCACCTCAAGGCGCACCTGAGAACTCACACAGGTCAGTGGGGCGGCGCGGGCGCCCGGATCGCGCGGACGGGGTCGGCGCGAGCTGCCCGACCACGCCCCCGGAGTCCCCGATGGGGCGCGAGGTGGGGGCCGGGCGGGCCGGAACGCCCGGGGCCTCGCCCCTTCCCCTGCCGCTCCGACCCGCGGCTGGCCCCGCGCGTCGCGCGAGGCGGGTCTTGGCTCTCGGAGCCGGCGCCCGCCAGGCGACCGCGCCCCCGCCGGGCACGCCCCCTCCCCGGGCGCGCTCGGGTGGGGCCGCGGGGGCGGATATAGTCATCTGGGCTGGGGGCGGGGACCCCTCCCGGCCGGGAGGCGGCGCGGGCAGGTGCGGGCGGCCTGGGTGTGGACCGCAGGCGGCACTCGTGACGGTGGGGCGCCCGGAGCGGGGGCAGGGGACGCTCTCCGGGGTCCCTCCTCGTTTCCTCCCCCGCTGCCCGGGCGCGCGCTCAGGAGGGGAGGGGCCGGCCCCGGCGCGCGGCGGGCGAAGTTCACGCAGGGACAAGGTTTCCTTCGCCACTCGGCACATTCTTCGCTCTCTTCTTCCTGTAATTTTTCCAGCGCTCTAAGGTTTAATTTGTCGTAACCAAAGTCAGCGGCGGCGCTTGGCGATGCGGGGGGCGGTCCCGGGTCCCGCTCCCCGCCTGCGGCTCTTTGTGGGAGCCCCCGCCCATCCGGCCCGGCGGGGGCGCGCCCGGCCCTAGGCTCCTCGGCCTCGAGGCTCTCTCCGGAAAGGAATGCCCTGGCCGCTGCCCATCCTCCGTGCTGCCCTCTCGCCTGCCCACCTCTCACCTGCCCTGGGCCGGTGCGGGGCGGGCGGCACCTGCACCAGGGCGGGCGCTGAGCCTCCAGCCTGGGGATCACCGCCCGCCCCCGCCAGCCCAGCGGCAACAGTTCCCACGCGCGGCCCGATACTTTGTAGTTGATTCATCTGTGGCGGTTCCCTCCCCCCTTTTTGTTTCGTTTTTAACATAAAGATGAAAATATTTTAATGGACGGCAATCCTTCCCCATTTTGGTGTAAAGAATTGTATGCTTCCTCTGAGCTCACGTGAGTTCTTCTGTGACACTCACCTCTTCTACCTTGGGGGCAGGCTCAAAACCCGTCTACTGAATACTGTTGTCTTGTGACCAAGGGTGGTGGTCTCTCATTTGTAAAATAGTTCACATAGTGATTAAAAGGCATAAAAAGAAGCTGCAGCCTTGGATACCCTAGAGCTGAAGGCCCCTTTTTTTTACCATTTGGAACTGAAAGGGCCCAAGGTCTGCAGGTGAGGCTTTCAGATCTCGGACTAACTTTCCCCAGGGAGGCTTTTGTGGCCGCTCCAAACCACGTGGCAGGTGATGGGGTAGAGGGTGAGAGCGGGGCCATTTCTAGGCATTCGGGGTCAGTTAAGGGTGTGGGGGCTCAGGTTGGGGGTGGGAGTCAGTGTGGGCTCAGAGTTCAGCTCGGGACGCGGCTGCAGGGTGGGTGTGGCCCTGGGGGAGGGGCCAGGCTAGGCTCAGCTCGGCTCCAGGTGGATCCTGAGTATCGGGTGGGGGCAGCGATTGGGGCGTGGCTGGGGTTGAGATCCGCTTTGGGGGATGATGCCCGTGCTGGGCAGGATACTTAATGTTTGGGAAATTTTTCTACGGCCTCTGTCAGGGTGGCCTGCCACTCGGCAGCACCGGTAGCGGGGAATTGAGGAGGGGGGTGGCCGAGGGGAGGGGCTCGCCGTCGTGGGCGGGGCCGGCTTGTCAGGGCCTCAGCCTTGGGATGTCTTCCTGGTGGGTTCATCTCCCGCTTCAGGCTCTGGCCCCGCGCGAGCCTCTTGACTAGAATATTGGCGCAGGGGCTCTGGAGACCCGGGCCTCCCGCTGTAGGTGGGGCCAGTTTCCTCGGAGCGCCTGGAAACCGAAGGCAGGCAAAAGAGCACGGGACCAACCCTTTGAGTGTCTGCAGTGTGCTACAGTGCTCGTTCTTGAAGCAGAGAAACTATTCCACCCTTCAGGTGTGCAGACATCAGAAGTCCTACCTCCAGGGTGGAAGCCGGCCTCCAAGTTGGAAGTGCACAGGGCTCCGGCAGCGGGGTGGCGGGGAGTTGGGAAGAATGCAGATTTCCGGGCCCCTGATGCCGACCTAGTACACACAGTTCCAGCGTGCAGTTGGGAGTGCATGTTACCGGTACCCCAGGTGACCCATTATGAGAGTTGAACTGCCCAGAAACCTGCCTCTGGAGGGAGTCTGGTTCAGCATCTGGTGGAGGGCACCCCTGGGAAGCCCATTTCCAGCCCCTTCCCAGGTGTGCAGAGCATAAGTAACTGGTGTTCCTCAAGGGAGAAGAGGAGCTTGCTGTTGGGGGAGAAAAGAGCATCTTGCAGAAGGGAGAAACCCAGGCAGGCCTCAGGGATGACTGAGAAGGCAGGGCACAAGGTGATGGCTTTGCTGCAGCCGTGGGCTCTGAGGTGTCCGTGGTTTGTGGGCCTCTAGCAGCATTGTGGGGTCTCTGCAGTCAGTGACTGAGGTCATGCCGGGCCCCGTACTCCATTAGGCTCGGGAAGGTGCCCCCGCCCCACTTCCCGCATTTCCAGGATCCACAGTAATTTCATGGCAGAGGGTGAATATCACAACCAGGAAGGTGGCCAGCTGCTCTGTGCTGTTCCTCTATGTGACCAGGGACCGGTTCCCAGATCTCCCTGCAACTTGGTGATGTCTGCCCTGACCACCTGCAAAGTCTTCAGGGACATGAGGTCAAGTATGTGAAGACCCTTTGAGAAGTGCAAGGGTCAGCCTTGACTCTGGAGGCACTTGTGGTCCCTTGGCCGTGGCTCTGCTCTGATTTTCCACCCCCACTCTCTGAACAGCTGCATGCTAAGAGCTTTCTGTCCTGGTTAGCTGTGTAGCAGTGTGGTTTCCCACTCCCACTCTTCCAGGAGTTATCCTGTGGACACATTGGTCTCTGTCACATTTAGGTAATTGTTGATATTATAACAATGCGTAATAACACAAAACCAAGAAAAACATCTTTGCAGCTCGTGCTACTTTATTATTTGGCCAATTAGAACTTCCGAGTCCAGACCTGGAAAGTTTGCTAAGAGGGGCTTAGGGGAGCAGCAAGACCAGGAGCAGATTTTCTTGGAACCTGAGGTGCTTTGATGCAGGAATTCAAGGACTCACCTTCGATAGGTCAGGCTGGGGCCCTCTTGAGGGCAGACTGGTTGCCCAGATCCTGCCTCTGGAGAGTCCTGCGTGTTGTCCTGAATGGGGAGACTTGGCAGGCCCCCAGCAGAATGGCCACTTGGTCTTTCTTGGCAGAGAGACCCTGAATACATTTCTACCTATTTGTTCCCACAGAGAATTGTTTTCAAAACTGCTCTGTGCCCTGTTTTCCCTCCAGCGCTGGAGTCAAAACATCTCTCTGCATGCTGGGCCCTTTCTGGGTTCTGGGGGTCCCATGGAAAGGTGGGCACAGTGGCGTGCCCAGCCTTCCCTCCTGCAGAACCCGAGGCATGTTTGTGGTCACCTGGCCCTGTTTGGGGTGGAGGAGGGAAGTAGAGTAAGATCACATTCTGTCAGCCATTTCCTGTGATAATTTGGGTGGGGTTCACCTGAAATTTATCTTTACCCACTGAAGCAAGGATTTGATCCTGACAGATTATTGCGACCCCTCCCCCAGGGCACACTCTGGCTTTAGAGACTTGTTTCCAAGCACACCGCCCCTTGGGCTCCCTGCAGGTCCTCCCTGATGCTGCTGCCTGGGAAAGCAGAGCAGAGGGCATCTGGCAGAGCAGAGGGCATCTGGGTGGGATCTCCTTTACCCAGGGCAAAGCCAGGCTTGTTGGTGGCCTGTGCTTTGTTCAGAGACACACACAGGCCAGTGGCTCAGCACGCCCACCCCTCCCTCTCGTACCCTCGCTGTCCCAGGCTGCCAGTGGCCCTAGTTGTGAAACTCCTCAAACAATGCAGAAATGTATGCAGCATGGGAGGTGCCAGCCTGCACCACCACCAAACCACTGTTACCCCGCGTTGGTGTTTTTCTTTACAGACCTTCTAGATGGATTTGCACATATGCATATGTGTGTGTCCACGTAGACATTTTGAAACATACTTAAATAGGATCCTAGCAAGTATCTCACTGCTGGCATTTTGTTCCGTGTGTTTGCTTAAATGAGGCATCTTCATTCTTTTTCACAGCCGCATGGTATTCCAAGATGTGGTTATATGGCTGCATTGTAACTTATTTACCCTTCACTTATGGAAAGGACAGCTACATTGCCTTTTTTTTGTTTTTTCTGCTATTACAAGTTGTGTAGTAGTGGACTCTGGTGTGTGTGTGTCTTGGTGCAGAGGAGCTGGCATTTCTGTAGGATTGAGACCTAGTGGTGGTATTGACAGGGTTGATAAGTGTTGGTTAAATGTGTTGTGGAGTTACTGTGTTATGTTTTTCAAGGAAAGAGACCACACTTGTTAGTCCCCGCTCTGAGGGAGAGACCTATTGTGTCACGACTCCACCTTCTTGAAAATGTTTCCTTCTCCCAATTCTCCTTTTGCATGTGTGAGAACATTGAGAACGTTTAAAACAGTACCAGCAAAACCACTGTCACTCCCGCACGCCTGGTGGCTGGCTCTCTTGGCCATCTTCAGTTCTGGTTTTACAGAGATTGGAAAGTGTGTGGTGGGCGCTCAGCCCTGGAGCAGTAGGATGGGGGCTGGTGTGGCGCCATCTCCACTCCCCCCTTCCCCCTCGCTGAAAGAAGGCTGGAAGCTGTGCTGCCTGAGCAAACTGATAGGACGCAGTTCATTAAACCAGTAGCCTGTGTCTGGGGCTTCACATGTCTGGAACACAGCAGAGATGGGGGCCTGATCCTTCTGAGTAGGTGCCCTGAAGCCCAATTCTCAAGCTTCTGACAGCCTCCTGCCCTTAGATCCTGTGTGCTCCCACTTTACACATAGCTTTAATCTGATTGGTTACTGGGGAAGGGCAAAAGACATGGATGGCAGCTAAAGGCAGGGGAAGAAACAAACCAGCAGGTTGTTAACATATGCATGTGTAAGTGTGTGTGTTTAAATGGGTCATGAAGAAGCCCTACAGTCAACCAGCACTGGAACAAGCATGGGGCCATTTGTGGAGAGGCACATGTTTCTCCGCAGCAATCCCTGAGGTCTGCATGAGAGACCCTGGAATAATGAACACTCTAGCAGGGATCTTGAGATACCATGGCACTGTGAAGTGTGTTCAGTTTGTGCTTTCAGGAAGCAATTAAAATAGTTTTAAAAATAAAAACTTCTAGAATAGTACACTCAACTTTCACAATCCTAAGACTTCCAGACTGTTTGCTCTAGGGGCCAGGCATCATTCTGTTTGTGTTAGTTTACATCAAGCTATCTAATCTTCACAAGGACCCTATGAAGTAGGCTCTATTATTAATACTAAATTTCAAATAAGGAAGCTAAGGCTCCAGTGCCTTAGGAATCATGCCCAAGGTCACACAGTAAGTGAGGGTGGAACAGGGATTGGAGCTGGGGCTTGAGCCTGGGCAGCCGCCCCCGAGGTGGGTGTACCTGCTGTGTCCTACTGCCACTCCTGTCTGGACCAGTGTTTCAGGTCACTGCAGGTGAGCAGGGCCCTGTGGTAGTAGAAATCTGGATGTCCCCAGCACACGGCTTCCCGCACAGATTTTTGCTGCTTCTTAAAGGTTGAGGGAGTAGTATAGTGAACACTCCTATACTCTTCCCATAGGGTCATTGGGTAATATTTTGCCACATTTTTCTCCTTTCCTCCTTCTCTTTTTCTTTCTAAAGAAAGAAAAATTAATTTTTTGTCTATATTTTTCTCCCTTTTCCATCTCGCCTCTCTCTTTAAATATTATATATTATCTGATACGCAGTCCATATTCAGTTCCCCTAGTGATTCCTAAAATGTCCAGTATAGGATTCAGGATCCAGTTAATCACACATTGCATTTGGTTGTCCTCTCTAGTTTCCCTTAGTTTAGGATAGTTTCCCATCTTTTGGTCCTTTATTATGTTACGCTGGCATTTGAAGGCCCAAAGCCAGTTGTCTTGTAGAACAACTCACAATGTGGATTGGTCTGATTGTTTCCCGTGATCAGGTCTGGTTTAAACAAATTTTGGTCCAAAATATGGCACAGGTGATACTGGGCACTTCCATCGCCTCATGGGGGGGGGAGGGCATGGGATATTAGCCTGTCCTACTGCAGGATCACATGGTTAAGGTGGGCGGCCAGGCTCAGCCCCTTCTGTCCACCTGGTTGGTTTCTACTCCATCTTCCAGCTTCCTTGACTGGAGAGATGTTGGGGGTTGGGTTCAGCTTTGGAAGGCTTTTGAAGTCAAAGGACCACCTGGAGGAGGCCTAGGTGCTCCTTTCCCCAAACAGACAAGACACCCTGATTTTCTTTTGAATGAAAATGGCTCCAGATGGTATTAATAGCCAGCTCAAGGGTAACTGTGAGTGTGTTCTTGGTCAGCCCACCTGAATGCCGGCCCTGTGGCCACAGGCAGCCTGTCTCCTAGGGCTGGGGAGGGCCTACGGCGGGTGACACTCTCTAAGTCCTGGTGAGTCTTTATGTGCTTTCAAGAAATAAACAAAAATTGTCCTAAGTCCACACACCTGAACCTGTTTTTCTTTTCTTTCTTTCTTTTTTTTTTTTGAGACGAAGTCTTGCTCTTGTCCCCCAGGCTGGAGTGCAATGGCACAATCTCGGCTCACTGCAACCTCCGCCTCCCGGGTTCAAGTGATTCTCCTGCCTCAGCCTCCCAAGTAGCTGGGATTACAGGCGCCTGCCACCGTGCCCAGCTAATTTTTGTATTTTTAGTAGAGACGGGGTTTCACCATGTTGGCCAGGCTGGTTTCGAACTCCTGACCTCAGGTGATCTGCCCACCTCGGCCTCCCAAAGTGCTGGGATTACAGGCATGAGCCACCACACCCGACCTTTTCTTTCCTTTCAAAGCCCCAAATGGGATTATTTTCTTGAGAAGTCAACTTCCTGTCGAGATGGGAATAAACTTTTCTCCAGCTTGGCAATTCAGAAGCAGCCACTGTGCTGTGTGGCTGAGGTTGGGGTCATGGAGACAGCCACCAGTGCAGTCCTCGGGGTGGGAGATACTGAGTTCAGAAGGCTTTGGACACTCTTCTGGGCCAAAATAACAGAAACTCGAACTTGTTTTACTCTTGGCATCAATCGGGCACTGGGCACAGAAGAAATCCTCACCCAACCAAAAGCTCTGCCATTTGGCCATAAACACGTATGCCTCCATAGCCACGTACATGTGTAGAAACACATATGGGTGTGTGTGTGAGTGGACGTGGCACCCTGCTCATGCTTGCTGAATGGGGGAGCATCCACACCTGGAACATAGTGGCTATGTGGAACTTCTGATTTCTAGTTCAGTTTTAGATCTTAGGTCCGTCTTCATCCCCAGCAAATGTTACCAGCTGTTTGTGAGGCAGGCTTTTGGGGGAGACATGAAGTTTGTTCAGTTGAAACTAGGGCTGTGGTGAAGGGGCTATGCCTTCACACCCTGCTGCCCTGCCCAGCAGAGTGACCGGCTCCTGTGTCCTCCACACTGCTTCAGTTCCCCTCCTGATGCAGGGCCAGGCTGTGATCGCCATTTGCTGTTGGGCATTGTGTGTGTGTGTATGTGTGTGTGTGTGTGTGTGTGTGTGTGTGTGTGTGTGGTGGCGGGGCAGGGGGCGGGGGGAGGGCACAGCATGGCACCGAGCACCAGAAACACAGCCTTGACCAGTCCCTGGTTTTTACCAACATCTTTCTGGACAAACAAGACAGCACACTTGGCAGGGGGAGTATTCTGTTTATTGTTCTCCATTTTTGAAGTTCATCACACAAAAACACTTGCTAACCAGAAACTTGGCTGCACTCCGTGGCCATTGGCCAGTCTGTCCCAAGGTGACTTGTTTGGGGAAGCACTGAAGCTTGATGTCTCAGATTAAATGTCCTTATGCTGGTGCCACAGGGGTGTGGCCTACTCTGCATGGATGGGTGACCCTGGGTCCCCAGGCACAGGGCACAGGCTCGTCTCCTTGAAGCTGGAGCCCACGCTGCATCATGAAAGAGCTCTGCAAGAATTGAAGGCCCAGAGCAAAAATCGCTTACCAAAGAGCATGTGGCTCAGAGCCTACCTTGGCCTCCTGTCTCAGGAGAAGCTTCTAAAGGTGGAGTTGTGTCACGTGCTTGTCTCCTGTGAGCACAGGCCAGGTGGGAGGAAGCTTGGGAGTGGGGAGAGGATGACGTGGGCTCAGAGGAGCCACGAGCTTCTCCCCCGACCCCAGCGTACACTGGACACACATGGGAGGTGAGGTGATGCCTGAGCAGCCTGGCGAGTGGTCAGGGCCCTGGGTGGGGCCTCCTCATTCCCTTTTGGAGCACTGGCAGCTAATGCTTGGGGGGGCCACCATCCTTTCCCGGTCTGGCCTCGTTGGGGGACACATCTGTCTTCCTCCTGGAGTAAGGAGAGCCTGTGAACAAAGCAGTGACCCCAAGACCTATGGCCACTGGGGATGGCAGGAGCCTTGTGCTTCCATATGTGGGTCCAAGCTGTGGATGGGGAGGCCAAGTGTCCTGGCATGTGGGAGGTGGTCAGGTGCTCCCTGGAGATCTAACAGGTATGCATGGGTTAGCGAGACCTGAGAGTCCTTCTTGGGCCACACCTAAGTATGTGCAGGGCCTGTGATACAGCCAGAATTTCCTCCTCTGATAAACTTCTCTGAGCCTTTCTACTTGTCTTTAACCCTTTTATTGTCTAAATGCTCACTAAACAAGAAAAATAATACAGGGAACTTGGTTTAGGGGTATTGGTAGAAGTTAAAGTTGATGGCAGAGCATGAATAGGGGTGTCTGCAAGGAATTGTTGGAAAAGAGATTGGAAATAGAGCGAAGGCGTATGTGAGTCTCAGAACCTGACTCCTTTGTTGACTGGGAGTGGGGCAGAGGGCATGGGTCCAGCAGGTCATTGGTCTCGGGTTACCAAAAAGGTTAAGGCTATTCACCTGGGCCACTGGCTGGGGTGCTGCTCAAAGCCAGGATCTGGGAGCCGGGGTCAGCACCTTGGGTGCACCTGGGCATCATAGCAACAACAAACCCCAACACATTTTCAGGGACCAGGGCGGATAAATGGGAGTTAATGACATGGTTCCCACACATCCGAATCTGGGATATGTAAATGTGACACACAGTCTGAGCATTTGGCAGGCTCTCCATGGTCTTGCTTTGCATAGTTTGGCCTATCTGCTCTCCAGACTTACTGCCCCGTTGTCCTCACCTGCATGACTGTCCATGTCTGGTTTGTTTACTCGTCATTGAAGGCATCCACAGGGGTGCCATCTGCCCCCATGTCCCTCTCCCACTAGGCATGCTAAGTGGCGTGCGGCAGGGCAGGCAGGGACTCAGATTCCCTCCATCCCATCGCTGAGGTCTTACTTCCTTCTTCCGCCCGCCTTACACGTGGAAGGTTTCTCCTGTGCTTGTCCACCAGTTGTTGTTTTTGTCTTCTAGCACGGATGGTGTGGCAGAAGGAGGCCTTGGACAGCAGCACGTTAGGACCCACAGGGGCTCTGGCCCCTTGCAGCTGTGTGTTCTGAGGGAAGATGCCCAAGGTTTTATTATCTTTTCCAGAGCGCCCTTTTTTTCTGCTTGCATGGCAGGCCCTTTCTAAAATTACAGTCATAGGTTGCTTAATGACGGGTGCGTTCTGAGAAGTGTGTTGTTAGGCAGTTTCGTCCTTATGTGAACATCATAGAATGCACTTACTATGCACACCTAAATGGCATAGCCTACTGCACACCTAGGCTGTATGGTGTAGCCTCTTGCTTCTAGGCTGCAAGCCGGTACAGTATAGTACTGTCCTGAATACTGTAGGCAACTGTAACACAATGGTAAGCATTTTGTATCTAAATATAGAAAAAGGTACAATTAAAATGGGGTGTCGTCTTATGGGACCAGCCTCTCGTCCCACGTGGACTGTCATTGTTTGAAACGTCATTATGTGGTGCATGACTGTACTTTGCTGCTTGGCCTAAGGTGCCAGGGCATTCTCTGGGTAAGCCTGAGGGGCTTTGCAGGATACCATCTTTTATCAAGGTTGAAATTAGTTTTAGCACTTTATTCTGTGTCCCCTTTGCGGCTGACAGAGCAGGAGCCTGTCAGTGTCTACTGTCACAGGTGTAGAGCTGCTGTGTTGGCGAGCAGGTAGGTGGTTTTCCTGAATTACTGTCAGGCTTTAGAGTCTTACAGGAAATACAGCCTTGGCTACTTATAGCTTGTGATTTGAAGTTTCCCTAATGATGGGCTGGGTAGTACACTTCAGCAGTTTGCTTTGGACAAATTGTATCATTCTTAAGTTCACTCACTTTAGCCTTTGAGAAATTTCAAAGTTTGTTTCCCTGATCTTCCTAGTTGCCCTGGATTATGAGCCAAGCGTTTGAATTCCTTTGCACATCTAGCACTGCACATGGCCTTGGAAGATGGACATTTATGTGAGTGTGTGCACGTGTATGTGTATGTGTGTGTGTATATATGCCCGTATTTGCAGCATGTGTGTATGTGCTTGTATATGCGCATGCACACGTGGTCAGCCATGCAGCCAAGTCTCAGAACAATCGTTCCACTGGAAGTAACCCAGTCTTGAGGCATCTGGCCAGGTGGTGCGGGCTGCAGCACAATGTTTGTTTCTCCCAGCCCTATGAACCCCAGTGGGGCTGCATCACTTAAAGGCCGGTCTCTACAAGAGCAGGGTAGGAAGCAGCAGTGCGTGCCCAGCCGTGGCTGTGTAGGCAGAACCAGCCTTCAGGATGGAGGGTGGGACCCTGGAGCCAAGCCAGAGGGTGTGTACCCTTGGTCCCTGATGAGGTACTCCATCTTGGGCCATTCTGCCCCCTGGTCTCTCTGCTCCTCCTCTGCAAACCAGGGGGGCCAGCAGCCTGCTGGGATCCTGGCCCTGGCCGGGTTAATGGATGGGAACTGAGCTCCTTGGCTGCCAAGCTGAGGTTCAGTCTGGCCCCATTCTCACTTCCTCTACTCCCCCTTGTACTGTGGGATCTGAGCATTTCTTTAACAGCCTTCAGGGGTTTCCAGCCCTTAGGACAAGCAGCAGGTGGGTATACAGGGGAGCAGACCCCAGGGGGGCCTGAGGAGGGAGGGTGAAGGCACCCCTTCTTTGTGCTGTCTGTAGCTGCTCATCCTGGGAGACACTGTGGGGGAGGCTGTGGCTTCCTTCTTCCGCCCTCTGGGGATGCCCTGGCGGCCTGTACCTTGGGTGTTGGGAGGAGGTGGCTTGGCTGACTGTCCCTGCTCATGGTCAGGGTCCTCCTACACAGCAGAACTGGAGGTAAACACTGGGTTGCCTTGGCAACTGGGCTGTGCCATGGCTCCAAGTGCTCCTGGCTAGAGAAGTTCCCATTGTCTCAAGTTTCTAGGATGGGTTTCTATTTTGATTTTTTTTTTTTTAAATTAGCAAGAATGACTAAGATACCAAAATGTCTGACCTGGTTTCTATAATTTCTTAATAAACATTTGTCTTCCCTTTATAGGAGGAATGTTTTAGTGATTCATTGACTTTTCTTTTAGACGGTGGCAAGGCCCTGGTGAGGCAGTGCGGGGGCAGCACAGAGGACCCCCCACTGCCGACAGCTGGCACGGGAGGCTGGGAGAGCACTGGCCACGATCCAGGGACCAGGCATGCTTACGTAGACACCACACGAGGATTTTATTGGCTTTGAGGCTAATTAAGTTCCATGGAAAATTTTGGGGAGATGCCTCTCCCCTGTGGGGGGTTCAGATACCCACAACTGGTGCTTCCAGAAGCTGTCTGAAGGCTGATGCGTCTGACTGAGCCCGAGGAGCGCCCTCCCACCCAGTGCTGCACTCTCCCGCCAGAGGCCTGGCCCCCTCCCTGCAGGTCAGGGCATGTGCTTGTTTATACCTTGTTGGTGTTTGCTGTTAAATTCTAACTGCTCACCTAGGTAGCCTGGGCTGGCTGCGCCCAGTGGATGTCCTCCCGCCCCCCGCCTGCTGTCTCGTGGGAGTGCCCCAGGTGGCACTTTGCTGTGGGAGATGCAGCAGCGGGCTCTCGTGCAGGCCTGACCCTTCACCTTGGATTTCACTGGGCTTCCCTGCTCTGCCCACCCATGGATTATCTTGTAAAGAGTCACCTGCCCCATGGAGGAGCCAGGTGAGGATCCAGGGAAGTGGCTTTGTTTATTTTACTGTCAGTAGGGCTGACCCAGGTTGCCCTGGTGGGTGGTGTGTCCTGTGAGCCTCTCTGCCTCTAGGCCTGTTTCCAGGGTCTCGTCTTCGTTGTAGGCCTGCAGGTCTATTTGGGTCCCTTCTCACGACTGAGGCAGGCTGAGGATGTACCCAGTTGGGCTGGGCTGCCTTGTGGGTCCTCTCTCCACTGCCCTCATGGCCAACCTCAGGCGTGAACCTGCCTACAAAGCCTCTCTGTGCAGCAGCAGCTGTGGCAGTTGCCAAGGGAGCTCAGCACCAAAAAAGATGTTCAGATTTGCTGCATTTGTTTTGGAATGAGTGCCTGGTGTTGCTTGTGCACACCCCAAGCCTCCTGGCCTTTCCAGGTTTCCCTGTTGAACAGGCAGCTCTCCTGCGGTTGGGTGGCACAGGGCTGTGGTGAGGGCCCCAGCATCCCTCCTCACCTGGGTGCTCAGTTCCTTTCTTGTCATCCTTTCTCTGTTTGTAAAGCAGAAACAGTCCTGCTAACATCACCCCCTTCAAAGATGTATGCAGAATTTGATTTTTTTTCCTGGAAAATATACTTTTTTAGTGTTTAAGAAAAAACTCGTGCTGGGCATGGTAGCTCATGCCTGTAATCCCAGCACTTTGGGAGGCTGAGGCAGGAGAATTGCTTGAGCCCAGAAGTTCGAGACCAGCTTGGGCAACATAGTGAGACTCCACTGGGCATGGTGGTGCACACACCTGTACCAGCTGCTCAGGAGCCTGCAGGCAGGAGGATCACTTGAGCCCAGGAGGTGGCAGCTGCAGTGAGCCACGATCTTGCCACTACACTCAAACCTGGGCGACACGGGGAGATCCTATCTTAAAAACAAAAGAAAAAAATCTCAAGTCAAAGGTATTGAAATAGTATTGGAAAGTGTTAAAGGAGTCCAAAACATGAGCACACTTGGGAGTTTCACGGGAGACCCAGCGCCCCTGTGCCCTGTGTTCATCCTGACAATTTGGGCTCTGGACCTGGAGCCCCGAGACATTGCTGTGTCTCTCTTATTGGATCGCCTCATGGAAGCTTGACTCCACAAATGTTGTATTTGCATGACCTTCCTTGGGAGGCTCTCAGTGTTTTATTTTTCATCAGAGAAAGGCCTTCTTGTCTGTTGGTTCTTTGTTATCTAAACAGAGGCACTGTGGTGTAGTGATGAGGAGCCCTGGCCTCAGAGTGGGACAGGCTGAGCCCATCTCTGGGTTTTCACTGTGAAGTGGGTCTGGTCATGCTGCCTCTAGGAGCAGAGGGGTAGAATGTGGGTGAGGCACCCAGTAGGAGGGGTGTGTGTGCGTGTGTGTTCACGTGTGTGTACGTGTGTGTGTCGGGTAAGTGGTGATTAACTTGCAAGAGCAAAATTTCACCCCCTGCAGTATTGTTCATGGGTACCTAAATGAACAGACAGGTTTGCTGTCTTCTCTTTTGAAAAGAAACAGACACATAGACAATTCAGAATCTTTTTTTTTTTTTTTGAGGCTGGGACAATTCAGAACTTTTTTTTTTTTTTTTTGAGGCTGGGTCTCAGTCTGTCACCCAGGCTGGAGTGCAGTGGTGCGATCATGGCTCACCACAGCCTCAAACTCCTGGGCTCACACTATCTTCACAGCTCAGCCTGCCAAAGTGCTGGGACTCCAGGTGTGAGCCACCACACCCAGCCCAGAACTACTGTTTTAAAGCAGGTGCTGGGTCACTTTCCAGGATCCTCACAGCCTGACCTGAGCCCCCCTTCCCAGAGTCACCCTGTGACACAGCATGTGGGGTGATGCTCCTGGCATCCCAGCCCCAGGCGCATCCAGCCTCAGCTTCTGCGTCTGTATCCTCCTGGATAAACCCAGACTGGCTGCAGAAAAGTGGTACAGCCTGTGAGCTTCTGTGAGCATCCTGTTGTTGCTATGGAGACCCTGTTGCTAGACATCAGGCATGCTCAGACTAGGGAGTGGTGACCCTGTCTCAGGTGAGCCTCACGTGTTACCAGGTAACCAACCCCTCTCAGGTACCAACAGGCTGTACCTGGCTAGACTCTTTAATTAGCAGAAGTAGATGAACTGAAACCTCAACCTCAAGGTGAAAGACTCAGTCACCAGTCATCAGAACAGTTCTGGACAAGTCCACCTCTCTGAGGTGGGCTTGAAAGTTGCCCTGCACCCTGTGTCAGTAGTCTTGGGCAGTCTTACAGGGACAGGAGAGATTGTGCCTGCAGGTGGCCATGCTAGTCCTGCCGAGTGACCCCACCCCAAGGAAAGGACTTTCGGAGACCAGGCATTCTCTGGGTGAGACTCCCCACACTGGGCAGTCTTGGGTGAGGATGCCGGCTGCCCTCCCAGGGACGCAGTGCCCTGCTGGGTGCCCCGCCTTCCCTCCTGAGACCCAGGCACCATGACAGGTTTCTTAACTGACAGCTCTTTAGTAGAGAACAGAAATCCTGTTTGCAGCAAAACTTGCCTCACTGGATCGCTTCATAACAGCTCCTTCAAGTGGGGCGAGCTCATCGCTGCGGTCGGCATCTCAGCCATCAGCAGCCCGGAGAATCCCACTCAGGACTTAGGTTTGCTATTTTTGTGTCTCGCCTGGGCTTCGCTCGTTTCCACAGGCATTCCACTTCTTGTTTACAGGAGTAATTGCCTTCATGAGCTTTGGGCCATCTGCGGATATATGTATTTTTTTCTTTATTTTCTTTCTTTTTTGGGGCAGCAGTTCTATGTTTGCAAATATGAGGATTGTTTCCTAAAGGGAAGCATGAGGCCTTCTTGAGGCTGGCCTCTTGGCTGCTGAGCTGGGCCTTCGCACCCCTTTCCTGCTTTATTTCCGTCTTCCTGTGAGTGTATTTTGTTGTATAGAGGCGCTTCCTGTGGTCGGAGGTGAACATTTGGAGTGACTAAGGAGAGCATGGCCTTCCTCGCTCTCCCGGCGTCTGATTGCTCCGTGGACACTTGTGCCTGTTCCCCAGGCAGGGCCTGCTTGCTGGAGGGGGTCGGGGCCACTCCTGGCCATGGAGTTTCCGCATCCCCCTGCTGGCCAGGCTCCTGTGCTTGGGGAGAGGAGGACGCCGAGGCACATACTGTCTCCGTGCTCTGCTCTTGTGGTCATGAGTGGCCTCTTCTCTCTTCTGCTTTGAGTGACTGGGTGTAGAGTGGCGCCTGAGCTGGGGACTGTCTTGCACCCTTGCACAGGGCCCGCCGGCTCAGGTGTGCAGCAGACACCATCCTGGGAGAAACAGCAGCAAGGTCTGGGGTGGCCACATTTGCATGTTCTGCAGAGGCAGTTGCCTTCGGGATTTCAGACTTGCCCCCAGCCGTAAGGCGGGATGCAGTGCCCACAGACAAGGCTGGGTGCACACAGCCTCCCAAACAGCATCCTGCAGTCTTAAGTCTGCACACCTCCCACCAGGTGTCGGCCCCCAGCAGTGGGAAGGAGACCAGCCTTCAGGCTGCTCACCTGAAGGGAGAAGGCAAGGAGGCATGAGGGGTGCATCCAGCCTCCAGTGGGGACCCACAGGTGGCCTGGGTGCTGATGGGCCCTGGCAGAGTCTGTGTGCCCACCCATGCCGTCAGTCTCCTGAACCGCAGGAGCAAGAACTGGATTTCATGTTAGGAGATGATTTCCAACTTCAAGAAATGACCTGGAAAAGTTTTCTACTTAAACTGCCTGTTGTTGTTAAGAGCTGGCCAGCTCTGGCTTTCCAACAGCACGCACAGCCCTCGGGCCAGGCTGAGTCCTGATGTGGGGATGTGCCCACTGACTGCGGGTCACCATGACTCCATGGGGAAGGTCTCCTTGGAGAGGTCTGAGGCTCTGGTGCACGAATTAACCTGCTCCTTAGTCTTCCCTGGGAGACCTCTTGATCTCCTGTCCCCACCCATACTTCTGGTCACTTGTCAGTCTTTGTATAATGTGTTCAGTGTCCCTCCCTCTGAGACGGCAGCAGAGACAGGAGAGCCACGCATTGCAAGTGGCCCATGCCTGGTTGCTGCCCTAAATACTTGCTGTGCACAAATGGCCTGGCTGTCAGGGGTGACTTTGGCCCTGGGGGATGTTTTCCAACCCCCTGGGACAAACACCTGCCAATACTTAGCAGCTACCTCCTGCTAGCGCTGCGCACCCACACCACCCTGAGCCTGTCACTCCAGCTCCAGAGGTGGGGCTCTCCCCACACCCATACCCATCTCTGTGCAGATGCAGACATCCCAGATCCACCCCTCCAGCCTGTGTCAGGAGGGGAGTGGGCACCTAGGCTTTCCCCTCTTTGTGGCAGGACTGGAGGAGTGTCAGCAGAGTGGCCTCCTTCACCTGCCTTTTAAGCCAGGGCGTGCTCTGAAAACACGCCATGGCTGGACGTTTTCATGTGTCTGGCTGGCAAGGGCTCCAGGGGAGGTGGCAGGGGTGCCAGGAATCCCCAGCCACCCAGACATTTGCCAAGCTTGGCTCCTCAGTGCCTTGGCTGGTGGCCTTTGGGGGTGACTTCACCCTACTGTCATGGCTGGCCCATGGCGAAAGGGTTCACCTGCTGCTTAGGAGCTGAGACTGGGCTGGGCCAGGCCAGGGGCCCTGTTTCTCTTCTGGACTGTGGGGGTTTGGGCCAGTGGGGAGGGAGAGCTTCCCCAAGGGACCATTACAGAATTTGCTGTAAGAATGTGGAGAAGGAGTTCTGGTCCTTGGGTTTACAGATTTTTATTCTAAACCTAATGGAACCTTTCTTTTAACAAAATCTCCTGGAATCCAGTGCAGAAAAGAGCTGGGAGGATTGCTGGGTGGGGCAGGATGAGGGTGGGAGGGGTTTTGACTTTGTCCTGAGGCTGTGCGGGATCCTCCCTGGGTCCCCCAAGGAAGCCGCCTGAGTGGGGAGGGAGGGGCCGCAAGTAACCAGGAGCAGGCCAAGGTTCCAGGGTTCAGCCCAGGACAGCCAGTCTAGGTGCAAGCCAACCCTGGGGGCTGGCCAGGGAGTGTGAGCTGTTGCAGTTTGGGGCAGGTGCCTTCCAGGCTCTGTGGGTCAGGGTTCTCTCCTGGCCCTTCTGAGGGTGCCACCCTGGCCTCCCCGCCTTTGAGCAGGTGGGGGTTGGGTCTGGGTTCCATAGGGCTGGGCAGGAGGAGGCAGCTGTGAGATCCCAGGCAGAGCCAGGAGAGGAGCAGGACAGATGGCATGCAGGCGTGCTGCATCGGGCTGGGATTGTGGGGTGCCAGCAGACAGGGGTGGAGTGGGGACTTGGGCATTCCTCACTCATTGCCTGAGTGTCATGAGGGGCCTGGCTTTGGCTGGTGTTTCTGTCCCTTGAGGGCGTGGTGTCTGAGGGCAGGGCCTGTGGCTCCACCCTGTGTGCTGCTCTGGGGGCCTGGAGGCCTGTGCCCCCGCCTCAGCCTGCCTTTGCCCTGCTGCACCGCTGGCCTGCCTCTTTCCCATTCGGGCACCTGCCTGGAGAGCACTGGGGTGCGGGCAGATCCTGCCTTGAGTGAGCACCGCGTGCCTAGCAGCAAGCAGCAGGGGATCTCCAGGAGCGTGGCAGGGTCCCATCCTGAAACTGACAGGAAATCTGTGAGTATGAGGGTGGGACGGAGAAAGCCCGGGAGGTGTACCGTTCCTTTGGCCCCCATCCCCCTCACCAGGGGACCCTGCCCTACTCACTGTCTTCCAGTGGCCCTACATGGGCAGCATCCTGCCTGGCTGTTGTGGTTGTGAGGCCGCAGCCTGAGACTGACCACACCAGGGCTTAGTGTGCTTAGTTCTGACCCGGGTGTCTGCCCTGCCAGCCTGGTGTAAAGTCGTCAGATGCTGTGGGCCACACGAGGTCATATTTGCACCGTCAGTTTACCGGGGGCAAATGACCTTCTGGGGAGGGCTGCAACTGCTCCCCACCTCTCACCCCTGGTTGTCTCTGTTTCCCGGAGGGTTCCGTTTGTAGGCACTGATGGGGGTTCTGGTTCTAGAGGAAGAGTATCTGAGCTCAGAGGGAGTGCAGCTCCACAAGTGTGCCCCTCTGTGCCGGCATCTGGCTCAGGCATGCGTGAGCCCCTCTGTACAGATGCCTGCCTCACGCTGAGATGCCCACGGCCCAGGCATATCTCTCAGGAGCCCCCGAGAACCCTGACGGGAACCCAGAGCTGTTCCGCACAGAACACCAGGTCAATGATCTTGACTCTGTTTCTGGGAAGATTACCCATCTGTGGCTTCCAGAAAGCACCTCTTCGTTTTTCTGAAACTCACAGCCTTCTCCCCCGACCTCCTGTCCTCTGCTTTTCTCTGAGGCCAGAAGGAGAGATTTCCACACCGGCCCTTTGCCCTGGCCACAGGCCTGAGCTCCTGCATAGCAGCTGCTGTCCTTCCCCTTCTGGACTAGTCCACTCTAACCTGACCCTTTGGTAAAGAGTATGATGGACCCCCCACCGCTGTTACCAGTATTCAGCCACCCTGGAGCTGCGGCCACCCACACAGCTGTGGAAAGCCCCCAGGCCACAGCCAGGCAGGATCTCCTCCCCGGGTTCTCTTCTTCCTCTGCAGGAGCTTCCAGGCCAGAGCCCCAAGGCCTCATGCTGCCCCCTGCCCCAGCTTTCTCAGGACATGAGGCGTCCCCTCCTTGCAGGCCCCCCAGGCTGACTTCTGTGTCACACAGCAGCCTTCACTTCCGTATCTTTCTTTCTCTTTTAAAGGCATCACCTTCAACTGGAAGAAGAAATGAAAATACCACCTGTGCCTCGAAATCTTTCAGTTTCTAGCGAGGGACATCCCAGGCACTTGGTGGTGGGGCCAGGGCTCCTGCCGGCCATAGGTGGGCTATTGGCCTGCAGGCCAGGTTCCTGCCTGCCACCACTCTGCACCCCTCTGTGCTGGCGGCATCAGGGAGGGTCTGGGGAGATGCAGACTGGACGTGTGGGTTGGGTGGGCCAGCAGGGGAGAGGGGCAGCGTAGGGTCCTGAGTCTGGGGGCAGGAGCAGACTGTGGTAGCAAGCATGGGTGAGGACCTCAGTTCCCCTACCTGCTGGCTCTCATCGGGGCTGGGACAAGGTCAGGTCTGTGACAGGGCACGACACCGAGCCCAGCAGGTAGGAGGATTTGAGGACCTGTGAAGCTAGAAGGTCAAGCAGGGAATTCAGGATTTGGACACCCTCCTGGGATCAGCAGGCGTTCCCCCCTCCATTGCTCTGCTGGTAGCACCAGCCTTCCCAGAAAAAGGCTTCTTTGGCAGGGCCTGGGAACCTCCTGGAGGGAGCTGGGTGACCAGCTTCTCTGCTGAGCCCCACTGGGACAGCACACCTCAGGAAGAGGCCGTCCTTGGTGCTCGTGGTGGGGAAGGGGAGCTGTGAACAAGGCTTCCCCCTGAGGCAGGGCTGGGGATGGGCAGTGGAGACTGGAGGCAGGGAAGAGCTACCCAGGCTTTGCCGCACGTGGGTGGCAAGCCCGCTAGAACCTGTGTGTGCTAGCGTCAAAGGGCACCCTCAGGGGGCTGGGCTGGGGAGGGGCCCCACCTTGACTGTGGTGATGAGAGAGGCAGGATGTGGGGCCCAGGAGGTGACTCTGCCTTGGAGGTGCTGCTCATGAGGGACGAGGGCATCCTATGGCAGGCCCTAAGCCAGCGGAGCCTCAGAGTAGGGGAGAGAGGCGGGGCAGTGTGACTTGGGAAGCCAAGGCAAGAAATGGCTAAAGGAAAAGTGGGTGTCACAGTGGCTGGGCCCAAAGGCTCCCATCCTGCCATCCTGTGGCAGCAGCTTGAGGGGGCCCCAACCTCTTCTGTCTGCCCTTCCACCCCCTCCAGCCTCTGGGGCCCTGGGGCAGCATATAGGCTGCAGGGGTTGGGGGCTGCCTCTGTTGTAGTGGCTGCAGCGCTGGTGGAACAGGAAGGTGTGTTGTTGGCTTCTCCTGGACCACACCCCCTGAAGGTGACACCCTCCTAACACGAGGAAGAGAGCTGCGCTTCTCAGTGCGTTCCAGATCTCAGGCTTCAGTGTCTCCAGCCTGGCCTTCTTGGCCACTCCACATGAGTCTGCCTCAGTGTGGAGGCTTCTTCCTGCACTTTCAGGGGGGTTTATTTCTGAAGGCGGAAGGCAGGCCTCGAACCCCAGGTGTTCTTGCTGGTGGAGGAAAGTGGAAAACACGCAGGCTTTGTGGGAAGAAAGGACGCCACTCCTCCTCCCGTGGATTGCCTGTGGAGCTGGGACAGGCAGCTTGCCACTCTTGTCAGGATGACTGTGGAAGGTGATGTCTAGAAGAGAGAGCAGGAGCACAGGCGCCCCTCTTCAGCTTGGTTTTGCACTAAAGGGACAGCAGAACCCAGAGGGCCTGGCTCTGTCAGCCCAGCCTCCAGTGCCTTCCGAAAGGAAAAACCACGCGTGGTACGTAGGCACACACGCACGCCGCACCACATGCTTTTTATTGAAGTATACGTGTGCTACAGACCATTTAAGTACAGAAAAGCTAAAAGAAGAAATTAAGTGGCACCCACAGTTTTACCTCCCAGACAGGACTGTTGCTTGGCCTGGTTCTCACTGAAAAGCTGCCAGCATAGAGCCCAGGAAGCCCCTCCTGGCAGCCAAGGGTGTGACCCTGCAGTCACGGCAGCCTGCCTGCTCTGGCCACTGATGTCCGCATTTTTTAGACCCTGGGGTCCTGACTGCATCTCAGGCCGCAGTGCCTTGGGCTCCAGTGGGGTGTCTCGGTGCTGGCATTGTAGAGTTTAAGCACCGCCCCAGAGCTGTGGTGGAGGCTCAGTGTGCTGCTGTAACAGAAATACTGGAGATGGGTGGCAAATAAACAACAAGTTTATTTTCATAGTTCTGGAGGCTGGAAGTCCAAGATTAAGGCGCTGGCAGATTATTCTGTATCTGGTGAGGACCCTCTTCCTGGTTCGTAGACAGCTGTCTTCTTACTATAATGTCACATAGTAGAGGGAGCAAAGGGATTTTCTGGGGTCTCCTTTCTAAGGGTACTAATCCCATAAGGAGGGCCCTACAGCCTCATGACATTATCACCTTCCAGAGGCCCCAATTCCTAAGACCATCCATCAAGCTGGGAGTTAGGGCTTCAGGGTATGGGTTTTCAGGAGGCACAAACATTCAGCCTATAGTGCCCAGCGTTCTTGCCTAACCACGGAAGGCAGATGGCGAGGTAGGGTGGGGTACTGTATCCTCTGCAGGCCTACTCCCCCAACTCATGGCAGCTTTTTTGCCCCTTAACTTTGTAGGGCCGAAGCCTGTGACTGTCATTCCATCTGGGGGAATCCCAGGACCCAGGGCAATGCTGCTGCTGCCCATTTAGGGAGGGGAGGCTGACACTGCTTTCCCCATGAGCCGCCACCTGTGCAGATTATGACATGTTTCCCCAGAGTGTGGGATGGACCAATGCCCGCTGGGCCACATGGGAGGCGGGTGCCCTGTCAGGCAGTAGTGGTACAGCAGCGCTGTCTTCGATGGAACAGCCACCATGCCGAGGACCTGGGGATCTGGAGGGCACTTGCCTCGTTCTGCACTGACCCTTAACATGAGTCTCTGGGACCCAGTCTGCTCCAGCTGGTGCCAGCCTGTGGTTAGTCAGCTTGCCTCTGATACTTCACTGCCCTGGCTGCATGAGTGCAAGGGCAGTGCTGTGTTCTTAGTGCCTAGCATGCAGTGGGGAGGAATTAGGCTGGTGTCTGCAGGAGAAGTCCTCCGGGCCCATGTGAGGCGAGTATGGGCCAAGCCTGTGCCCCTGTGCCTGTGACCCAGGCTGGGAGCAGGGGGCTTCAGGTCCTCAGGCTGCTTTAAGCCTGTTTCTCCTGGGCCTGGAGGGCTTCCTGGGGAGGGGGTTCACAGCTTCCAGGTCCCCTCCTGCCACTTTGAACTTGGGTGTGAATTAATGAAAAGCAGATGAGCTCAGATGTCCCTGGAATTCCACATGAAGTTGAATGGTATAAAGTAACCAGCCATGTGTTCTTGGCGGAACCAAAAGTACTCAGAGTGTTGCTGAAGCTGCCAAGTCCTCAGAGTAGCCTAGCCTTTGCCGAATTTGTGCTTCATGGGATGAATCCCATTTCATGAGATGATGTGCTTTTCTCCATTGAGTGAAGCCCTAGAGAAAATGGCCCCTAACCCTCGGCCATTCCAGACATGGAGAGTAGTACAGCATGCGGCCCCTGCTTTTAAGCCAATATGCCCATTACAGGGCAGGAAGCAGCCAGGGTCTGCCGCAGTTATGGTAGGATATTGGGCATCCTGGACCCACGGATCCTGGACAGAAGGATGAAGCTTTGGGATTGGGGAGGGAGGGGATGAGCCGAGCAGGCCCCCCAGCGTGCAGGGCACCTGGATGCCGACCACATTGGTCCGTTGTTCGGAACCTCGCCTTAGCTCTCTTCTGCCAGGGCCTAATGAGAACAATGGTCTCTCAGCTGAGCAGGTGGACACCTGTGAACTTCATCTCATTACAGATCTCAAAGGAGGGAGTCTATGTGGTTCTGGGCAAGGATGCTCCACTTTGCTTCCGTCTTCACCAAACTCTTAAAATATGAAGTGTAGGAAATTATGCCCCTGCAGGGTTCAGGATAAAGGAAATGACACCCAAGCCTTGGTTCTTTGTACCTGTTCCATCCACTGGGTATTTAGAGAAAGTAGCTTGGCGTGTAAGGTGGTCTCTGGCCCAACTTCACCCCCTTTTTTGGTGAAGTCTGGGACTTGCACAAGCACTGGCTCTTTGGCTCAGCTTTCAGACCTTGAAGGATCCGCAAGGAAGCTTTGGTCTGGGTACAGCCCTTGAGAAGGGCCTTAGAGGTGGCCATGCCAGTGGAGAAGGTGAGGCTAAGCAGGCTCTTGAGGTGCGCCCATGGCCAGGCCAGAATGCAGGCCTGGCACTCTTCGCCCAGGCGCCTTCTGGGCAGCAGCAGTTTTGAGTAAGTAAGGAGCCTAATGTTTAATGGCCTTTGTGTAAGAACATGATGATGACAGCGAGAGCAGGGAGGCTGGGAGGGAGTGTGTGGATGGACATCCGAGTAAGAGTTCCCCAGTGTCTCCAGGAACCACTTGCTTTGTAAAATGACCCAAATCCACCATCCCTGGACCTGGCGCAGATTCTGAGTTGGGCCAAGGCCTGGGAAACCTGAGTTGGAAAGTCTTTTCTCAGCCCGTATCATGGACTTGCTTTTGGTGCTCTGGGCTGGGGTCAGATTTGTAAGTGTGTTCCTGTTGTAAGAAGTTGCCTTGCCAAAAGATCATCATTTGAGTGCCTGGCATTTGTTTTTATTTCTATTTGTGAAAGTCAAGCATGTTAATTAAGGATGATTTGAGAAACAGGAAAGTATCAAGAAAAATTAATGAAGAGGAAAATCAATAACTTTAATCCCACCACTCACAAGTCACCACTGTTAAAACGTGGGATCATTCCATACAAGTCATTTTCTGTTCTACATTTTCCTGCTTTAACATCCTGTTAGGCTCATAACCCCAAGGCACTGACTGGTTTCTAACCTGGTCTGAGTGGTTGCCCCGTGTGCGCTTGTCTTGCACTGAGAGCTCCAGTGATTGGCTGTCCTGGGACAGCCGTCCACCTCATTATTTTCAGGGGGAGTTCCCAGGAGCCTGCAAAGGAATGTGCATTTTCAGGGCAGGTTGCTTCTTTTCAGAAAGGAAGGATGAGTGTGCTACCCGCAAGCAAGGCATGAGAGCGCCCAGGTATGCACCCTGGCAGGGAGAGTGGGCGGGTGGCTGTTGGATGTCTAAAAGGGTTTTGCACACCGGGCGCGGTGGCTCATGCCTATAATCCCAGCACTTTGGGAGGCTGAGGTGGGCAGATCTTGAGGTCAGGAGTTCAAGACTACTGGCCTGGCCAACATGGTGAAACACTGTCTCTACTAAAAATACAAAAATTAGCTGGGTGTGGTGGCGGACGCCTGTAATCCCAGCTACTGAGGAGGCTGAGGCAGAGAATTGCTTGAACCCAGGAGGTGGAGGTTGCAGTGAGCTGAGATCACGCCACTGCACTCCAGCCTGAGCAACAGAGTGAGACTCCGTGTCAAAAAAAAAAAAGGGAGGCGGGGGGAGTTTTGCAGTGAACAGAAGTCACTGTTTAAGTAGAGTTTACACACAACAACAAAAAAAGGGTTTTGCAGTGAACAAAAGTCACTGTTGGAGTTTACACAACAGAGGGGTCGCCACGCTGCCCCGTACCTGGGAGCTTCAGACTGTTCCGAATAGGCCTCCCCTGGACACTGAGATCTTGGAGGCTTTGTGATCCAGCCTTGGATGCCGGGTCCTGAGATCTTGCAGTCCAGGGAAAGGTGAGATTGTCTCACAGCAGAGGCTTGCCTGCTGCAGGCCACGCTCAGGGGTTTCTACCTCCCTCAGTCCCAGTGTCTGCCCTACAGGCTCCCTTGGTCCCGCTCAGAATGCACAGACCTGACCGTACCAGTGAGAAAGGACAGGCTGTGTGAGCTCTGCCTGGCCCAGGTGTGGGCTGGCCACGGGCTCCATGCCTGCCTTCTCCATGGGCCATGACGTCGGCCAGCAGCCTCAGCAGCTGCTGAGATTAGCGTCTGTATGTGGTGCCACTTGGTGTGCCTCTGGCTCCTGGCCCTGTGCTGGCCCCGTGGAAGGGCCTGTCAGCATGTACTCTCTCCTGGGGACAGGAGCAGTATCTTCAGGGCTGGGTCTACCAACCCGGTCTGTGCATTTCCAGCCTCCTGTGTGCTTCCCAGCTCTGAATTATGACCACTGGGCTGATTTATTTCTTCTGACATTTGCAAGCTGTTAGGTGGCAGAGATCAGTGAATAAAAACTTAATAAAAGGCTGTATTTAATCCCATGCATCCTAGGCTGAGCCAAGTTCCCTTAGGATTGAGCATCACCAGATAGAACCCAGAGCCCACTGGCATTGGGACCTCCAGGGTGGCTACTTGGAGTTTTTGTGGGGAGGGCAGTTTCTTGACCGTGGAGCATGACGAGGCTGGACCCACCTCTCCGTCTGTATGCAGCCACCATGCAGCCCACCTAGGCTGTGGGCTCTGTTGATGCCGCCTTGGAGTGTGCGGCTTGCTCTGGGTGGGCCTTCCAGGGGAGGAGGGACTGCAGAGGTAGTGACAGGGAAGGGACCCTGGGCCAGGGGGCTGGGCTCAAGGGTGGCTCCACATCTGACTTTGTGGCCTCATTTCCTGGTCTGTCACTTAGGGAGTTTTGCTGGGGCCTGTTAAAGGGGGAGTGCCTGGAGGTATCAAAGCAGGGGCTTGTGGCCCTGGTCATCCAGTAGTTACTGGGGGTGTTTACAGCCGCCTGTGCTGGGCCTCCCCTGGAGAGGAAGTCACGCCCACGTTAAGTGCGTGGGAAACCTGTCCCAGGCGTTCTGTAACCGTAGCTGCAGGTGCTCTGGGTGTTGCCTCCTGGCTGTAGAGGGCCCCCTTGTGAAGAGGGGAGCCCCAGGTTGGGGGGCCTGGGCTGGCAAAGTCCCTGCCATCTGGCCTGCCCACTTGGGGCTGGCTGTGTTGGGCCTGGTCCCACCAGGGCTTGGGCTGCTTCCAGATCTGTTTTCATTTTCAATTCCCTTTATTGCTATAAAACCACTTCGGGGCTGCAGAGAACAAGCTGTTGTCCTCAGCTGACCTCAGATTCCTGGCCTCAATTGTTTGCCTCTTGCTAATTTTAGCTTCTGATAATTTCCACTCTTATCCTCCCCCCAAAGGGAGACACAGACCAAGAATAGCTGCTGGGAAGGGGGGCTGTGGTGGCTGTGGCCAGAGTTCCAACAGTGAGCTGGCAGGGCTGTGGAGTGGCTCGCTGTGGCCAAGCCTGGGGCAGGGGGCTCTCGGCAGGCAACCCCCACACCCTTCCCCTCTCTCACCGAGGACTCTATACTGCAGGCATGGGCCTCAGAGGAGAAGAGGACTTCACTGTTCCTTCTTTTAAACAGAAACCAGGCTGCTTCTGGGGAAAAAGTACACCCCCACAGCCCTGCCTAGCTTGAAGACCCCTGAGAGTCCCTAACTCCCCTGAGCCCTTCAGACTCCAGGACCCAGGTTGTAGTGTGGGGTCAGACGTGGCACTTGACTACAGCCAGGCCCTGGATACAGCGTCAGTGTGGAGGCCTCAGGCCTATCCAATCCCTACCCAGCTTGGCCCCAGAGCCTGGCACAGCTCTGCCCTCCCAGTGAGTGTCAGGCTGCAGTTGACTGACAGCAATGTCCAGTCCAGGACATCAGCCCAGGCCTGCAGGATGGGACTTTGCCTGCCTGGGGCAGGGAGAGAAGCAGCTGACCAAACCCCAAACCGTGGTGTGCTGGTGAGCAGGCCTGGGGAGAGCCAGAGGAGGGATGGGCTGAAATCCAGCGAGGAGGAATGGCCTCCAGGCAGGGCCTAGGGTTGCAATCCTTGTCCATATATTAATAGTTTTGTAATTTTTGTTTTTGTTTTTGAGACAGAGTTACACTCCTGTTGCCCAGGCTGGAGTGCAATGGCGCGATCTCAGCTCACTGCAACCTCTGCCTCCCGCGTTCAAGCAATTCTCCTGCCTCAGCCTCTCAAGTAGCTGGGATTACAGGCACCCACCACCACACCCAGCTAATTTTTTGTATTTTTAGTAGAGATGGGGTTTCACCGAAATGTTGGCCGGGCTGGTCTTGAACTCTTGACTTCAAGTGATCTGCCCACCTTGGCCTCCCAAAGTGCTGGGATTACAGGCGTGAGCCACTGCACCTGGTCATATTAATAGTTTTTAAACTTCTGTTTGGAGAACTTCAGACAGATGCCCACATCTTCAGGACACCCACATTTTCAGCACCTGCTAGCCCCCTGCAGTCTTATCTCTGCCCCTCCCCCACCACCGTCCTCTCCAGTTGTTTTGAAGGAAATCCCAGATGCAATATCAATTTGTCCATAAATATTTCAGTGCCTTACATCTTCAAATGAAAGCCTGATACGTCTAATTTTCATACTGGGCTAACAGTAAGTGTGAAGCAAAAAATCCAAAGCCTGAAGTCACCCCACATGACTTGGTATTGGGAATTGTGTGGATCCAGCCCTAAAACCCCCGGGCTTGGGGTTGGAGCCACCATTTAAAGAAGTGTTGGAGCCCATCTCGCCATCCCTCAGCCTCGAGTTATAACTAGTCATAGGTAAAAAGAAGGCAACCAGGACACAGGTGTTTATGAGATCAAAAGCAACAACAACCGAAACAATCAACAGTGCTACTAAGGTAACACAGATAGGTGAGGAAGAGGCCAGGTGCTCAGTAAGTGTCTCCTGTGGACGGTCCCTCACCTCCCCTGAGCAGAAGGGCAGGGTGTCATCTCCACATGCCTTGGGGAGATGGCAGGGCCAGCACTCTCCAATGGCTTCTGAAGAGGAGCTACTAGGAGAAGAAAGTGATGCTCTAAGGAAAGGCTGGACTGCCGAGAGCAGTATACCCATCCCATTTTGTAAATTATGTTAAAAATTGTGTTAGAGTAGTGCATGTGGTAATACACATAGCTTAAGGATCCTGTCTTTCTGTACGTTCATTGTGATAAGCAGGTCACCCCCACCATCTGCCAGCTTCTTCAGCTACTGCCTTTGGTATTTACCTTTCCCAGCTCGATAACGTGCTCATAGGGGCTCTTCTTGATGGTAGAAGAGTGTTAGGCATTATCTCCTGACTTCCCATGATGGCACATGAGCGCCTGCAGGCACCCTTCTCCCACCCATGTGATAATTGGATATTTAGGATGGAGCCAGCATGCGGTATTTTGGGGGATCATGACAGTAAATGCTAGTTGCAGGTGACCCATACATTACACGTGTTTCTTTCCCTTAGACTCAATAGTTGCCATTTCTGCTTGGTTTTCCCAGTGCTGTTGTCCCCACACCCCCAGCCCCCCATTTGTCCCCACACACCCAGTGTGGCCTGCTCCGTGTGGCCTGGATAACATCTCTGTGGGGGTTGGCTGTCATCCTGGGACCCCTCCCCTACCATCCAGGCCCCACTTCCTGGAGCCCCTGCCATCTGCTTCTTGGCAGAGCTCCTGCTGCATAGCCTCCTGGAAGGGGTGCACTGGAGGCCATTTTTCCTTTCCTTCTGACTTTTATTTTAGGGTTGGGGGTACATGTGCAGGTTTGTTACATGGGTAAATTGCATGTCACGGGGTTTGATGTTCTTATTTCATCACCCAGGTGATAAACATAGTACCCGATAGGTAGTTTTTCAGTCTTTCACCCTCCTCCCTCCCCGCTCAAGTAGGACCTGGTGTCTGCTGTTCCCTCTTTTGTGTCCCTGTGTACTCAGTGTGTAGCTCCCACTTATAAGTGAGAACTGGCCGGGCGCGGTGGCTCACACCTATAATCCCAGCACTTTGGGAGGCCAAGGTGAATGGATCACCTGAGGTCAGGAGTTTCAGACCAGCCTGACCAACATGGTGAAACCCTGTCTCTACTAAAATACAAAATTAGCTGGGCGTGGTGGCGGGCGCCTGTAATCCCAGCTACTCAGGAGACTGAGGCAGGAGACTCGCTTGAACCCGGGAGACAGAGGTTTCAATGAGCCAAGATCGCGCCACTGCACTCCAGCCTGGGCGACAGAGCGAGACTCCGTCTCAAAAAATAAGTGAGAACATGCAGTGTTTGGTTTTCTGTTCCTGCGTTAATTCACTTAGGAGAATGGGAGGCCATTGTTTTAAGGCTTATATGTCTGGAAATGTCTTGATCCTGGTCTGAGGTTGATTCACGTTTCTCTGGGTTGAATCATAGGTGGGAATGGTTTACTCGTGCGGTTTGGAGCTCTGATGTTGCTGTGGAGAAGACTGAAGCTTTTCTGATTCTGGCTGTGTGCACCTCCCGGTCTCTTTGCCTCTCAGGGCCTTTTGGGCTTGTGCCTTTACCAGGGCTTGGAGGTGTGCACGTGTGTGGAGGTGCTTGGCCAAGCTCTGTCCTCTGCAGCGGGCCCGTCGGGTGGCATCTGGAAAACATTCTTGCCACTTTCTTCACGATCACCTCACCTCCTGTGTTCTCAGGGCTGCCTGCAGTTCCTTTTATTTGGAGCTGTTGGTCTGATCCTTACATTTTCATATTTTTTCCCTCTTACCCATCCATTTGTATTTTTGCTCTGTTTTCTGTGAAATTCTCTCAGTGTTCTCTCCCAACCCTGCTATTGGGATTTTTATTTCTGCCACATTTTTCCTTCTGTATCTTTACTTTCAGACTCAGGTTTCTAAGCCTTTGCTTTCAAACTCAGGTTTCTAAGCTTCCCTTTTAAAGGCGCATGCGGTTCTTGTTTCCGCCAGGCCGTCTATGCGGTGAGGATGTTAGTGACAGCTCTGGAAGTCTTCTCGTTGCGTGGCCTCTGCTCCCTCCACATCACCTGTCTCTGCTCCTTGGTCTGGGTCTCTTGCCCACCCACGTCAGGCTCTTCTGCATTGTCTGCTGATCCTTGATGTCTGGTGACACGGCCCAGAGAGCCTCGAGCTGCGTGGGGGCTTCTGGGTGCCCATCAGGCTCAGCGACGGTGGCCTCCTGTGGGTGGTCTACTGGGCCATCTCCTTCCGGGTTTTCCCCCAAGAGGAGTGTTCTGCTCCTGCCTGGGGGAGGGAGGGTGGTCCTGCTGCACACTGGGAGAGAAGCTGGGAGGCAGCACTCTGTGAGTGGGCTGTTCCCCACACCCCTGTTCTGGAGGCTGCCCTACTCTGAGCTGGGTCTGGAGTCGTCAGTCCAGAGCTCCCTCCTGTGTAGACCCTCCCAGAAAGTCAGCCTCTGGTTCCTGGCAGGTGCAGGAAGGGCAAGCAGCCATCTGTAAGGTGAGGAAAGACCTTGTGTCCACAGCTGCTTTATCTGATGTTCAGGTGCCCCCCACCAACTGCACCCCCACCCCCGCCAGAGACTCCCGAGCCTTTGTGGGGAAACGTGGATTGCTTCCTTGCCTTCTCTGCTGTCTTTCTAATTTCTTGCTTCCAGATTATTTTTGTTACTCTCTTTCCCTTTTGCTTTGTCTGTTAAAATCCACTTTCTTTCATTGTAGTGGGATCTGGGGCTGGAAGGGTGGTGGGTGCCTGTGCCTGACCTGCCAGCTTTATCCAGAGTTCCTGTTAGGCCTTTGGTCCAGTGCAGGAGGCGTGGGGAGAGATGAGGGTAAGGTAAGCACTAGGTAGGGGGCGGCTGAGAGTTGTCCAGCTCTTGGGCAGCCAGCATCTCCTTTGTTCTTGCCCAACAATGTTATCCAGGAGTTTGCCAGAGATACATCCAGCAATATCCTGGAAGCAACTGAAGGCAGCTCACAAGAAGACAGTTGTGCAGTGGAAGGAGGGGGTCCAAACCTAAGGTTGGCAGGTTGACTATAGTACAGTTGCGATTGTCTGCATTCTTACAGTTTCTGTCAAAACATCGTTTTCCCAAGTGGCTGGTCAGCTCCCCTGTGGTTAACATGCTTGCAGCAATGGATGAGAGCTCCAGTTGCTCCACCAGCATTTAGTATTGTCAGTGTTTTGGATTTTAACCATTCTCATAAATATGTATAGTGATATCTCGTTGTAATTTGAATTTTCATAATAACAAATGACACTGAACACCTTTTCACACAGTTGTTTACCATCTCTCTATCTTCTTTGGTAAGAGTGTTCAGATCTTTTGTTCATTTTTTAAATTGGCATTTGCTTATTGTTGAGATTGAGTTCTTTATGTATTTTAGATACAAATTGCCTTTACTTTTGATCAGCCTCAAATGAAGAGCATTTTTATCAGCTAAATAAACCTGGCTCTGTAATTGTGGATTCCAACCTCATATTCCTGTCTTGCCTTGTGTTTCAGAAAATATCTGAAGAGGTGCATAGGAATGTCATCCCTGGGCTATCACCAGCCATCAGGGCTGTGTTGGTACGCAAGCAGTCACATTGCCTCCCGATGCCCAGAACAAGGATGTTAACCGCACACTGGCTCCTGAAGCCAGGGAACATTCCCTTCAAGATGGCAGAGGAAAGGCGGGGGCAGTGGGGTCAGCTGGACATGCGTCACCCTACCGTGCTCAGGGAAGATGCTTCTGGCTTCCCCTGGGAGGCAGCTAGTGATGAGGGTCTCACAATGGAAAGGAAATGGAAATGTCTGTTCTTTGGGTTCAGCTCTCATGAGTCCACAGGTAGCACCGTTCATCTGGAGAAGGCCTTCACTTGCACAATCCATGATCTGGAAGCTTCTGTGGCAAGGGGCCGATATACGTCTCCCTACTTATCCATTGAGGAGCAATAAGGGTTGTGACTCGGGTGTGCGTGAAGGAGAGAAGCTCCAGAGCCCTTGTCTCAGGTGGCTTCTGGCCTTCTGTTGGCAGAAACCATTGGTATTCTATTATTTCTGTTTTTAAAAGGGACCTTGAGAACGGAAATTTTCAAGTGTGTTTTGTAACCCTTAGCAAAAGGAGAGCAAACACCTTTATGAAATTCTGGCATGTGGTCCTTTTAACCTTTCCAGGCAGTGTACTGGTTCATGCAAACTAGTGCTATTCCCTTCTTAGGGATTGGGGTGCTGGGTTCTGTGGAAGCAGTCCCAGTGGTGAGCTGGAGCTTGGGTGAAAGGTACGTGTGTGTACATACACCACTTTGTTACATAGTGTTATTGCATTAATTCTGACTGTCCAAAGTGATTCATTTGATGAAGGCAGAAATGCAGAAAGGACAGTCACACACAAATCCCATCTTCCTGAGGTAACCTCTGTTTCCTTCCTGCAATTAGAGCTCTGGCATATGCATTTCATGTGTGCATTTGAGGGTGGGGCTCAGCCACTTGGTAGTCTGTTTTCTTCCCTGTCCACGTTCCCAGGGGCTGTTTATCAGCAGCTCACATTGGTGGTTCAGAAGAACATTCGAGAGAGACAGCTGGGCTGGCTCCGTGTGCTTACTCTCCCTCGTCTACCCCATCCAACAGATTGTGAAGCCTGGTTCCAGTAACCTTGGGGATGACACCAAGGAGCGCTGAGCCCTCCACCCCGCATGTTGTGGTCTTGGGGGAGGGAGGCAGGTAGGACACAGAACAGGGTTCCTGCCCCAGTGGCTCCTCCCAGCTCTTGCTAGCCCTCCCTTGGCATCAGGCAGACCTAGGTAGCCTCAGGTCTTGGAGTCCCGTACAGAGCTGTTGCAGAGGGGGTCACTCCAACCTTGAAGCTTCTGGGGGCCTGGCCGTGGGATAGTGCAGAGTGTGGCACTGCTTTTCTTCCCGGCTGGTGTCCCTGGGGTCAGCTGCCTTAAGGTTAGGGCCCTGTTCTAGGTTAGGACAGGGAAGGGCTTAGGAAACAGGGCCAGCAGGATACAGGGAGGAAGGTGTGGGCACGGACATGCAGCGGGCAGGCCTGTGCCGGGAAGAGGGTGGGCTTTGTCTCCTGAGAAGAGGTGGCCCCCCAGAGCACTGGTCTCCCCACATGGCAGGCAGTGGGGCTCTGTTTCAGGCCCTCTCCAACGCACTTAGGCTGCGACAAGCCTGAGCAGGATGTAGGGGGCTACTAGACCTGCGGGCAGGGCTGAGGGACAGGGCCCGGGGCTGCCAGGTCACCTGTTCTCTGCAAGAGGGTTTTTGAACACAAGGGCTTTCCCAAAGGGTAGGGGTAACTTGCTCCTAGTGGGCAAGACCGAGAGCCCCTGGTGGCTCCATCGGCCTGGGCTGCTGCAGGAGAGGTCTGGGGGCTTTCTAGCTCCTCCCTGGGGGTCTGGAGGTTCCTAGCAGAAGCCCCGGCACTGTTCACCTGTTTCAGAAAAAACAGACCGTTGTCTAATTTGTTGTTGTTGTTGTTTTGTCTCGGCTCCCTCAAAAACCAAAGGCGTTTTTTAGGCCCGTCGTCCAAATTACAAGCTCATTTTAATTCGGATGTATTTACTTTGTGAAACCAACCCTGAAGAATACATTGTTTCGTTATATTCTGCTGGAAACCTTGCCACATTTTTCCTGAGAAAACTGAGCCTGCTGTGCACCTGGAGCCGGCCAGGTGGCAGGTGCTGGGCCTGGAAGAGGAGCCTGCCGAGGCTCCTCCAGGGCTTCTGAGTGCCATTGTTTTGAGTGCGCTGCCTGGTAGCGCTGGGCCCTTCCAGGGAACTGCCTGGCTCCTTCCTCAGCTGCAGCCTCCTGCTGCAGGGGAGCTGGGGACCGTGGAGGTCCCCCACAGGTCCTCAGGCCCACATGCCCCCAGCCTGGGCAAGCCTGCCGTGAAATAGGCCTCGTAGAGCCTGGCTGTGGGGGCAGCAGGGGCCCCTGGGTGCAGAGGGTAGCCTCGCCGCACTGTGGGTGGGTGCCCCTGCTTGCTCCTCCTGGAACGTGAACGTGGGCAGCAGTGTTCCTGTTCCATGCTGGGGAGGGGCTGTGAGAATGTCTTTCTTCCCGGTGTAGCCTAGCCTCAGGCCCACCCTTCTGGGTGTGTTACCTTGGTGAGGTCACTTGGTTTCTCACCTCTGACAAGGGTTTCACATCAACACTTTCCTGTCTTCCGGGTTGGTAGAGTCAGATGAGCCCAGTGCAGGCCAAAAGTAAAAGCTGCACCCCTGTAAAGAGTGTACATGCAGCTGTTTGTGCCATTGAGTGTCTGTAGCAGAGCTTAGCAGGGTGGGGTCCCTGCAGGCAAGGTCCCCCCCAGGAGACACAGAAGGAGAGGGCAGGGGGAGGAAATGAAGGCTGGGGGAGGGGAGACACAGGAAGAGGAAGTGGGCCACGATGGTTGCCAAAGGCTCTGCAGACAGGGGCCCCTCCCTCAGTTGCCTAGAGAGCCGGCTGGGAGCACGGGCACCTGGGGTGCAGAGCTGGGGCTGGCTGTGCAGGTGCTTGTTCGTGTCAAGAAGCAGTTGGACTTCTCTGTGAGATTCTGCAGATCTCCCCTGTGACTGTCAAGGCTGGTGCCCCCCACCCCCCACCCCAGACGTCACAGCCAGAGGCAGGCCCAAGAGGCCTTTCCATACTGTGTCCCTTTCCCTACCCACCACGTGCTCTGCCCTCTTTCTTCCCTCCCTCCCTCCTTCCTTTTCTCTTGGTGCAAGAGAAAACCCTTTCCCAGTAGTCCACAGATTCCCTGGTTCCTACTCCTCATGAGCCCCTACAGTGGCACTTGGGATCTGCATCCTAGTGGCTGGATGGACTTGGCTCTCCTAGCTGCCATCCACCTGGGCTAATTTTCAGCCCACAGTGGTGTCACAAAGTGGTCTTATGGCAGGAGTGTGGTATTCAGGAGCCTGAAGGGGGCTTCTGACGTGGAATTACAACTCTGGAACTGCTTCTGTTTAAATCCTTTGCTGAATATTTGTCACCCATAGCCTTTTAGGTCTGACCCGTTCTAAACTGCTGGGCCTATCAAACAATTTATCAGGGAGGGCCCTTCTCCAATAGGACAGTTTGCAGCGTGACCCAGGGGCTCTAAAGCCCTGGAGCCCTGCCCTGGGAGCATCTCCTACAAAGCTAGATTGGACTTTATTGCTATTTTTGAGTTTCTCATCCTGGAAGCCACTGCCCAGCACATTCTGAGGAGAATCTGCCTGGGCGACCATTGTTATTTTAAGAGAGCTCTTGGGGTAATATGAGGAACTGTGCTTTGAAATAGGGAATACAGAATGGGGCCAGTAATGTGCCCAGAGTGTTGAATGTCTGATTTTTAAATTGGCATTATTGATGGCTAGCATTTTCTAGTTTGCTATGGATTTTTTGTTTTGAATTTAACTTTTTGAATAGGAAATGCATTTGTGTGTTTCAGAATCTAAAAGATTTAAGTAGTTTCCCCAGGGAAAATTCTGTCAACCTTCCCTGTTCTCCATCTGCTCAGTGTTCCCCTGGGTGATCTCTGTTCCTACTTTCCTAGGGACCCTCTCTCTGCACATACAGGCCAAGGCGCACGTAGATCCTTGCTGGTCATCTCTCCTCAACCTTGTTTTCCTCACTCAGCTTGGAGATCTTTCCATATCAGTTTGTAAAGAACTCATTCTACTTCTTTGCGATAGTGTTCTGTTATATGTGCGTTCCATAATTTATTTGACAGGCCCCAGTGGAAGGACATGAGTTGTTTTCAGGTTCCTGCTGCATTGACTAATCAGGAGCATATCCCGTTTTGTAGGTGTGCAAATGCGTTTGTAGGCTAGGATGTCAAAAGTTCAGATGTGGGTAAAAGGGTGTGCACATTTCTAATTTTAATAGGTATTGCCAAATCGCCCTCCATGGAGGTTGTAGCAGTTTGTACTCCCATCAGCAAAGAATGCCTGCTTACCTGCAGCCTCACCAAGGTGATAAGCTACCAAGCTGCATTTCAGTGTGTCTCATCTGCCATTAGCTCCTGATGGATGAGGTGGAGCATCTTTTCATGCATTTGAGAGCCATTTGTAGTTCCTTTTTTATGAATGGGCTTTGCCCATTTTTCTGTTGGATATTTTTCTTTTTAAAATTCCTGTGAGCTCTTTCTGTATTGGAGATTAGCCGTTTGTGATAGGAGCTGCAAATATTTTTTCTCTCAGTTTTGTCAGTTATCTCTTGCCTTTGTTTATGGTGACTTTGTTCATGGAGAAGTATAGTATACTGTTTTGTGCAGTCAAATAGATTGATTGATTGATTGAGACTGAGTCTCACTCTGTCACCCAGGCTGGAGTTCAGTGGTGTGATCTCAGCTCACTGCAACCTCTGCCTCCCACGCTCAAGTGATTCTCCTGTCTCAGCCTCCTGAGTAGCTGGGATTACAGGCGCTCGCCACCACGCCCGGCTGATTTTGTATTTTTAGTAGAGACGGGGTTTCACCATGTTGGCCAGGTTGGTCTTGAACTCCTGACCTCAGGTGATCCTCCTGCCTCAGCCTCCCAAAGTGCTGGGATTACAGGCATGAGCCACCATGCCCAGCCTTTAGTCTTTTCTTTTATGGTTTGTGGACTTTGATTCATAGAAGGAACTTCTGTCTTACAGTTTTCTCCTAGAATGTTTGTGGTTTTATTTTTCACATTAGAATCTTTGACCCATTTAGAATTTATCCTGGTGTAGGGTGGGAAGTATGAACCCAGCCTTTCCAGATGCTACCGAAGTGTCCTCATAACATGTATTGACTGCTCCCTGCCCTAGGGGTTCGAGATGTCACTCTGTCCTTTGCACAGTTACCACTACCTTTCGTTCTAATTCTGCCATTTCTGCTGGGCTTCACTGGCCAGTGATCAGCTTACGAAACTGTGTTGAATCCTGGTGGTCTCGTTTCCCCCACGTCATTGTTTTGCAGGATTTTTTTCTGGCTATTACTGTGTGTTTTTCTGTATGAATTTTTAGGATCAAGTTATCCTATTCGAAAACAAAGCAAAGCAACAAGAAAAATGCCTACTTTAAAAAATATCTTCGCAAGCATTGTAGAAATGTGGAGCCACACATTTGCCCAAGGAGGATTCTCTCACTGAAGCAGTGTTGCCTCCGACACTGTGGCAGTCTCCAGCCAGGCTTCAGCACCCTGCCAGCTCTTGCATGTGAAGAGTGGATAGTAGTGTGTGATCAGCGGCACTAGACCAGAGCGCCTGGGACAGGGCACACCTGCCCCCCATGTCTCTTTCACTACTGGGCGGCTCACAAACATGCTTCCCGGGGCCCCTTGGCCCATAGGTGATAACATTGTTATCTCCTCCAAGCACCACTGTGCAGCAGGCATGTGCCCCACGTATTCTCCCACTTAACCCTCACAGTGACTGAGAAACAGGCTGGATGACAATCCCTGAGGCATCAACAAAGGAGTGGAGGTAGAGCAGGCTGCTTCCTTGCCCCAGGCAGGTTCCAGCTGCGGCTCTAGCTCTGGCGCCAGCCAGCTGAATGACAGCTCACTCTCTCCTCCTGGGCCTCACTTCCCTTACCTGCTCAGTGGGTGGGTAAGAGCTTCCAACCTGGACTTCCTGCGAAGCCATGTGCATGTCAGCTCCATGTGGCTTAATAAACCACTAACATTTCTAGAGACGAGCAGGACAGTCAAATGGCCTCCTAAGGAGTTAGGAAGTCCACCCCCCACCACAGAGGCCAGGCCTTTCTGCTACCCCTGAGGCTGTATGCCTGAGTTTCATTGGAGGCCAGCAGTTGATCAGCCCCTGTGTTTGGCCATGCTGACCTGCTCCAGAACAGGAGGGTGAACAGTCTTCCTGGAGTGAAAAACATTGCAGTCTTGAGGTTGGGAGCTAGAAGTGGCCCCAAACCAGTGCCCACAGGGCAGAGCTGTCCATCAGTGAATGACAGCCCACTCACTGGTGGGGAATACCTGGAGACTGGGGACAGTGGCCTGGGAGCCTGAGGGCAAGCAATTTCTCTTTGGAAGCCTCTCCCTGTGCCTCCCTTTGAGTCTGACCAGCGCTGCCCCTGCCATTGCCTCCAGATACACACCCACATGGACCCTTGCGCTCCAGAGGTCTGTTGTATCCAAGACATCCCTGTGAGGGTGATGGCTCATTTGCCTTTCCAGGACCTCCCGGTAGGAGTTGCATTTCTTCCCTTCTCCCTTCCATGAAGGGGAGCTCAGCGAGGCTTCCTAGAGAAGACCCAGCAGGAGGCCGGCAGAAGAGGCCCTTGCGGCAGACGCTGCTCTGGCCCCAGCTTGGTACCGGGCATTGGAAACATTGCAAAAATGACCACTCAACAGGCTTCCCACAGGAGGTTCGCAGACAGAAAGATCTGCAGTGTGGTTTATACAGGTGCAGCTGGAGCCGGGTGGGGTGGGGGGGCCCACTCACCTGTGGGGGGTTGGGGGGGAGTTTGGCTAAGGCTGGATTGCAGGAGATAACTTGGAGCGTGCCCTTTGCGCAGGAGGGCAGAGCAGAGTGGAGTCCATGCCACAGCCCGAGTCTGAGCTCAGGCTTTGAGCTGGAGCACGCACACTCCTGAGCTGGCTGCATTTGCATGTGGCTGCTGTGGGGGAGAGGGGAGGGCCTGGGACTTGGGTGTTGAGGCGGATTGGGGGCTCAGCTGAAGGAGAGAGAGCCCCTGCGCCCCCCTTCCGGCTGGCTCTCTGAGAGAACACGTTGTCCCCGCCTGGGCCTGCGGCTTGGGCAAGAGCAGCATGTGGGACGCTGTGTTCCCTGATAAGATGAGGCAATTGCTCTCACTCGGGGCGCTGCTCCGCTCGCGGCCTCGCTGTGGCGCCAGGGAACATTTATGTAACGCGCAGCCCTGAGCAGCTGCCCCGCCCAACCATACTCCAATCCCCACCCACCCCACTCTCCCCGCAACTGCATGCGGTCCCCTACCCTGCATCACCCGGCCATGCAGCCTGGTACCCGAAGAGTCCCCCCTCTGCTTGGCACCTGTAGGACCCCCAAACCCCAGCATGGCTTAGCCCCTCTCCCAGCTCCCCACAGTTCCCCCAACCCTCCTACAGCCTCCCTTCAGGGCTCCAGGGCACCTAGTGCCCCTCCAGGCTTGACCCCAGCCCCCTTCCTCTCACCAAGTCTTCTCACAAGGCCTAACCCCGCCTTGTCCCACGGCCCCCACCCCATGCACAGGCACAGGCACACATAGCCAGAACCCCTGGGGCCCTCCCACCTGGGGAGCTGGAGTGACTCTGAGATCCGGCAGGAAGGCTAGGAGCTCCTCTGCAGGAGTCTGGAATCTCCTACTGGTTCTCTTGTCATTTTGGAGCTAGAGGGAGCTCCTGTCCTGGTGAGTCCCTGTCTTGCTGTTGCTGTCTGTGTACCCCATGCCCGGGTGGAGGCAGATGCAGGGTTTGAGCCCAGCAAGGAGGGTGCTTGGATTTGTTTAGGCCATTGGGCTCCCTTTGCCTTAGAATGGGAGGCGGGCTCACTCCCTGAAGGGCCGGGCCTGGCTGGCCCCTCACCTCACTGTGTGCCCCCCTGTGCTCACTGTGTGCCCCCCTGTGCTCACTGTACTCGGCTGCACGCAGCCCCGCCTGGAGTCTGTCCCCATAACAGCAGTTTTTAGAGTGAAGCTTGAGGACACTCGCAGGTGCCTCAGACCCTTCAGAGGGGCCATGAGATCAAAACTGTTTTCATAACAATAGCACTGTTTGCCTCATTCTCCCAAAAGAGTACAGTAGGCTATTGCAGATGCTACAGGATGTGTGACAGCACCACGACGACTGGAATGCGTGCTTGGGTTGAAGACCTTTTTTCCATTTTAATTTGTAATTTCTAATACGATGAAAGCAGTGGCTCCCGCCCACATACAGGAAAGCTCCTGGGGCTCCCTGCGGATCATGTGGGTGAAAGTGGCCTGGGGCATGTTGCTCCCTGTTCCCGCCTCCACCCGTTCTCCCTTCTCTGGGCTGCTCCTTGTCAGCCTCCTGGGTGCTGCCTGAGTGTCACTACCAGGGGACCCAGCCAGACCCAGTGTTGCTCCTTGCTAGCCTGAGCCATAACTCCTGTTGTGGGCCAGTTCATTGGCCGTCACCTCTCTGCAGCAGGCTGAGGGAGGAGCAGAGAATGGAGCCGTGGGGGCCGCGTCTGCCTGGGTCAGGACCATGTCTCTGGGCCAGGCACCCAGTATGTGCCCTGTCAAAGCATAAAGCTCCTGATATATAGGGAGGCCAAGAGCTGTGCTGGTGGAGTGGCTGCACCCAACACCCACCTTCCTCCACTCCAGGCTGCCTGGCACCAACGTCCCATCCATTGGATGCTGCATTTCTCTGCGGCCCCAACACCATGTGGTCCACCTGTAGCTCTGTGTACCTCACATGCTTCCCCAGCCTGCAGGCAGAAGAAGCTAAAGGACAAGGCTCCTCACAAGGGCTATTAGGAAGCAAGGCTGAGTCTGAATTTGGGTTGGCTTCCCCCCACACCAACAGGCCCAAATCAGAGGAGACCCAGTTGACAGGGCTAATGACTAAGAGCAACAATAACAGCTGAGATTTCAGGAGTGGACCTTTGGAACGTGCCAGGCGCTGTGCTGAGGCCGGTCGTGCGCAGCCCCATGGGATCACTGTATGGACCCCCCGCATGAGGACGGGGCAGTGTGCTCACTTCCTGTGGCTGCTGTCACACATTACCGCAAACTGGGTGGCTGAAAAGCAACCGAAACTTACTCTCTCACAGTTCCAGAAATCAAGGTGTTGGCAGGGTTAATTCCTTCCAGAGGCTCTGAGGGAGAATCCACTCCATACCTCCCCTTCCTTCCCCTGCCCCCTTTCTCCCCCTTCTCACTTGCTGCCTTCCCCGTCTCCCTCACTCCCCTCCCCTCTTCTCCATGCTCCACACTTGGGAGCTCATCTCCAGATCCTGACCTGATTACATCTGCAAAGACCCTTTTTCCAGATAAGATCACATGCACAGGTTCTGGAGGGTTATCACTTGGCTATATCTTTTGGGGGACCATTATCTGCCCTACTGCTGGCAGCACGGAGCTTTTTCGAGGCCATAGCGTCACAACTCAGGGCAAACAGGGTCTGAACCTCATCTGTCAGACCTGACATGGTTAATGCTAAACCATTTAATGCTGGACTTTCCCAAGCTTTTAATGACTAGTGTGCGTTGTGAATCTCCAAGAGTGGAATTATCATGCAACATTTTCACTCTTTAGTTGACAAAATTTTTTTTCTGGAAACGATAAACAGTTTTATACAATGATAACATTTCTTTGAACATGTTTTGGGAAATATTGGACTAGATATTTAAGGAACTATATTTAAACACTTCTTCTTCTTGTTATGGAAGAAACAAATACATAGGATTTTTTTAAAAGGCCCAAGCCAGGCGTGTGGCTCATACCTGTAATCCCAGCACTTTGGGAGGCTGAGGAAGACAGATCACTTGAGGTCAGGAGTTCAAGACCAGCCTAGCCAACATGGTGAAACTCTGTCTCTACTAAAAATATAAAAACTAGCCGAGCGTGGGTAGGCGCCTGTAATCCCAGCTAGTCGAGAGGCTGAGGCAGAAGAATCACTTGAACCTGGGAGGTGGAGGCTGCAGTGACAGAGCAAGACTCTATCTCAGATTAGATAGATAGATAGATAGATAGATAGGTAGATAGATAGATACCCATAACACAGAGGAGCTTGCAACAAAAAAAATCCTCTCACCAGTCCAGCCCCACTCCCTAGACAGCAACACTTCTTTTCTGATTTTAGTTGTCTTGATGGTTACTGCCATAAATGAACTGTATTTTACTGCTGTTTCTTGATTTATCAAATTTAGATATTTTCTGTTATCCTCCTGCCATGAAATTTAAGGATTTACCTGACTCCTATCCCTCCCCTCCAACTCTTCCTAAATTGATGGATGTATTATTTTACTTATTTTGTTGACTATCTTTGTAATTTTAAATCTCTGTGTTTCATTTAGATACGTTCTTTGCACACTGTGTGCATTCCAACTTTTCCCTTAAATCCATGTTCTCTGCTGGGCCCACAGGTCAGTTGTATGGCCTTTGTTTATAGGATTGGTTCTGAAACATTGACAACTAGTGCTAAGGTTAGCATGACCACAACTGTGTAAAGTTTGCTTCCATCAGCAGGGCCTGTGCTGGGATTACATTTCCTGCCACCACCTCATGGAGTTGTTGTGAAGAATAAATAATAGAGCATAGGAAAAACCCCTAGAACCGAGCTTGGCTCGGAGCTCTTGACCCATAATCATGAGGCATTTTCGTTTACATCTAATTTGAACCACAATTTTTTTGTATGTCTTTTATTTTTCCTGGAGTTTCTAATTGCCTCTTTTTTCTTTTAAACAAAGAAGAGTGGTGTGTCTTTACTGGGTCCTGAAGTTTACCCAGCCTTTTGATGGTACTCTCTGGTGCACAAAACTCACTTTCCTCCTGGAATTTTCCCCCGTGAGTCTTGGTCCTGTGCTCCAGTGACCTCCCGGGGTCTCTGCCTCACTCTTGTCATGCAATGGCCCTTTACTATTCAGTCATGTCTCTAGCTCCTTGGTTTTATCTCATTTTAGCTGGAGTGTGTGAGACATTAACTTGGAAGGCCCTGTTCCTTTGTCTTCAGGATCCAGTGTGACTTAGGAAAAGTCTGATGTCTATCCCAGCCTTGTTCCTTTGTGGATGACCTGGTGTTTGTTTCTTCCCCCTCTCTCTATTAAGCTGTGAGAGCTCCTGTTTTTACTCAGTGTTCTGACATTGCAGAGCTTCTCGCAGCAGAGGTCTTAACTCATTTACCTGGTCCACCTCTGTGCAGCCTGTCTCATGTTAGTTTCCTGTCTCCTTTTTCTTTTTTTTTTTTTTTTTTTTTTACTCTTTGACAGAGACTGTTCTATTATTTCTTTTGTAATTTCTTCTCCATGTTTTCTGTTTTCTCACTTGATTGTAATTGTCGTGTATTTGGGAAATCGTGGTGGCTACTTGATTTTGAATCCCCCCAACACCCTTTCCCCCAACATGTAAAATCAATAAAGAGAGCAAGTGTACCCACACACGGCCCCTGCTTCAGCAGTACCAGGAGACGGAACATCGTGACATCCACATATTTTCCAGAACTGTTTTTTGGTTCTTTTTTTCTCATATATTTGCTTTGAGTATATTTCCAGCTTTTATATGAAAGTTTTATATGCACACAATGCTGTTTTCAATTCCTAAATGCTGTTGTTTTTGCTTTTTTTTTTTGAGACAGACCCTTGCTCTCTTGCCCAGGCTGGAGTGCAGTGACACAATCTTGACTCACTGCAACCTCCACCTCCCAGGTTCAAGTGATTCTCCTGCTTCAGCCTGCCGAGTAGCTGGGATTGCAGGTGCACACCACCACACCTGGCTAATTTTTGTATTTTTAGTAGAGACGGGGTTTCACCATGTTGGCCAGGCTGGTCTCAAACCCCTGATCTCAAGTGATCCACCCGCCTCAGCCTCCCAAAGTGCTGAGATTATAGGCATGAGCCACCGCGCCTGGCCGTTTTTGCTCTCTGAACTTCTTTGTATGGTATCCTCTTTGCTTTTGCATCAAATTTCATCTCAAATTCCTCAGAGAATACTAATCAGAAATTTCAAGTTAAAATTTTCTTCTCTTTCCTGGCTTCACTCTTTTCCTCTAGAGTTGGTGGTTGCATTGCGCTTGGCCTTTCTTTTCCATGCTGCTGGTTCTCCCTGGCTGTCTGGCCATCCCTGGGTATCTGCTTGTGTTTAAGGTGGGTGGGTGAGTGGGTTTCCTCTGTTGAACATGGGTAGACCAGCTTCAGTGACTGGCAGTCACTTTAGGGTCTGTATGGGGGTGAGAGGGGATGAGACCGTGTAGGAAGGGCAGCCCTGCGGCCACCCCTAATACAAGAAGGGCTCGTTTCTGGGGTGCCAGAGCCCCCCACCCTGGTTCTTCCTGAGCAGTTGATGTCATTTTTGTGATTCAGAGTTTTGTGTGTTGAGTTTGCCTGGGTAAATGCTGGCCTGTCTCCCGCTCCGAGTGAGGGATGGGAAGGAGGGAGCAGCATCCTGACCGTAGCCAACCTTCATTACCTCCCACCCCACTGTGTTCTGCCTCCTCCCTACCGGCACAGGCCCCTATAATGGGGTGCTCTGGGTTGCTGCCCTTGTCTGTCACCACACTTGGGTCTGCAAGAGGCTGTTTCATTCTCCTGCTCTGCCAGCCGTCCCTGGTTGGTCACTTTGGGACTTTTGTGAGAGAAGGAGCAGCAGACTGGTTGTAGAATTCCAGGCCCCGGAACTCACCTACGCTGACCCTCTCATGTGACAGACTAGACTGAGGAGGGTCAGAATGGGAATTGCCTTCCTGCCCTGCAGGGGTGCAGAGTGTGGCTCCCATGGAGCAGCATGGGCGGCTGGACTCCGGGAGGCCTGTGAAGCCAGGGCATGGGCCTGCAACCCCCAGGCGTTGGAGACCACTGGCCCGGCATGGGTGTGTAGTGCAGCCTGCTTTGTGGTGTACTTAGGGGGTCCACTGCCAGGAGCCTGGGGCCCTGACCTGTACCTACCCATGGGCCCTGCAGCTTCAGCACCTGAAATGCTGTTTTATCCTAGGCCGTGTCCTCTGCCTCCATCCCAGGCGTGGGCGGGAGGGCAGGGGCCCACCTTCATCTCTGCCTTGATGGATTTGTCACAGAAGCTCTTGGAGGTGGGGCATGTGGGAGGGGTGTTGAGAGACCAGGGTGTTGGGTGTTGCGGGCCCTTCCCCAGAGAGGGTGTGAAGGCGGGGCCAGGTGCGGATACTGATGCTCTGCCCCTGTGCCCACAGGTGAGAGGCCCTTCGCCTGCAGCTGGCAGGACTGCAACAAGAAGTTCGCGCGCTCCGACGAGCTGGCGCGGCACTACCGCACACACACGGGCGAGAAGAAGTTCAGCTGCCCCATCTGCGAGAAGCGCTTCATGCGCAGCGACCACCTGACCAAGCACGCGCGCCGCCACGCCAACTTCCACCCGGGAATGCTGCAGCGGCGCGGCGGGGGCTCGCGGACCGGCTCCCTCAGCGACTACAGCCGCTCCGACGCCAGCAGCCCCACCATCAGCCCGGCCAGCTCGCCCTGAGCCCGCCACAGCCATGAGCAGCCGCTCCCACCCCCTCGTGAGTCCCTGGCCTTTCCTTTTGTAATAAGAAAGAAGAGAGAGAACTTGATGCAAAGTCCACGAAAAAACAATTTTTTTCACCTCAGGTGTCAAAGTAAATTTGTTAAAAAAACAAAAAAAACACAAAAATTTCAAAAAACACCACCCACCAAATTGCACAATAGATACACCCACAAAGTTGAGATTCAGCGTTGTTGAACCCCCTTTCTCAGGGATGGACACGTTTCACGAGGTCAGTGAGGACACCCCTTCCTGCCGCCTTACTCTGTACATAGATTTGCACTCTGGAGTTTTCTGTTAGGTTCGGGAACACGCTGGGGACAGAGCAGGCCAGCCAGTCTGGTGGAGCTCAGCGTCTGGCTGGCTGGCCAGCCTGTGGGTCTGTTGGGAGCAGATGTGCTCACTGACGTTTGTGCCTCCAGGGCAGATTCCTAAGCAGCTGGCCTGACCTCTTCCTGCCCAGCCCCCAACCCAGTCTCTGGCCTCTGCCCAACGAGCCTGGCTGGGCTTGCAACGCAGCTGATTCTGAGACAGGCCCCTGCAGAGGGATGCCTTAAAGCTGTCCCTGGCTGGAGGAGCACTCCACCTTGGGGATAGTGGAGGGGGCCTTCAGCCCTCTGCACCCTGCCTGCCTCACACCCCGCCTTCAGGAGCCCTCTCCTACGGCGCTAGGGAGCACTGGAAGCAGAGATGCCAGCCCTGGCTGAGCGTAGCACTGCACCGTCCGACCTCCGAGGCAGGGGCCGGGGTCACACCTGCCAGGACTCCGCTTCTCCGTGTCCCAGCAGAAGGCATGCAGGACCCTGTCACTACTATACCTGGGCCTCTGATGGGGAATTCTGGTCTTCTAAAAAGATGTTAGAAATTCCTGGTGGCACATCCAGTTCCGAGTTTGCCCGCATGGGCACTTTTGTTGGAAACAGTGGGCAGGTCATGGGGCCTCCTCATCAGAGGGTCTGTGTGAGCGGCTGTGCATGTGGCAGCGCACCATGCTTCACAGAGACCATTCTGTAGCAAGAGACCGGAACATTGTGACTTGGACCTTTTCAGGAGTGGCGCGGATGTTACAGGAAATGCTGTCGGAGAGCGCGCATTCTATTTCCTCCGCAGGGAATGCCAGATAGAAAGTTGCGGGCAACACTTTTCTCAGACCCACCATGTCCCCAACTCAGACTTAGCAAACCTCCAGCCTCTCCGTTTCCCCTGGACTCCTCCTCCCTTTTCCTCCTGCTTCTCCTTGTCCTGCCTGGAGGCTCCAGGCCACACCCAGCTGGTGGGGCTGCTCCAGTGCCCCATCACCGGCCTTCTCCTGGCAGGAGAGGAGGAGCAGAGAGCTGGGTCCTGGGCTGGGATTCGAGCCCTGGGCGGGGGTCAGTCAAGCCGTGGTCCAGCAAACTCCTCTGCAGATGGCTGGAGTGTTGACCCAGGCTTGTGGCCCAGGTATCACCTTCCCTTCCTCCTGAGAGTTGAGGCCTGTAAATACAAGGGCCCAGGACAGAGTGTGTGCGTGCGTGTGGGTGTGTGCGCGCGTGAGCACACACGCGTGTGTTGGGGGGGGTGGGGGGATTGGGGTGGACTCAGGGTATCTTGCCAGAGATACCTGTTTTGATGAGTACCTATTTTGATGCAAAGGAACGGCCCTGGGACCTCAGAGGGCCACAGATGGGCTTCCTGGGCCTAGCGTGCCTTGGTTGTGGCCATCCTGCTTCTACTCAGCCCTGCCATGCTATGGGGTGCAGCACAAACCCAGGACCCAGGCCTAGCCACTGCCCACAGCTGATGGTCACTGTTTTGGCTGGCTCCAGAGTGGACAGGTACGCTCTGTCCACAGCAGCTGCTCAGGCACAGTATGCCGTCAGGTGCCCGCTTCTTACCACTGTGTGTCAGCTGGGATTGGCCGACAGCGTGGTGGTGACTTCTAGGTAGACCGATGGACCCTAAATTGGGCAGTGGCATTGTTTCTGCTGTGGTGGGAACTGGCAGGGAGAGGGTCACCTCCACTCTGGTTGGATGCGGAGCTGGTCCCTCTGGCTGCCATGCTGTGTTGGGGCTCTCTGACCTCCCTGCTTGCATTGGGTCTGGGAGAGAGAGTGGAATATTTGGTAGGGACCTTGACAGAAGAGAGCCCTGGGTGCTTGTGGTGCAAAGATCTTCATGCCCAGTTCCAAAGTGAGGTCCCTCCCAAAGTTGTTTTCGTGTGAGGCAGAGAAAGCCACACTCTGAATACATTTTATGTCTCAGGAATTCACATTCCAGGTTCAGGAATTTTATTCCAAAGTCCTTTGGTGCACTCACCGTCCACCGTTCCCCAAGGCAGGGAGAGGGAGTGGCCCGTCCCTGGGAGGCTGGCAAAGTGCTCTCCAGGGAGGGGTCAGACGTCCTTGTGATCTGCCCAGGGTGTCACGGAAGGAGATTTTCTAGCTCCACATCTGTCTGCACATAGGAAGGAAAAGATAGGACTCTAAACCTAGTCATCTTGGAATAAAAAGAAGAGCTGGTTTGTTTTAGAGCAGGGCGGGGGGTGGGGGAGGGAAGCGGGTGTTGGCTGTTTCCAAAGAGAGCACTTAATTTAATTTTTCCTTTAAATGACCCAGGGCTGTTCCGTCTGATAGATGGAAGGGTAACATTGCCTTAAAACAGAAATATGCAGGCGTTGGCTATTTTTGGCATAAGAGCGTGTCTTCATTCCCAAAGTGGTTCTCGTTTAATGGCAGGGTGCGGTCCTTAGGCCCCGGCCTGGACTGGGAAATGGGGGTAGGGCACCAGGAGAGAAATCCTCCTGGGTACTCCTGGCCAGACCCTCCTGAATCATCTGCGGCTTAAACTCATCTCGCTTGAAGGGCAGGGAGAAACCCATGAATCTCAGGCACGGTTCACAGGGGTCCTCAAGGGCAGGTTTCCATTTCATCATGAAGTGAGGGACTCCTGTGGAAGAGGGTGGTGGGCCTTGGAACGCTGCCTCCACTGAGGCGGGCACACAAGGCGGACCCTCCTGAAACAGCCTCCATTTTCTTCAAACATGCAGAATGTTTTCCCAGACTGCGTCTATTTCAGGGTCTTCCATTTTTGTGGTTTATGGCCATGCTTGCCAGTTTTGGTGGGGTTGAGGAACCCATAGGACTCATAGAAATAATAGTGAAAACTCAAACCCTTATTTTGGGACTTCAGTTCTCGTGGTCCATAGGGGCAGAGATGTCAAAGTGAAGGTTGCCTGAGTGAAGGGAGAGTTCCCCTATAAAAGGCCTAAAATTGATTTGGGGCTCAGCCATCAAGGGGCTGGTGTTGCTCCTGTCCCAGACAAGGAAGCCCCTCTTTACATCAGCCATATTAGGGGAACGGTTGTCAGCTCCCCAAATGCCTACTGGATCCTACAGCCATACAGGAAAACAGACGGACACAGCCCTTTCCTTAAAGAGCCCTGGGGTCCTGTCCTGCAGGATGCTGCATAGGAATGGGCAGAGATGTCCTGGATGGGAACATGGTCCTGGAGGTGCCCTACCTGCATCCTGCTGCACCCCCACCCACGACACTCGAGTGCAAGATCGCCTCACTCCTAACCCTGACTTTATTCCCAGGCCCCACACCGAGGCAGGTGCAGGATTCGCCATGGTGCAGCCTCCGGGTACAAACATCTGAGGCACTGGCGATCCCAGTCCTTGCAGCACCCTGAACACAGCTCAGACCAGTGAGGGGTGATTCAGAGGTGGGGATGGGCAGAGAGGGCTGGCCACTCTGCCTCAGGACTTGACCTCAAGTGTTCTGTCTCCCCACCCGGTGTGTCCAGAAGACCAGCCTCTTTCTTGCCAGAAGCAGGTGCTAAGATGGACTGCACAGGGTCCCGGCACTCCCTCGGGACCCATTCAGGATCTCAGCTGGGCAGGGGTGCCACCCAACAGGAAGATGTGATCTGAGCAATAGTGTGGCCTTGTTTCTCCGCTTCTGGTTGTGGCTGTGTGTACAGGGCTACCTGACTATTTTGACTTCTGACAGGTGTCACTGATTTTCTTTCCCCCATTTAAAAAAGGTCATTTAGTCAAAGACACAGTGCTAGAGGTTTAAAGGGTGTAATGTGTTGGTCACATCACAACCAGTAAGAAACGCTTGGTAGGTTATCCACATCTTTTGCTGACTGTTTCCATATACAATTCTGGTCACCATATTTTCCAAAACTAAAATCTGAGGCGTGGGCTGATGGTTTTTGAAATCAGGATTACCCCAGGAAGAACCAGGTCCTATTACTAATTTTCCTGATTCTGAGGCTCTGAAGGCTTGTCTGAGACACATTCCGGAGACCTTTGTACCAGAACTTGGATGCATAGTCCACCTTACTACTGATACACGCCTGAGCACCCTTTAGGGCGAGGCGCCGCCTCCTGCCTGCTGTCCTGTCCCTCAGCATCAGAAGAGTTGAATTCAGCAGGAGACGGGAGCCCGGTGTCCATGAGGGAAGAGGGGTCGCGCTTGGTTTCTACTGACCCCCATGAAGATTTCAGACTTGCAGTGCGGCCACCTGGCCCTGCCCTGCCTCTCTCTTTCTCATACAGCTTTAAAACTTTACTACTTTTATTTAAAAATGAACTGGATGGGAGAGAAGTAGCGTCCCCTACCCTACAAGTCACACATTCCGGGGAGGGGGGTGGGGGGTGGAGGCAGGAAGTCATGGGGGTGGGGGTGGGAGCACGGGAACAGCTTTCTTAAGGCCTCAGGGTCCTGTTTTCCCTGGCCTCTTCTAGAGGGCCCGTGGACAGGTCGCAGTGCGTGCTTATTTGGAAACCAGGTGTGTGAGCCGAATGCCTGCCAGGCCATGCACTCAGCAGAGGAGCCCTTGTACCTGGCTGCCCTGAGAGGAGCAAGAGGCCACCTCCCATGTGGCTCTAGACACCACGTGGGCTCATTAGCCCCAGCGTCTGTGCCGGCTCCAGGTGCCTGCCTCTGGGTGTGTGAGTGGGAGACTTTGCTCCCTGGCCTCATCCTAGAGAGGCCCCTGGTGCCTAGTGCTGAGGCCTCTGGGGCTGGAAAGCCTCAGCAGAAAGGAGGCACTACTGAGCAACTATGCATTGTCATTGTCGGGTTTGGGGCTTTCGGTGGTTCCTTGGTGACTGGGAATTGCTTGTGTGCATGTGTTGGGTGCATGCTTCCGGGTCTCAGCTGCCCCAGGCCCGCACAGGCAACCCCTTCCCATCCAAAGCCATTGGTGGAGCTTCTCTGGAATCATTTGCCAAAAGCCCAAGGCAGAATCCAAGGGTCCAAGACCATTTCCATGGAGCTCATGTTTTTCTTTTCTGTAGGAACTTTTTTTTAACCAGCACCCACCATAATTCCGAAGGCCACGTTTCATCTTTCCTGGATCACTACAGTGAAGTATTACAGTTGTACAGTTCCCAGTCTGGCCTTGGCTTGCTCGGATAAAACTTTGTATGTATTTTGTATGGCATAGATTCTATATTGTAATGATGTCCTATGCAAAAAGAAAAATTAACGAAATTGTAAATTTTATTGTTTTAACGTGTATGCATGTTTAGTGACGTTTACATTTTGAAATAAAATTTATGATTCATTATTTTATTTGCTGGAGCTAGTTTCTTTGAAGAGCATGTCTTGCAGAGGCTCCGGGAGGGGAGGGGAACTGAAATGCACAAACTCAAGCAGTTGCAATTGACTGAGGGACTGAAGCTTGCCTGGAACTTGGCGGGTCCTATTTTGGAAGGAAGGCTTTGCAGAAGAGCTCTTGCACACAGTGGGTGCTCTTCTGGCTTCCCCTCCTGCCCATGGGAAGCTATTTCAGCTCTTCACATTCCCACCCCTCCGTCCATCCGAAAGAGCACGGAGGAGAACGGGATGTGGTGATGGCAGATTCCCTCAAAGGGCACAGCACCTTTCCCTCAAAGTCCCCCCAAAACACCTGGACTTCCTTTTCCTGGGCAGCAGCCACCGCTTCTTTCAACCCCAGATGCGCTGCTTGCCTCACCCCTCAGCCTAGAGTCTAGAAAACTCCCCTGTTTCTAGCTACCAAAGTTCCTACAACCTACCACGGGCACTGACCCCAAAGTGTGCTCCAGCGAGGACGAGTCCCAGGACACTGGGAGTCTGGGGAGTAGGAAGGCAGGTGTTGATAGCAGAGCCCGTTTAAGTCCCCAATGAACACTAACTGCCCCTGGCTGTCCCCAGGGCAGATGATGTCCTCATCAGAGGCAGTGGGAAGCTGGCAGCTAGTGGAGGAGGTGGCTGCTGGGGTGGAGGTCTGGCCCGAACCCTGTTCTAGCCACAGCATGTAGAAGGGAGGTGCTGGTGCAGCCACATCTCAGCCTCACCCAGGGGTAGACCAGCGCTGCATCTGGGCTGTACACTGTTCATACATGACTACCTGTTCTTTTTCTTTTTTTTGAGACACAGTCTCGCTGTGTAGCCCCACTCGTTGCTGTCGCCGAGGCTGGAGTGCAATGGTGGCAATCTCAGCTCACTGCAACCTCTGCCTCTCAGGTTCGAACGATTCTTCTGCCTCAGCTTCCTGAGTAGCTGGGATTACAGATGTCTGCCACCACGCCCAGGTAATTTTTGTATTTTTAGTAGAGACGAGGTTTCACCATATTGGCCAGGCTGGTCTCAAACCCTTGACCTCAGGTGATCCACTGGCTCAGCCTCCCAAAGTGCTGGGGATTACAGGATTGAGCCACCATACCAGGCCTGTGATTACCTGTTCATAGGGTAAATGAAAACCACCACAAAATGTGAAGTGTTACTAACAAATACAGGCATCGCAGTTGATTAGACATGGTTTTTCCTGAAGCTACCCTGACACCAGCTGGCATTGCCTGATGAACGTTTGTTTTCTGTATCATAGACTGGGGGGAGGGAGGCGTGAAATGAATGCACCCAGGCACATACTGAACAGTCATAAAAACAAGCACACATTTTTCAAACAAAGTCATTTTGGTACTGAGACGTTTGGAGCCCATTCTTGGTTGGAGTATTTTCCCAGGACAGCCACTGCTCCGCCTTCTCAGAGCCATTTATTGCTCAGTAACTTCCCCAGATAGCAGCAACTGCAGGGTGGATCCGCTTCCATAAATAGTTGTCAGAGGATCCCAGATGCTTAAAAAATATTGACAGGAAAAAAAAAAAGCCTGTCAGTTATGTCACTGCTGAGATTTGAAACCCCTCCTGGTATTTCTTTCCAGAAGACTGGGGGACCCACCATTCATGGAGCCCCCATCCCAGGAATGAGGGGTCTCCTAAGGCCTTCAGAGGCCCCCGGTAATGGAGAAAAAAAGCAAGCAATAGATTTTCCCGGCTTTTGAAGAACAAATGTATGAGTGTCTCTGGCATGCGTGTAGCACATTTTCTTCTCACGCTTTCTTTTTGGACCAGGTCACAAAGCAGTTTCGGGTGGCGGAGAGGGTCTGTGGCTGACAGGTCCTCTGTGCTGAGCAGAGATGACAGTGTCCTGGAGGCAGGCCTGAGAGGCCAGCCTCAGGACACTCCTGGACCTGACCCTTTTTCCATATTTCTCAGGACTTGGATTAGAAGTCAGGTTTGTGGCAGTTAGGCGAAGTGCTGTGTCTGGCTGCATAGTGACCCAGGTGAGGGGAAACATCTGGTGGAGGGCGGAGGTGCACTCCCTAAGAGGGCCAAGCCTGGCAAAGGCTCACAGTGACATCTGCCCCTCTAAAGAAGGACTTCTGGCCGCGCGCAGTGGTTCACGCCTGTAATCCCAGCACTCTGGGGGGCCAAGGAAGGCAGATCACCTAAGGTCAGGATTTCGAGTTCAAGACTAGCCTGACCAACATGGAGAAACCCTGTCTCTACTAAAAATTCAAAAATGTGGCTTGTGCCTGTAGTCCCAGCTACTTGGGAGGCTGAGGCAGGAGAATCGTTTGAACCCGGGAGGCAGAGGTTGCAGTGAGCCGAGATCACGCAACTGCACTTCATCATGGACAACAAGAGCGAAACTCTGTCTCAAAAACAAATAAATTAATAAAGAAGGACTTCCCATTCCTTGGTGCTGGCCTGTAGGCAGTGAGCACCCTGTCGCTGGAGGCATTCAAGCAGGGGCTGAAACACTGCTTGCCAGGAATTCCATGAAGGGACTGGTGTTCTGGAAGGGGGCCCAGTTAGCGTTCAGAGGAAGGGCCACAGTGTTTTCCAAGTGGACTCACTGGGGTGTAATCATCAAGACCCTCTGACACTTTCTCCTAGCCTTGTTGGTCATGTTGGGGTGTGGACTGGCCTTTTCTGGGTTGGGTTTGGCTGCAGAAGGTCTTGAATAACAGACTAGGCGATGTGTAGCTTATTCTGGGGACATGGGTGGCTCAATTACCCCCAATCAAACCTCATCTAGGCCATGCTAAAATTCCTGCCATTGGCACCACTCCTAAAAAGTCTCCTACGTGGAAAGCAGTAAAGACATGCAGCTACTCCTGGCAGGGCTGCTATCTCTGCACCAACTTTCCTCCACCGTTACGCATCAGAGACCAGCATTCCAATGGTACATAGGACAGGCAGGTTTGTACAGAAGACAGTGTTGGAAACACAAGGCCTGTATTAATTGCCAGTTGCTGGCTGGGCACAGTGGCTTATGCCTGTAATCCCAGCATTCTGGAAGGCCAAGGCAGGCAGATCACGAGGTCAGGAGTTTGAGACCAGCCTGGCTAACATCATGAAACCCCATCCCCACTAAAAATACAAAAATTAGCCGGGCATGGTGGCGGGTGCCTGTAATCCCAGCTACTCGGGAGGCTGAGGCAGGAGAACGGCTTGAACCCGGGAGCTGGAAGTTGCAGTGAGCGAAGATCGCGCCATTGCACTCCTGCCTGGGCGACAGTGCAAGACTCTGTCTCAAAAAAAAAAAAAAAATAGAATGCCTATTCCTGCTGTAACAAATTACCATAAGCAGTGGCTTAAAGCAACACAAATTTATTCTTTTATTCTCTTGCAGCTCTGGAGGTCAGAAGTGCAAAACAAGTCTTACAGGGCTAAAATCCAGGTGTCATCAGGGCTGCTTCCTTCTGGAGTCTTGTTTTCCTTCCCAGCTTGTAGAGGCCACCTACGTTCCTTGGCTTGTGGCCTCCTCCACTGTCTTCAAATCCATCAGAGTAGCGTCTCCTCTCTGACCTCCTAATCTCCCTCTTATAAGGACCTCTGTGATTACCCTGTGCGGCTGAGATGTGGCTGCACATCAGGCTGCCCCCAACCCTGAACTAGTCCAGGATGAGCCCCCCATCCACCCCAGCCTTCATGTCCTTCCTGCACTCCCCTGAGCTGCAGGGAGCAAAGTGGCAGCTTAGGCTGCAGGGCTTGATGAACTCCTGCCTAGTGGAAGGAGCCTGCATCCCACTCTCCATGACCCAAGCAAATTCACAAAACATAGTTGAATTAAACTGGACTGAGCATCTCTTCCACCTGTGTTTTGTCATCCTTCATAGTATTCCCTATCAACTATTCAGCTTTAAAAAGTAGGAGTAATAGTAAAAATAATTGTCACTTCACTACAGTTCTTAAAAGCCGATCAGTTCTTGAAGACCTGCACCCCAGTTCACCTGCTGCTGCCTGCACAGCCGTTGCTCAGGGCGGAGAAAGGTCTGGTGTCTCCGTGCCAGACGCAGCTGGGCCTTCAGCTCTGAGCAGCCTGCCACGCAGCTGTGGAAAGAAGTCTTTTCCTGAGCCTTGCCTTCACCTGGGAAGCAAGCTTGGCATGGTCTGTGTGGGGTCATGGTGAAGTTCCCAGTGGTGTGCGAGATGTCAGATGCTGGGAACTGTACCCATGCCAGATACTCAGGCCCCCAGGCCAGGCCTCCACTCTCACATGCCACTGGGAAATGATCCCTGTGGACAGAGACTGGGACTGACCTGGGACACAGAGGAAGGCTGTCCCACATTGCACTCCCTGTCCCAGAGGCCTGCCGGGCAGCAGCCACTTGCCCAGATCCTGGGCCAGAGGGTTGCTTGCTGAGCTGTACCCTCTGAGCACTCTCAGAGGGAGGGAGGTGTGAGTAGTCCCAACTTAGGGCTGCAGAGGGTACGAGGCTCAGAGGGTTGAAGTGGCCTTCTCAAGGTCACACAGCTGGCAAAAGTCACGGAGGGACCCTGGTCTGATTGGACCACTGGCCACAGCTGCCTTTTAAGCTCTGAGTTCTAAAGGCTTCTAACCTGTCTAGGGGTACCTTTGTCTATTCTCTGGCATTGTGGGACAGGCCCAGAAGAGTGACAGGCCCCATGACACAGGGCTGGTGACTTAGCATTTTTCTGGCTGCTGCATTTCTGGGGCCTGAACACTGGCCAGTGTGGGCCTGCACCTGGCAGCTCAGTGTGTCCAATGCAATGTCCTCTAAAAAGATGAGCAAGCTGCCCTCAGGGGGGCCCAGTCCCAGGCACTGTGAGGTTCAGACCTCCCTTCAGGGCCCACCAAGCAACCAGGCAAAGCCCTTTCCCCTGCATAGCTGTGACTCCCTGTGCCCAGGCTGCCAATGTGTCTAGGTACCGCGTCCACTCACTCAGACCTCTTGGAACTCAGAGACAGACAGTACAAAGTCGTGACGGGCGTTGCCCTCATTTACAAGCACATGATAGGCCCAAGGAGCTCAGTCTGGGTGTCCTGACCCCAGCTCCAGGGCTCATTCTTGACCCCTGCCCCATCATAATGTCTTCCATTCCCAACCTCACAATTAGGTAATCATTTACTTATGAATGGGCCAGGGGACCAGGGAGAATCAACAGTAAATATCAAGATGGCCTGCATAATCAGCAGACTTCCTCTGCACCTCCTAAGAGGGGTCCTCATCTCAACACCAGCAACACAAGGTGTTTTGGGAAAGTGGTTATTGCATGCTTACCCTGATGAACACAGCTGCTCCCTGTCTCTTGTCTGTCTCCTGCTCTTTTAACCATAAACACACTCCAGTGGGTTTTCTGAGATCGACTGTTGGCCTGTGGGGGCGGAACATGCTCAGAGCAGGGAGGATGGCCTCCTTCCCGGGCTCTGCAGTGCTCTCCCACCGTGGCCCAGTGGACTTTGTACATGAACCTTCCACTTTGGGAAGACCAGCTACTAGTTTGTGGAACCTGGATTACAATGGAAACACAAACTCTAAATCCAAGAGAACAGGTGCCTCTGCAGTGAGGGTCACAGGGCCAGGAGAGGCACACATAGGAGTGTCAGCGATGATGACAGCCTAGTGCTGAGGACAGGGTCGCACTCACACTTTCATTACATATGTTCTTGTGAATGCAGCGAATGTCACATAAGAACAACATTAAAAGAAAGTTATCTGTTAAAAATATCAAGATGGGCCGGGCGCGGTGGCTCACGCCTATAATCTCAGCACTTTGGGAGGCCAAGGCGGGCAGATCACGAGGTCAGGAGATTGAGACCATCCTGGCTAACACGGTGAAACCCCGTTTCTACTAAAAATGCAAAAAAAATTAGCTGGGCGTGGTGGTGGGCGCCTGTAGTCCCAGCTACTCAGGAGGCTGAGGCAGGAGAATGGTGTGAACCTGGGAGGCAGAGCTTGCAGTGAGCCAAGATCACGCCACTGCACTCCAGCCTGGGCAACAGAGCGAGACTCCGTCTCAAAAAATAAATAAATAAATAAATAAAATAAAAATATCAAGATGTTTCGAATAGCTTAAATGTCCAGGAATAGGAGATTAATTCAATGAACCACATAACCTCCATTATGACTAATACCCAATCTATTATTAAGTGAAAGAGGTGAGGTAGGTTGCAAAACAGTACAGAAGTATGATCATGATTTATTAAAACACTTTTCTCTATAGCTATATTGTGTTTACATGTTTAAATGCATAGAAAAAGGGTAGGTAGGCCAGGTGAGGTGGCTCATGCCTGTAATCCCAGCACTTTGGAAGGCTGAGGCGGGCAGATCACCTGAGCTCAGGAGTTCAAGACCAGCCTGACCAACATGGTGAAACCTCGTCTCTACTAAAAATACAAAAATTAGCCGGGTGTGGTGCCTGTAATCCCAGCTACTCAGGAGGCTGAGGCAGGAGAATGGCTTAAACCCTGGAGGTGGAGGTTGCAGTGAGCCGAGATCACACCACTGCACTCCAACCTGGGTGAGAGTGAGGCTCCTTCTCAAAAACATAAGGACAGGTAAGAGACAGAACCAACTCAAGCAATTGTTACCTTTAGGTAGAGGACAACAGATGACTTTTATTTACTTATTTTTGTATGCTCTCTAAATTCTCAAAACTACTCAGGTATCACTTTTGTCATTAAAACTCACAATAGCACTTTTGTGAGGCTAAGAGCTTGCCAAAGGTAAGCTGGCACAGTGTGTCCCCACTTCATCCCCCAAAAGATGTCCACCAACATTCATGAGCGTACTTTTGGACATACCCCAAATGCCCTCAACATGTCCACACAAGGACAGACACGCCCAAAGGCTGTCCACACGTTGGTGCAAAGGGATGACATAGAGCTGAGTGTGTCATCCCAAAGTCACCCAAAAACCATGCTGCACCACAAAAGCAAGCTGCTAAAGGAGCACCAAACACACCAAGCAATGCCATGTGCTACTCATGCATCCATACCTGCTATGGACTGAATGTTTGTGTCCCTGCCAAACTCACGTGTTGAACTCTAACCCTCAATAGGATGGCATTAAGGAGGTAAGGCCTTGGGGAGGTGATTAGACCATGAGGGTGGATCTCATGATTTCATAATCCTCATGAATGGGATTGATCCCTTCACAAGAAGAGATGTGAGAGGGATGATCTCTCTCTCATCCACATGAGGATATAAGAAGGTGGTGGCCATCTGCAAACAAGGAGGAGAGCCCCCACCAGACGCTGGATCTGTCCGCACCTTGATATTGGACTTCCCTGCCTCTAGAACTGTGAAAAGTAAATGTTTGTTGTTTAAGTCATCCAGTCTATAGTAATTAGTTTTAGCAGCCTGAACTGATGAGTATCTATAGACCAAGAGCATGAAACCTACATGATGAAGGTTAATCCCAAAGTCAGGACAAGGTGACTGAGAGGGGCCCAAGGGGGTTGCAACATTAGATTTATTTAGGATTTACAGGTATACCTTGTTCTAGTGCACATGATTTTATTGCACTTTGCAAATATTGTGTTTTTTAGAAATTGAAGATTTGTGGCAAATCCACCTTGAACAAGTCTATTGGTGCCATTTTTCCAACAGCACATGCTCACTTTGTGTCTTGGTCACATTTTGGTATTTCTCAAAATATTTCAAACATTTTTACTATTATTACATCTATTATGGTGATCTGTGATCAGTGATCTTTGATGTTACTCTTGTAATTGGAGTGCCATGAACCACTTCCATATAAGATGGCAAATTTAATTGATAAATGTGTGTGTTCTCACTGCTCCACCAACCTGCCTTTCCCTGTCTTTCTCCCTCTCCTCAGGCCTCCCTATTCCCTAAGACACAATATCGAAATTAGGCCAATTAATAACCCTACAATTGCCTCTAAGTGTTCAAGTGAAGGGAAGAGTCACAGGTCTCTCACTTTAAATCAAAAGCTAGAAATAGTTAAGCTAGTGAGGAAGCCATGTGAGGAAGTCTCAAAAGGTGAGGTAGGCTGTGCCAAGTAGTTAGCCACATTGTGAATGCAAAGGAAATGTTCTCGAAGGAACTTAAAAGTGTTAACTCCAGTGAATGCATGAATGATACGAAAGTGAAATGGGCTTATTGCTGATATGGAGAAAGTTTCAGTGGCTTGGATAGAAGATCAAACCAGCCACAACATTCCCTTTAGTCAAAGCCTAATTCAGAGCAAGGTCCCTAACTTTCTTTCAATTCTACAAAGGCTAAGAGAAGCTACAAAGCTAGAAAAGAAAAGTTGGAAGCTAGCAGAGGTTTATTCATGAGGTTTAAAGAAAGAAAGTATTAGGCTGGGCGCAGTGGCTCATGCCTGTAATCCTAGCATTTTGGGAGACCAAGGCAGGAGGATCACCTGAGGTCAGGAGTTTGAGACCAGCCTAGCTAACACGGTGAAACCCTGTTTCTACTAAAAGTACAAAAAATTAGCTGGGCGTGGTGGCGTGCACCTGTAATCCTAGCTACTTGAAAGGCTGAAGCAGGAGAATCACTTGAATCTGGGAGGCGGAGGTTGCAGTGAGCTGAGATCGTGCCATTGCACTCCACCTTGGGCAACAAGAATGAAACTCCATCTTAAAAAAAAAGAAAAGAAAAAAGAAAGAAGGCATCTCCACAACATAAAAGTGCAAGATGAAGCAGCAAGTGCTGCTATAGAAGCTGCAGCAAGTTATCCAGAAGATCTAGCCAAGATCATTGATGAAGGTGGCTTTACTACACAACAGATTTTCAATGTAAATGAAACTGACTCTATTTGAGGAAGATCCCATCTAGGACTTTCAAAGCTAGAGATAAGTCAATGGCTGGCTTTAAAGGACAGGCTGGCTCTCTTGTTAAAGGCTAACACAGTTGATGACTTTAAGTTAAAGCCAGTGCTAATTTACCATTCGGAAAATCCTGGGACCATTAAAAATACACTAAATCTACTCTGCCTATGCTCTAGAAATGGAAGAACAAAGCCTGGATGACAGCACGTCTATTTACAGCATGGTTTACTGAATATTTTTAAGCCCACTTTGAGATCTACTGCTCAGGAAAAAAGACTCCTTTCCGATGAAACTTGAATGAATGAGGAGTTGCTTCTTATGGATGAGCAAAAACAGTGGTTTCTTGAGATGGAATCTACTCCTTGTGAAGATGCTGTGAACATTGTTGAAATGACAGCAAAGGATTTAGAATATTCCATAAACTTAGTTGATAAAGCAGTGCCAGGGTTTGAGAGGACCGACTCCAATTTTGGAGGAAGTTTTACCGTGGGTAAAATGCTATCAGCATTGCACACTACAGAGAAGTCCATCACTAAAAGACTAGTCAATTGGGTGTGGCAAACTTCATTGTTGTCTTAATTGAAGAAATTGCCACAGCCACCCAAACCTCAGCAACCACCACCCTGATCAGTCTGCAACCATCAACATTGAATCAAGACCTTCCAGCAGGAAAAAGACCAAAACTTGCTGAAGGCTTAGATGATTGTTAGCATTTGTTAGCAAAAAAAGTATTTTTAAATTAAGGTATGTACATTATTTTTATAGACAGAATGCTATTGCACACTTAATAGGCTACAGTATAGTTTAAACATAACTTTTATATGCACTGGGAAACCAAAAAATGTGTGTGACTCACTTTATTGTGATATTTGCTTTATTGCAGTGGTCTGGAACCAAACCCACAATATCTTTGAGGTCTGCCTGTACGAGAACTGGGTGGTGGGAAAAGTGGGGCTTGTTTTTCCTTTCTTTGTATTCACTGTAGGTGTGAAATGTTTGACAATTTGACAGTCTGTGACATGGTTCACAGATGTGGTTCCTGCATGTTATCAGGGCTTGGCCAGGTTCAGGCAGGCCTGCAGGCTGTCCCTACAACGGGCAGATTGAAGTGTGCACAGATGTCCATGACAGGGCTGTGACCAGCCTGTGATCAGGCTGTGACCAGGTTGCTGCCTGGACCAGGCAGAGCTTTGTCCCATAATAGGGGTGCTGCCAGGGAGTCTGGCACCTGGAGCACAGCCACTGGCTTGGACATGAGCCATCAAACAGCATGGAATAAAAATAGAACTGCTTCAGCCGGAGAGGAGACAGGCTGAGCTCCTTGCTGGGAGGCCTTTAAAACAAGAACAGGTTTCATTGATCTGAGACTAGGTAAGGATGCTGCCACGAGTCAGGAAGGAGTCGAAGTCATCTGTCCTGGTACCTGGAAGTGCCTGAACATGATGGGCCTGGGTGGTTATTATTCTTCTCATCAGCTGGCACTGTAACTTTAGGTAAGCATTAGAAACTGTTTGTTTGTTTGATTGTTTGTTTGTTTTCCCTTCATGTCTAGGGTATAGAATGCATGCTCTGTGTACAGTTGGTGACAGTTGTAAAACTGAGAAAGTGCCAGTGAAAATGATTTTAAAAATGAAACAGAAAGGCTGGGTGTGGTGGCTCACGCCTGTAATCCCAGCACTTTGGGAGGCTGAGGAGGGCAGATCACCTGAGGTCAGGAGTTCAAGACCAGCCTGACCAACATGGAGAAACCCTGTCTCTCCATGTAAAAATACAAAATTAGCCGGGTGCGGTGGTGCGTGCCTATAATCCCTCTCAGCTACTCAGGAGGCTGAGGCAGGAGAATCGCTTGAACCCAGGAGGTGGAGGTTGCGGTGAGCCAAGATTTCAGCCTGAGTGACAAGAGCGAAACTCTGTCTCAAAAAAAAAAAAAAAAGAAAAAGAAAACCAGTAAAATATGTTTATTTTATGGAGTATTGAGTCATGATGTTCAAGGACTTTGGAAGTAATTTGATTGTTGGTTTTATTTTTAAAATTCAGGAATTCTAATCATACATACGAACAAGGTTAAAAAATACCAAAAAAAAAAAAAAAAAAAAACTAATGATAAGAATGTCTCTTTACCCATTCCCCCCACACACACCAGTTCTACCACCTTGGGATTAAACTTTTTTTTTTTTTTTAGGGGACTAAACTTTTTATCGCTTCTGTTTTTAATTTGTTTTTGTCGTTATTCCCTTCAGTGTTAATAAAATACTTGTCCTCCTACTTTGTGATTTATGAGTATTTGACAAAATACACTGGCTTCCTAATATGAAAGATGAATACCGTTGACCATTGAACAACATGGGTTTGAACTGCGTGGGTCCACTTCCATGTAAATTTTCTCTTGCCTCTGCCACCCCTGAGACAGCAAGACCAGCTTCTCCTCTTTCTTCTCCTCCTCAGCCTACTCAACATGAAGACAATGAGAATGAACGAACACCTTTATAATGATCCACTTCTACTTAATGAATACTAAATATATTCTTTCTTATAATTATTTTCTTAATAACATTTTCTTTTCTCTAGCTTACCATATTGTAAGAATGCAGAATATATCTCACATACAAAAGATGTGTTAATTATCTGTTCATGTGATCAGCAAGGCTTCTTCTCGTCAACAGGCTATCAGTAGTTAAATTTTTGAGGAGTCAAAAGTTTTATGTGGATTCTTGACTCAATGGGGGAGGGGATCAACGGTCCCAACCCCTATGTTGTTCAAGCATCAACTGTAATTACCTCCAGTCCCCTCTACCCTCTGCACCTTCTCCCTCCTCCCCCTGTGTTTACATTAGAGGAGTGTTTTAACTCTTCTGCAGATTCTCTCTGAAACTTTACATTAGCTCTTACTCCCCTATATTTACTACCATACCTTTGGTCTGCATCTTGACTCCCCTTCATGGAAGGTGGGAGTAGGATGGCCTCTGCTATCCACTCTCTCTAGGTCCCACAACACCATCCTCCTCAGCCTTTACTTTTGCAGCTTAGTCTATAGTAAAAGTGGAGCCCAGTGGATTCGAACTGCAACAGTGGGAGCCTCTACACCCCTAGGCAGTTGGGCATGTCACTGTTACATGTTACTCACTGCACAGCTAACCGCTGGGCCAGGGGCACATTTCTTTCTCTATGGGCCTAAAGTCATCAACACCACCACCACCGTCTCCAACCACACAAGGAAGATATTCTTAGCATCCAGAGCAAATGGGGCGAACTCATTTTGCCTTCCCTCAGGAACTGAAAATCCTATCCTATGTTAGTTTGCTTTACAGTGGAAGTTGAATTTTGTTATATACATTTTCCCTATAGCTTTTATTTGCCTTGCTTCCTTTTTATTAACAGAATAATATTAATAACAGAATAATAATGTGCCTTTGATGTGGCCTCAGTTTTGCCACCCTTTTATTCTCAAGACCTCCCCTGCCCTCTCCTACCCCATGGATCCGCACCCCCACTCCTTGTCCCTGAGTGGGAGCACAGCCCCGGACTCCCTTTACCACCCTCTGGTGGATCACTCAAGAGTCAATCCCAGGTCTTTCTCTTAGCTTTCTTTCTCACTTTGCTGGAATACATCCTCAAGTAACTATCCAAGAAAGGATGCATGGGACGATGGGTTTCTGCTTTTTTGAGTCCTTGGAGGTCTAACAGTATCTTTTTTCTACCCCATGCTTGATTCATAATTTGGCCTAGTATAGAAAACAAGGTTCAAAATTACTTGCCAATCATCTTCTTACAACCATTGCTACTGATGGGGATCTGATGCACTGCAGTTCTCAGCCTTTGCCGTGAACATTTTATTTTTACCATCTTCGAAATCTGTCAACCAATCTTACTCCCTGTTGCTCTGCACTTTTGTTCAGATATTTTTAGAGGCAGGTCATTTTTTCCTTGATCCTGCATTCCACGGAGCACTCCATCTGCAGACCCATGTCTCCTTAGGTCTGTTCCTTAGGTCTGCAACGCTTTCCTCTAATCTTGTATTGTTAATTGCCCTCCCTCTACATTCTTTTCTTTTGGAATTCCTATTAGTTGAAGGTGGATTTACTGAATCAGGCTTCTGTGTCCCTTATCTCTGTGTTCGGCATTATCCCTGTGTTTATTTTCCTTCTTTTCTTCTGGTCTGCTCCCTGAGCTGAAACAGGCTTCCTTACTCAAATCTCATTCATCCCCTAAGACCCAGACCACAGGTCATGTCTGGTGGGAGCCTTTCTGGCCATCCCTGTCCCCAAACAGTGTTCATGGCACTCTTGGCCATGGCATTTTGTCCTGACCCTTACTAGGCTGTTGAGTCAGGAAAGGATGTACATTCTCAACTGCATGGGGCTTCTCTATGGGGTGGAGGGCTGTGGGGACTATGGCGGGGGTGGATAATGTGGGGGAGTGTGGGGGGGCTGTGTGGGGCTGAGGGGGCTGTGAGGGTCTCTGGGGAACTCTGTAGGGCTGAGGGGGTTGTGTGGGCCTCTGGGGGTGCTCTGTGGTCCTGTGGGGGGGCTGGGTATAGGGCTGAGGAGGCTGTGGGGGTGGGTGCTGGGTGTTGGGCTGTGGGGGGCTGAAGGGGGCTGGGTGTGGAACTGTGTAGGCTGTGTGGGGCTGTGGGTGTCGGGGTTGTGGGGCTGTGCGGGGCTGAGTGCGGGGACCTGGGTGTGGGGTCTGTGGGGGCTGGGTTTGTGGGGCTGTAGGGCTGTGGAGGGGGGAGCTCTGTTGGGGGGCTGTGCTCCAAATTTCCAAAACTCCACGTTTTGGAAATTCAGTGGAGTCTGCTCGCCGCATTTTAACAATGGGGGCCCTGCACCGGCCCAAGACAAGGGTCAGCTCGGGGCTGGGCCAGGAGCCCCATCTGGGGCCCCACACCCATTTCTGGGATTGCCCCCCACCCCGCCCCCGCCCCCGCCCCCGACGCTTCCGGGAGGTCTAGGCGGCTGCCGTGGGCCGGTCCGAAACGGCTCTAGGTGCACTGTTGGGGGGCTGTGTGGGGGCTCTGTAGGGGGGCTGTGGGGGGCTGTGTGGGGCTGTGTGGGCTGGGTGTTACTGCGCTCCTCAGGCAGTCAGGAGCCCTCGAGGAGTCCGCGGAGTTGGGTTGGGGGAGGCGGAGCCCGGCGGGAGGCGCTTCCCGGGCTTCCCAGGCTCTAGTAAGTTCCTGGAATTCGTGAACTGCCGGCCCGGGGGAGGATCTGTGAAGGCCCCGGGAAGGCAGAGGATTCCTGCGCGGACTGCCGCGTTCGGAGGGCAGCCGGGACGGCTGGGCCGGAGGCGGGGGAGCCCTCGGCTGGGCGGGCGCCGAGCCCGGCCGGGCCATTCACTGCCTCCGAAGCGAGCGGCCAGACCCGCCAGCTGCCCACTCGCCCCCGACCCCCGGGTCGCGGTCTCCATCCCCCTCGGACCCCGGCCAGCCCCAGGCCCTCGCGGCCGCCGCAGTACGTCGTCTCCACTTCGCAGCGCCCTCTGCCCACTGCGATTCCCCCAGCCCACGGCGAGCTCAGATGACACAAGGATGATGCTGTGGTCCGGGAGAGAACGATAAGGATTGTCACTGTGCTTTGCACTCTGTCATTCTAAGTTTCTTCTCCTCACGTGAGCTCATGTACCGCGGGCAGCGACTATCAGTGAGACTGGGGTAGACGCCACCTCTTTGGCCGCGGGCTGGGGCGCCGAGTCACGGGTCGCGGGGACGGGGCGGCGGTGCTGAGCCTCGAGCCGCCCAGGCCACGCCCCTCCTGATGTGGCCCCGCCCTGCTCTCCCAGCTCTCACCCGCGTCCTTTTCCCCGGGTCCCCTGCGCTCCTCAGGACCCTGACGGCGCATCCTGGGTCCTCTACGCGCGCGACTGTCCCGCCCCTGAAGGGGCCTGCAGGGTGTCCACGGGACTCGGCTCTTCCTCCCTGACCCCTCAGGCCTGTCCTGGGGGTCCGCCCTAGAAATAGCTCGGAGGAAGGAGCCAGTGACTTGGGTGACGTTTTGGAAATTCAGTAGAGTCTGCTCGCGGTATTTTAACAATGGGGGTCCTGCACCGGCCCAAGACAAGGGTCAGCTCGGGGCTGGGCCAGGAGCCCCATCTGGGGCCCCACACCCATTTCTGTGATTGCCCCCCACCCCGCCCCCGCCCCCGCCCGCGACGCTTCCGGGAGGTCTAGGCGGCTGCCGTGAGCCGGTCCGAAACGGCTCTAGGTGCACTGTCCGGCTCCAGCCAGGTCCGCTACGCCTGGAGAGCATGGAGGCAAGTTCTGCCGGCTCCACCTGCAAAGCAGAGCCCCTTTCCACGACTGTGCAGCACCGCTCGCTCCAGCCCCACCATACCCGCCTGGACGGAGACCGACCGCAGCCTGGGAGAGCCTCCAAGCCTGGAGGCGGGCGCGCGAGCCCTTTCCAAGGAGAACCCACAGCGGCTTCCCCTCTTGCTCCAGGGGCCTCTAGATCCCACCCCACCTGGCACCTGCGTCTCTCCCAGAACTCGGCCTGCCCCTACCTTCCTGCCAGCCCCCACCCTGCTGGGGCTACTGGGACCTCCTAGCGGCATGCAGCGTTCAGTAAGCAGCCGCCGGGCCCGGCCTTCGGCCTTTGCATTTCCCGGTCCAGATATGGAGGTGACGGAGGTGTGCTGCGCACTCCCTGCACGCCTCTCCTCCACTGCTCCCCCATGAGAGGCCTTCCCTAAACCCGGCTAAAGAGTACCTACCCCGTCACCCCCGGCCCGTCCCCCCCCCGTCCCCCTCAGACCTAGGATGCACCCACCCGCCAGGGGGTTTCAGAGCCAGGGCAGGGTGCCGGCCATCCAGCCCCATCCCAGCACCCTTGTCCCTCGGTCCTCCCACTACTCGTCTAGTACTCCCTACACGCCACTCCGCAGGGCTCAACCCCCGCTGTGCTCTGCGGTCGCAGCTGCAGCCGCTTCGGTGCTCCAAGACCAGAGAGGAAGCAAAGACAGAGCTTTCCCAGCCAGGCATCGCTGCTTTGGCCTTGAAGGTGAGGTGGGTGATGATGAGAGTTCCCACTGAGATCATGTTCATTATGGCCCAGGCATCGTTCTGAGTGCTGGACCTGTATCCATCCTCCCGTCTCATTACTACCACAGCCCTGTTCACAGAGCAAACAGAGGCCTCTATGGAGAGTCAAGGACATGCTGCCTGGCTGGAGGGCACCGGGTCGGGCTTCTGTCTGCGAGGGTGGTGGGTGGAGAGGTGGGGGGACAGGCAGCCGCATCTGCCAAGCCTGGACTGCCTTTGCCCTTGCATCTCAGGGGGCTCCCACAGGGATCACCTGGACAGACAGGAAGCAACTTGCAGGCAAGGTTGTTCCTGGGGGCGCGGTCCATGAGGCTAACATCTCCACAGAGAAGCGCTGTGCACTGGCCAAAGAGAGATGCTGACAGCGCTGGGGTGCAATGTTAAGTTAAAGGAAAAAAAGGAAGGTGCCAAGCAGTACATGGAAGACAATCCTACCTGAGTAAGAATGTAGGGAGTATTTTGGCCGGGCGCGGTGGCTCACGCCTGAAATCCTAACACTTTGGGAGGCTGAGGCAGGCGGATCACGAGGTCAGGAGATCGAGACCATCCTGGCTAACACGGTGAAACCCCGTCTCTACTAAAAAAAAAATACAAAAACAAAAAATTAGCCTGGCGTGGTGGCGGGCACCTGTAGTCCCAGCTACTCGGGAGGCTGAGGCGACAGAATGGCCTGAACCCGGGAGGCGGAGCTTGCAGTGAGCCGAGATTGGGCCACTGCCCTCCAGCCTGGGTGACAGAGCGAGACTCCGTCTCAAGAAAAAAAAAAAAAAGAAAAGAAAGAAAGTAGGGAGTATTTTAAAGAGTGTGGGTGTGTATTTTATATAGATTTTGCTTATTTTTTCAAAAAGAAGTCCTGTGGATATGGGCAGAGAGGATGGAGGTGGAAGTGAGACTTCTCTAGGTGCATTTTTTCTATAACTTTTTTGAGATATAATTCACATATATAATTCACCCATTTACTGTATGTAATCCATTGGCCTTTAGTATATTCACAGACGTGCAACCATTACCACAGTTAATTATAGAATATTGTCTCAAAATAAAACCCTGTACCCTTTAGCTATCACCCCGATATTCCCCCATTTTCCCTGGCCCTAGGAGCCACTCATCTACTTGCCTCTTCTGAATATCTCATATAAATGTAATCAAACAATATGTGGCTTTTTTGTGTCTGTCTCATTTCACTTAGCATAAATTTTTAAGTTTCATCCATGTTGTATCATGTGTTAGTACTCCACTCCCTTTGTTTTGTTTTGTTTTGTTTTAGAGGGAGTCTCCCTCTGTTGCCCAGGCTGGAGTGCAGTGAGGCAATCTCGGCTCACTGCAACCTCCACCTCCTGGATTCAAGCGATTCTCCTGTCTCAGCCTCCTGAGTAGCTGGGATTGCAGATGCCCGCCACCACGCCCGGCTAATTTTTGTATTTTTAGTAGAGATGGCGTTTCACCACGTTGGCCAGTCTGGTCTCGAACTCCTGACCTCAAGTGATTTGCCCACTTCTGCCTCCCAAAGTGCTGAGATTACAGGCGTGAGCCACTGTGCCCGGCCCCTACTCACTATTATGGCTTGATAATACTCTGTCGTATGGATATACTATTTTTTTAAAGTCCATTCATCCACTGATGGATGTTTGGGTTATTTCTACTCCTTAGCTGCTATGAATGCTGCTGCTATGAACATGTGTGTACAAGCTTCTGTGTAGACATAAGTTTTCTTTTTTCCTTATTTATTTATTTATTTATTTTTGGACATAAGTTTTCATTTCTCTCGGGTATACACCTAGGAGTGGGATTACTGGGTCATGTAGCAACATTATGTTTAGTTTTGAGGAACTGCCAGACTGTTTCCATCTGCACTATTTTACATTCCCACTGGCAATCCATGAGAGGTCCAGCTTCTCCACATGCCCCAACACTTGTTACTGTCCTCCTTTTTGTTCATAGCCATCGTCACGGATGTGAAGTGGTACCTTATTGTGGTTTTGATTTGCATTTCCCCGATGGCAACATTTCATCTACAGTTTTGACATTTAATTTCACTTAATAATATCACATCAAAATTAATTTGATAAAATAAAAATGGGGGAGGGAAACCCCCAAAGTATGTGGAATTGAGTTTCCCAAGTCATGCTGCTGCTTGGTGGTGGAGCTGAGATTCCGGCCCAAGAAGTCTGCCTCAGAGTCCCTGATCCTCCATCCTCTGCCTACTGGACATTCACCAGCTTTTCTGGCTGTTGTCCCCTCAGGGCCTGTGATACACGTGCCCTGGGAGGGTTGGTTTTTTTGTTTTTCTTTCTTTCTTTCTTTTTTTTGAGACGGAGTTTCGCTCTTGTTTCCCATGCTGGAGTGCAATGGCGCGATCTTGGCTCAATGCAACCTCCGTCTCCTGGGTTCAAGAGATTCTCCTGCCTCAGCCTCTTGAGTAGCTGGGATTACAGGCATGCGCTACCACGCCCGGCTAATTTTGTATTTTTAGTAGACGGGGTTTCTCTGTGTTGGTCAGGTTGCTCTCAAACTCCCGACTTCAGGTGATCTGCCCACTTCGGCCTCCCAAAGTGCTGGGATTACAGGCATGAGCCACCGTGCCCGGCCTAATTTTTGCATTTTTAGTAGAGACAGGGTTTCACCATGTTGGCCAGGATGGTCTTGATCTCTTGACCTTGTGATCTGCCTGCCTCGGCCTCCCAAAGTGCTGGGATTACAGGCTTGAGCCACCGCGCCCGGCCTAGGGTTTTTAAGGATAATTTGGTGGTTGGGGGGCAGCCAGTGAGTTGGGAGTGCTGATTGGTCAGTGATGAAATCATAGGGAGTCGAAGCTGTCTTCTTGCATTGAGTCAGTTCCTGGTTTGGGGCCACAAGATCAGATGAGCCAGTTTATTGACCTGGGTGGTGCCAGCTGATCCATGGAGTACAGGGTCTGCAAAATATCTCAAGCACTGATTTTAGGGATCTTAGGCTTTACAATAGTGATGTTATCCCCAGAAGCAACTTGGGAAAGTCAGAATCTTGTAGCCTCCAGCTGCGTGACTCCTAAACCATAATTTCTAATTTTTTGGCTAATTTATTAGTCCTAGCTACAAAGGCAGTCTAGTCCCTAGGCAGGAAGGAGGTCTGCTTTGGGAAAGGGATGTTATAGTCTTTGTTTTAAACTATAAACTATAAACCAAGTTTTCTCCCAAAGTTAGTTCAGCTTACACCTAGGAATGAACAAGGACAGCTTGGAGGTTAGAAGCAAGATGGAGTTAGTTAAGTCAGATCTCGTTCACTGTCTGGGTTATAATTTTGCAGTGGTGGTTTCAACAGTGGCTCAGGGGCTGGTGCCTGTCCCTACCCTGAGCCCAGAGGACACTTTCCGTCCTCCAGTCCAGGTTTTTCGTTTGACTTTGCCACAGGAACATTTGCCAGGGGTCATTTCCCAGGCGGAAATGGGCAAAGGGGGGTTGGGAACAAGCCTGAGGCCCTGAGGCCAAGAGGGTGTCCAGGTTCAGGGTGGGGCGGGGTGGGGTGGGGTGGGGCGGGCAGGGCAGGGCAGGGCAGGGGTGCACGTGGCAGGGTGGGCAGGCTTCCCGGCGCTCCGCTCAGGCCACGCCCAGCGCCAGCATAATTACCAGGAGAATAATTACGAGCCCAGAGAGCCGCCGACCCCGCCCATTGCCGACCATTCTCAGGCCTGGGGCGGTGGCGCCCTCTCCTCCTCAGTGACGCGCACTTGCAAAGGCTGCAGGCCAAGAGGTCCAGACGCCTCGGAGTGGGAGGGGCCGTGGCCTGCCAACGTTGTCTGTCCTCAAGGGAGGGGCGCTGGGAAGTTCCTGGGCCTGTTTCCCCTTTGGGGTCAGGGCTGCCTCTTGCTTCCAGCTCTAGCAGCTGCTAGCAAGTCCTTTAACATCCCTGAGCCTCAGTTTCCCCATCTATAAAATGAAGATGGATTTGTTGAGGACTAAATGAGCTACTCTTTGTACAGTGTGAGGCTGATTTTGTAACATTATTATTATTATGTTATTTTCAACCATACCCAGTGGCCAGCAGCTCCTGGCACATCATAAATGTCAGAGGGATGAACTACACAGATGAGGACGTGGAGGGGGTCAGAGTTAGGAGCTGGATGTGGGGTCTGCAGACTTCTCTGGTCTTTGGGGGTGGCGGCGGGGGGGGGTGGTGATCCACTCTCCCTGGGGAATTCTTCAGTCTTTCTCTCCTGTGCCTCAGCCTGAGGGCCTCTGGCAAGTGCCTCTCCAGGAAAACACCACCTCCCAGCTGCTCTCCGGGTCGACCCTGAGTTTATCTTGGGTTTTACGCAGTCCGGGGCCAGTAATTAGCCTAATAAGGAGCCTGCTAGGCCTGCGTCTCTGCTCAGGCTCCGATAGTTACCCAGTAATTTACCTGATCTCTCGGATAAGGCCTTTGCCTGGACAGGTTCCCACCACAAAGCACAGGATGCTCCTGCTCGGGCGGGGCCTTAATTGGTGGTGTTTTCAGAGATTCTCCAACCCTAGTTGAAAGGAGCCCAGGCCTCAGAGGCACAACCATGGCCATCACAGCAAGGAAACAGCCCAGGTGTTAGGGGACAGGGCTGCACCAGGACACAACAGACCAGACACGGCAGCACTGACGAGTTTAGAAGGCGTATGGGGGTGGCAGCAGAAGCTGCCAAACCAAAACAGCTGCTGGCATTTCGTGTGTAGTGGCTGGGAGCAGAGCGTGGTGGGCAATGAGGGAGCCAACTTGGCCCTGGGGCCAACCCCGCAGCCTACACCCAGGCTCTGGCCAGCGCCTATTTCAGGGGCATGCTTGGTGCTGCTGCCTGGCCCCCAGGGTACTCCCAGAGCAAGAGCCCACTGGCTCCTGGACCCCAGTGGAGAAGCAGCGACCCCTTCCATCCCAGGGCTCAAGCTCAGGGCTCCGAGCCCTCCCAGCCACCTTTGTCCCCAGGCACAGTACCACATCAGGAGTGTCTGACTTTGGAGCAGGCCCCCAGGCCTTGGAAAGATCAAGCAGGAGGCCAAGGCTGTTGGAGCTGAGAAGCAGGAAGAGTCAACCATGCACGGTGCCCTCCTCCCTCTCCCCCAGGGCAGCTATAGGACTCTGTGGGTGGGAAGAGCCTGCAGCCAGGCCAAGAAGCCGTGGGCAAGCCCTACAGTCGCCTAGTGCTCGCCTACACAGCTCCCTTTGATCTGCCCCACTGGGCGGGGCTGTGTCATCTACTGGGTTTTCCCTGGAGCCTGTGCCCAGGGAAGCTCAGTGTCACACAGCCCCAAGCATCCTGTGTCTCCCTGGCAGAGTGCGAGCCCCTTATCCTGCCTCAGTGAAGAGGACGGTGCTGGCTGCCCTAGAGGATGTCAGCACCAGATGGAGAAGCAGAGCAGACTCCACTGGGCAAAGTTGCAATCACCCTCTGAGAGGAGCTGAGCTCCCTCTGAAAACAAGGGGCCCCTTAGCCCCACAAATGTGGGGGCAACCCACATGGCAGGGAATTGCATCCCTGAGTTTTCCCCCTGCGGCTGGAGTGCAATGGCGCAATCTTGGCTCACTGCAACCTCTGCCTCCCAGGATCAAGCGATTCTCCTGCCTCAGCCTCCTGAGTAGCTGGGATTAGCCCAGCTAATTTTTGTATTTTTAGTAGAGACGGGGTTTCATCATGTTGGGCAGGCTGGTCTCAAACTCCTGACCTCAGGTGATCCACCCACCTCGGCCTCCCAAAGTGCTGGGATTATAGGTGTGAGCCACCGTGCCCAGCCTATCTCTGAGTTTTTTGCAGTCAGCTGTGCCAAACCACCACACACTGCCCTTGGTTTCCCAGAGCCATCCTGCCCACACAGGGGATTCCTTGACACCCACTGCTCCAGGTCCAGGCCTAGGCCTGCCCCCTCTACTCCTAGATGAGGTCCAAGGGTGCTGAAACCTGCACTAACCTCCGCCTCGTGGCTGGGTGCGGGACAAGGGGTGTGGTCTCAGAGTCAGAGCTGGCTCAGCTTGGGTGGATGTGCCAGGGTGGGGTCGCTGTGGGGCAGAGGGGCACCAGCCACTGGGAGGGAGGGTCTTCTGGCTTAGGGCTTTTTTGTGCATGTGCACACCTGTCTTGCCCGATCTGCCAGGGCAGGCCACAGGGAGGGGCTGAGAGCCTGACTCTGGGCTCCGGGGCTTCTGCCATGCTGGGCCCACACCTTGGTGCCTTTTGCTTTCCTAGGCCCCTTTGCTCAGTGGCTCTTCAAAGCTTTAGCTGCCCCCTTTGAACTTGACTTCTGCTCTTCACCCAGGGGCTTCCCACTAGGGAGGGTGACTCAAACCCTCAGGCTGCCGTCAGCACTGCTTGGACCCACAGAGGCCACAGCACATAGTCTCAGGCCAAGCCAGACTGGAGCCTCCCCATGGGGTTCTTGACAGCCTGCCAGGAGACGAGTCCTACTCCTGTTCCACCCCGACTCTGCTCTCCCTCCACCTGGCCTTCCTCAATGGGGAAAAGGTATTCCCAAATCCATTTTCTGCAGGGAATCCACGGAGCGAGAGCGGTGAAACTGATGACAGGAAAGCCCTGCCTTCATGTTCATGCTTGTATTTTAACTGGGGAGAGGCAAGAAACCATCCTCAGCATTGTGTCAGATGGCAACCACTAAATAGAAAACAGTGAAGGACAGAAGGGGACCCCACATGGAGGGGGTGGCGTGCAGTTTAATTAGGTTGCTCAGAGAGGTCTCCATGAGTGGATGACATTTAAATAAAGGCCTTAAAAAGTGAGTCAGCCAGCCTTACGAAGTGTGCCACAGGCAGGGAGAACTCAAATCCCAGGTCCAGAGCTGAAGGTGGCTGGTCCCAGAGCTGGGACAGCGGCAAGGCAGGGGGCTGGAGCAGAACAGGGAGGTCAGAGCTGGGGGTGAGGTGCCCTGCAGGGAAATGGGGAGCCTTGGGGCTTCTAGCAGAGGGGTGGCAGGCCCCAACTTGGGTTTTGGATTTTACTCAGATCACTCTGCTGTGTGGAAGGTGGAGGAGGGTGGAGGAGGGTCGAGGGAGGGGGTGGAAGCCGAGAGACCAGGCAGAGGGCAGATCCAAGAGAGAAGGGACAATGCCTCGGACCAGAGTCAGTTGTGCTGGTTGACTGCCTGTGAGGGTCTGGCTGGCTGGATGCGATGGCTGTGACATGTGGGAGAGAGGGGCAAGATAAGCTGACCCCGAGATTTGGGTTTGAGCACCTGGAAGCGTCGCATCGCTATCATCTTTTTGATGTCACCAGGTGACCTTCTGAGGCAGGTGCTGCAATGTGTCCCGTCGATAGATAAATAAACAATTTTTTTTTTTTTTGAGATGGGGTTTTGCTTTGTTGCCCAGGCTGGAGTGCAATGGCACAATCTTGGCTCACTGCAACCTCTGCCTCCCGGGAGCAAGCTATTCTGCCTCAGCCTACCAAGTAGCTGGGATTACAGGCATGCGCCACCACGCCCAGCTAACTTTATATTTTTAGTAGAGACCGGGTTTCACCATGTTGCCCAGGCTGGTCTCGAACTCCTGACCTCAGGTGATCCACCCACCTCAGCCTCCCAAAGTGCTGGGCCTACAGGTGTGAGCCACTGCACCCGGCTGAGACAAAATCTTCTAGACTGCAAAGTTACGCTCTTTTCACGAAGTCCTTGCCCACCTGCCCAGGGTCCCTTGGGCCTGCTTTTTGTCCCCCGGGTGGGGTGTAACATCCCAGCTGGCTTGAGTCAGGGCAAGGCACGGGTAGGGGTGAAGTGGGTAGTGGGCTGCCTGCTTTGAGGGGAGCAGGGGTCAAGGGTGTGCCTAAGGCTTGCATCCCGCCCTCTGGGCACAGGGCCTGTGCTTGGGGTGAGAGCCTGTGCTGTGGAGCAGGAACCAGCATTGAGTGGGGGCCACCTGGTGTGTGGGGCTGGGCTGGTCCCTTCATGTGGGAATTTGATCCTCTTAATAACACTCAGCGGGAAAGACTATATTGTGCCCATTTTACAAATGGGGAAACTGAGGTTCAGAGATGCGGTACTTGCCCAAGGCCACACTGGTGCAGGGACCTGAACGCAGCAGTGCAGCTCCAAGGTCTCTAGCTGTCCTCTGGCTGCATGGCCCACTTCAGCATGAGGGCTGAGTCTCCAAGGGCAGTCCCAAGAGAACCAGCAGACACTGTCTCACCATTTGTGACCCAGCCTCAGAAGCCACATAGCATCACTTACCTGGAGTGGCACGCAAGCCTGCCTAGAGTCAAGAGGAAGAAAGGAAACCCCAACTCTCAGCAGAATTGCCAGAATCTCCATGTCAGAAGAGCACGTTTGGAGGCAGATCCTGCTGCCATCCACTTCGCAGAATGCAGAGCGTGCCCGAGGAGAAGTGGGGTCTGGGTGAGCAGCACCAATGTCCACTCCAGTAGGGGAGACACTGCATGTCCAGGACACAACCTCTGATCGAGGCTGTCAGGGGGCCCAAAGAAGGGCTGTGGGGGCCGGGCATGGGAGCCACAGATGCGGGTTCAGCTCCAGGCTCTGCTGCTCCCTTGCCTACATGGATGGAGAGCCCTCTGGGAGAAGATGTGCCCCCGCCAGCCTCTGAAAGGAAGATGAGGTTTAGATGAGGAGGGGAGGTTGGAAGGAGCTCTTGGCTGGGGACCCTGCCCCACAGGGGCACCTCTAGGGGTGGGAGATGAAAGCAGTGTGCTTGGGGCACCTCAGATGCCGTGGAGATGAGGCTGGGCTGAGACTCAGTCAGAGGGTTCCCAAGTGGTCCCAGTGACAAAGGCCCAGAGAAACAGTTCCATTCAGGAAACATGTGATGGCTCAATGTGGAGAAGACACTCAGGAAGTCCACAGAGCCTGAATGTCCCCGCTCTGGTGCAGGGTCTCGTGCTCAGGTCCGACCTGGCTGTCAGCGGCACTGGGACCCAGGGCTGCCCCGCCATCCCACCGCCAGGAGCGGAGGAGCTGTCTCCAGCAGCAGC